>NC_000008.11:37435860-37738890 GCF_000001405.40 Homo sapiens | reverse complement strand
TTTTTAGAGACAGGGTCTTGCTCTGTCACCCAGGCTGGAGTGCAGTGGTGTGATCATAGCTCACTGCAGCCTCAAACTTCTGGGCTCAAGTGATCCTCCCACCTCAGCCCCCCAAATAACTGGGATTACAGGCACGTGCTGCCATGCTCGGCTAATTTTTTACTTTTTGTAGAGATGGGCTCTCACTATGTTGCTCAGGCTGGTCTCAATCTCCTGGGCTCAGGTGATCCTCCCATCTAAGCCTCCTGAGTAGCTAGGACTACGTGTGTGTGACACCACAGCCGGCCAATTAAAATTTTATTTTTTATTTTATTTTTTTAGAGATAGGGTCTCACTATGTGACCCAGGCTGGCTGAAATGTTAATTTTAAAAGAGCATCCCAAATTAGCAGAGTAGGCTACCTTCTCAAGTTGCCATCAAGAACTGGTACTCAGCTGGCTTTTGTAAAGGTAACCTAGCAGTGTAGAGCTAAGACTGCCAGAGGGATGTAGAGCTAAGACTGCCAGAGGGATGTAGAGCTAAGACTGCCAGAGGAATGTAGGAGAAAACAGTATTTTAGGGATGATCAATGAGGAGCACCAGTTTCCTTTAGATTTTGTCTCTAAATCTATATACACATTTATTAATCACCACCCATGGCATCATCTTGGACTACTAAGTGAAGTTCTAAATTTACATATATATGTGTGTGTGTGTATTCTCTTTCCCGTGGTTACTGACATAAAAAGCTCCATCTGAAAAGGCTCCCCTATTCAAGGAAATATAAATAGAGATGTTCAGCAGAATCTGCTAGGAAAGCAATGACCAGGAAAGGGAGCTATTTAACAGGAAGTTGCCGGCTTCTCCCTGTCTCTGCCTTACCTGTAATATACCCCAATATGTCCCTCTTCTATCTTGTGCACAGCTGAGAAGAGAGATGCACAAAAGAAACTGGAAGCCACAGCCACAACTGCTCCCAACTGAGCCATCAGTGAGCCTTTATCCTAGGGAAAAGACACGGGAAAATGTGTGTGGTCCAACGTGCAGGAGAAAAGGCCACAACAGCGAGAGGACCTCACCAAGCTGAGCTCCCTGCGAGTGACTCATATCCAGCCTGGTGTCGTGTGAACACAAGGCTAGATCTACAACTCGCTTCCTCCTCGTTCTCAGTCAACGTTCCCCTTTCTTTAACTGTAAAATTAGAGCCCCCACCGCACTGAGGAAGCACTGGCTCCGGATACAGCCGTTGCTCAAGGGAGAACCCGTGCCAGCTGGGTAGGGTTCAGAACACAGCCTTGTCTTCCTGTGAACACGAATGTGCTGTCACTGAACCTTTCCTACCAGTAGTAGGGAAGAGAGGCAGCTGCAGTACTTTGGCCCAAATTACAGAGGATGCCAAATGACAGGCAGTTGTGGCTATGTAATTCTGGTCAGAGTCTCCCACTCCTAATTGCCTGCAGTTTCAAAGGAAACCATTATTTACTCCTTTCAGATGCTGGAGTGGCAGAGCCAGCAGGCGAGCAGAGTTTCAAGGTAGGATTCGTTGGCCTCGCATCCACCTTCCCAGTTATTCCTTTGGCCCTAAACAGGACAGGGCTCTGAACAAGCCTGAAGCCACACTCCCCCCCATATACTTTGGCACTTTGCACCTGACAGATCCCCAAGCCCGTGGTCAGAGAGAAAGGCAATGTCCCAAACTGCGAGCCTCTAGGCTCCTAGGTCCAACCGCGTTCAGGCACCAGGACGCGGAGGAGTGGGATCCTGAACGCTGAATGATCTGGAACTATGGTGACTGACTGCAAAGTTCAGCTGTGCGTGCGTGGGCCCGTGAGCGCAGGGCGTGGATTCTGCCTCCCAGGTCTAACGTAACCGGGGCGCGGACATCTGCGAGGCGCTTATTTTACCGTGGCGGCCTCCGGCTACCGATCTGCAGTTGCGTCCTTTCCTGCCAGTGCCCTTCCCTCCCCGAGGTCACTCGCGCCCCTTCCCCGCCCCGTTCCGAGAGAGGGTCAAGCGCCCTGGTCTGGGGCTGCGGCTCCAATAGCCTCCGCTCGGTCCCCCTGCGGCTCGCAAGGAGAGGACGCGACAGAAAAGGGTTTCTGTCTCTCTCCAGGAGCGGGCCGGCTGAGGGAGAGAAGCTGCTGGGACTGAGGTTCCCGAAAGTGACGGGTCAGCCCCGACCCTGAGCGGCAGCTAGGCCCAGCGCGCGCACGAAGGGGCGGGGGCCGCGTACCAGGCTGTCCCTGCAGGCGCTCCGTACTCGTCCGAGCCCACGAGCAAGAAAACCGTCACACCCCTCAGCACGCGACTTCCTTCCGGGCCGTCGCTTCGATGACGCCATCAATTCACGCGAGAAGACCACACCCCCGCCCCGCGCTCGCTCTGCGCCCCGCCCCTCGCGCTCCCAGCGGTCAATGGCCGTAGCTGGCCGCCAGGGATCGCCCGCGACTTGGTCGGTGCGGTCCTGGACCTCGGTCTTGGGTATCCGTCCTGGGGCTGGGGATGAGGGCGGTGTTGGTGGGAGCTCCCCGAGAGCGAGCGGCAGGACGCGCATGCCCCGGAGTACTGAGACCCAGGGCGAACCTTTCCAAGGCGTTGACTTTGGGGATTGCTCCGGATTTCCTTCTGCATTAGGCCGAACCTGGTTCGTTTTGGTTTTTTTAGAGACAAGGTCTCGCTCTTTTGCCCAGGCTGGAGTGCAGTGGCACGATCATAGCTCACTACAGCCTCGAACTCCTGGGCTTAAGCGATCCTCCCACCTCACCCTGCTGAGTAGCTGGGACCACAGGCGCACGCCACGACACTTGACAATTTTATTTTTAGTAAAGACAGGGTCTTGGTATTTCTGGTCTCAAACTCTGGCTTCAAGCAATCCTCCTGCCTCGGCCTCCCAAACTGCTGGGATTACAGGCATGAGCCACCATGCGCGGCCTTTTTTTTTTTCTCTCCTTGATAAGGTACTGGCGAGTTGCAACTGTTTGCTTTCCTATAGCACAGCTGAAATGAAACAGTCTTTTCAATGTACAGATTAGCATCATTACCTCACCAATCAAAAATCCCTACCTTGAGTTGTTCTTTATATTTTTCTGGGAGCTTTGGCCCTTGGGATCCTGCAACGCCACAAAGTATATTAACAAGGAATTATTATTCTAATTTTAATGAACGGAATCTAAGAAGTTCAGCGAGGTTCAAGGGTAAAAGCCAAGGAAAGTTTCCTTTGTGTTTCCTTAATATCTTGAGTTCACTGCTTTTTAAACTCCTGCCACAGTGCACAGGGGCTAGTGCACTTCGTCTTTCTAGATAAACTGTACGTTCCCGGGAGAGCAGAGACTGACTTTCCTTCCGCACCCCCGGGGCTTAGGTGCCCAGTAAAAACAGACTGAAGGCAACGTGGGACCAGGCCCGGAATCCAGAGTTTGTGTCTCCTAGTCTAAGGGCCTCACGTTGTCCTCCACCTGCCCTATTCACCAGCATCACATTGGGGCATTTCTAATTCAGCCACTGAGGTTATTAATATTTTGTTTGCAGGAGAGAAAGAGTCCACTTAATTATAGCCTTCAGTAAAAGAAAAACTTTTACACCGGGAAGATGGCAAGCTGGTGGTGTTAGACAGATTTAAGACTCAGGAAAAGGGAAGTGTGGTTTTTTCCAGGCATGCCTGCTTGGGATTGGCCCGTTTACCTTTCCTGCGTTTGCTCTGGGTGTTGGGATGTTTCAGCATTACATGGTGAAACCCATACGAGGGTTACATGGTGCTGTCTGGGAGCTCTGTGCCCATCTCCATAAATGAAGGCCTTTCATCTCCCTACTCTGTCCCTGCATCCCCCACCCCAAACAGACACAGCTGGCCAATCTCTCGATCAATCCTATCAGAACTTGAGTTTTTTCTCTCCCTGTTCAGTGATATAACCTCAGCTGGGCATGCTTATTTAATAGTTTATTTAATAATTGAGTAAGAAAAATGGAAATATTAGGGTTCATCAACCCATGAAATGGGGGCTAGCCTGCAGCATCAAGTATTTAAATTACTTGTAATTTAAGAATTTCCTTTAACCAACCTCTGGCAACCCGTCTCCCCTCCCCTTCCCACAAATATGTATATTATTATGTGTCAATTAAAAATAATAAAAACACAAAAATTTCCTCACATTAAACTTTGGAGTGAATTGTGGCTAGAAGTTTTGGGATTTTGTTCTTAGGAGTCATTTTACCAGACCTGAGTTATTTAGTTGTGGACGTGCCTAAAGGCAGGGGGATGGACTTCGTGATGTGCTAGTACATGATGATCTAGTACTTCTGAAAATCTCTTTCTTAAGAGACCTGTGATTTTTATGTTACCCAGCAGATACATTTGTGATGATTTGTTTAACAAAAATGTTTACAATTTCTTTTTCTCCTTCCTTCCTTCCTTCCTTCCTTCCTTCCTTCCTTCCTTCCTTCCTTCCTTCCTGTCTCGCTCTGTCACCCAGGCTGGACTGCAGTGGCGCGATCTCAGCTCTGCAACCTTTGCCTCCCTTCAAGCGATTCTCCTGCCTCAGCCTCCCGAGTAGCTGGGGCTACAGACGCATGCCACCACGACTGGCTAATTTTTGTATTTTTAGTAGAGATGGGGTTTCACCACGTTGGTCAGGCTGGTATTGAACTCCTGACCTCAAGTGATCCACGTGCCTTGGGCTCCCAAAGTGCTGGGATTACAGGCGTGAGCCACTGCGCCCGGCTAAAATTTTATTTTTTAAAAAACCTCACAGTATAGAGTAGTGATTTAGCTCAGATACTTCACAGTCAGGCTGCCTTGTTTAAATCCTGGAGCCTGCCTCTTATTCTGTAACATTGGAAAAATGATCTATCCCTGCCTCAGTTTCTTCATCTATAAAATTAAAGTAATAATGGTATGAAACTTATAGGACTGTTGTGAAAAGCATATACAACATTTGGTACATTTTAAGTGTTCACCAAGTGTTAGCTGTTGCTGTTTTAAATAGCAAATTCCCTTAATGTATTCTTGCATGTTTGTGGGTTATCATTGCAGATTATTAATGTGACACAGGGCGAGAGAATGATAAACTTTAAGTTGTATGGTATTAAATAATAACCAAATGAAGGCTTATCAGAAGAAGAGATAAAGGCTTCTGAAATTATACCTCAATGGATATTTACAATACAGATTTCATAAAGCTTTATTGAATACTGTCTATGTATCAGCCCCAGTACCTTACATTTTCTCATTTTATGTAAACTTTAGGTCAGCCCTTTGAGTTCAACTCCATTTTAGAGGAGAAAGTGGAAGCTTAGAGAAATTAAGAGATTGTCTAAGATCACGAAGATGATAAATTGCAAAGGCAGAGTTCAAATGATCCCGTCTATTTCTTTTTTATAGTGAATGAGTTAGAAAATGATTCAATTTCAGACACAAACACACACACACACCCCACATTTATTTCACATGTAACCTTTCAGTAATGTAGATCAGTGGTCAGAAACTGAAATTTTTCTAATTAAATTGGGCCAGTTCATTTTGCAGTTGTAGATTGAAGCAGGTTAAAAAATACTCTCACCTAGCAATCCATAGTTTTCTATTTCTATTGCTGTTTGTTGGGTCCTCTTACCAAGAAAATTGTTAGTGAGAGTGCCATGCCAAAGAAGAGACCCCTTCTTTCACAATTAGGAATTTTTAAGTCAATTTCACAATTAGACTTTTTAAGCCAATAAGCAGGTCCAAAGGATTCAGGCAACTCTTAAAATCTTCTGCTTCAGTTCAGTTCAGTATCACAAGAGTGGAAGTTGCTGGAAAAAGTTTCCGTTTGATTTAAAGTTTATCTTTTTCACTTTAGGCCCTAAAACAGGGAATAGAAATAATCTTTTAGAACATTTGATTCCAGTAAGATTTTGGTGAGCTTATGGGAAGAGGAGTGAACTGTATCCTTAGTTATTAAGGGGGCTCAGAAATTTTTCCTCTTTTCTTTTTTTTTCAGTTGCAAAAACCGGGATTGGTGCCTTCCAAGAACAAAAGCATATTTGCTTGGGGCTAATGATGTTTCTTCAAGGCATTGGGTAAAGAGATCAAAGAGCCATCAGGAAAAAAATTGAGTTGAAAGTCAGCTAGAAGGCACCTAAAGGTCCTTTTGTGATTACACATTTTTACAGCTTTATTGAGATATAATTGACATGTAATAAACTGTTCATAAAGTCTACAATTTACATTTTGACTTGCAAATACCTGTGAAGCCATTACCACAATCAGTATAATGAACACATGCATCATGGCCCCAAATTTCCCCATGCCTCTTTGTAATCTCTCCCTCTTACCCCTCTTTGGTACACCCCCTTTTCGATTCTCAAAAGACCACTGATCTTCTTTTGCCACTCTAGATTAGTGTGCATTTTGTAGAATTTTATATGCATGGAATTGTATAGTATGTACCCTTTTTTGTGGGGGAGGGTCTGGCTTTTTTGAAAACCCAGAATAATTATTTTGAGATTCATCCATGTTGTTGAGTCTATCAAGAGTTCATTCCTTTTTATTGCTGTGTAGTGTTTCATTGTGTAGCTATACAACAATTTGTTTATCCACTCACCTGTTGATGGACAGATAGGTTATTGCCTATGATTTTAATCCAACCCATTTATTTTACTTGTAGAGAAGTCCAGGGAGAAGAAGTCTTCAGAAAGGGGGCTTGGCTAAGGTTCCTACTGCATTTGAGGGGTGATGAGAAGAGTAGCCTGTGACCTTGAGATTTTGTTCCAACAAGCCTGGCAGTTGCATTTTGGCTTGGCCTGATTTGCCTGGGATGACCTTTCCTTTGACATCTCTAACCCTCCAACTCTGAACTTACAGTAACAGGAATTTTTTTTAAAAGATTATATGAAATTTTATCTACATATATGTATTTACACATCTCTCTATGTCATTGATAGACTTCTTTTTTGCTGTATATAAGAGATACCTTGTATACGGCGATGTGAGTCTCAGAGGATAAGGTAACCCATGTTTACTCTAGGCCAATCTTTTTTCACCTGGTTTCTTAATCGTATCCCTCCTCTTTCCTCAGGGACCTAGAGCCTTTAATTATCTCCTCTTTCTACCAGTTCTTTAGCCACAGCCTATAATCTTGTGCAATTTCTCCACGCCCTTCCCTCTAAGCCTCTCCGTTGATCCTATGTAAGCCTCTAGTTCTTACCTGATTTGTCTCCTTCCCTTTGAGCAAAGTTTCTTGAAAAAGTAGCCTACACTTGATGTCGTTACTTCCTCACTTTCCATTCCCTTGTTCTTAACCCTTCAGTCGCTTTCTCTGATGCACGTGGTGCTATTGATTTGTCCCCTGAATTCTTAGACTCTTCCTCCCTTGGCCTCTGTGAATCACTCCCTCCCTCCTGGGTTTCTGTCTACTTGTCTGAATTTTCCTATTTTTAATCTCTAGTTGAGCTCATCCTCAACTATTCCTCAGAACTCTGTCCTTGTGTCCTTGACCTACTGCTCTTCTTTCTTTTCTTTTCTGTTTTTTTTTTTGTGACGGAATTTCACTCGTCGCCCAGGCTGGAGTGCAATGGCGCAATCTTGGCTCACTGCAACCTCTGCCTCCTGGGTTCAAGTGATTCTCCTGCCTCGGTCTCCCGAGTAGCTGGGATTACAGGTGCCCGCCACCATGACCGGCTAATTTTTATATTTTCAGTAGAGACGAGATTTCGCCATGTTGGCCAGGCTGGTCTTGAATGCCTGACCTCAAGTGATCCACCTGCCTCGACCTCCCAAAGTGCTGGGATTACAGGGGTGAGCCACCGCACCCGGCCCCTACTGCTCTTCTTTTCTCTATTGTCTCTTTCTGGAAGGCCTCTTGTGTTCTCCATATTCTAATTATGTGGTCGCTGGTGATGCTCCTAAATACATATTGATAACCACAAGCTACACACTAGAATACCATTTCTTTGGATTTTGGACAGGGAGAAAGAGATCATCTCTAAAACGGAACTCATAGTTCCCTTCAAACATCCTCCTCCCACTAAAGACGCCACCATTCACTCAACCATCCAGGGTAGACACTCAGCCACTGTCTTTAATCTTCCCCATCCATCGTAGTTATTCCTTGACCCTGGGCTTTCCTCTCCAGGCAATTCAGGGCTTTATCACCTGGATTATTGTAATAATCTAATGTTAGCTATCTCCTCACCCCCACCTTCCATTTACCCTTAAATCAGTGTGTTGTCCACAGTTTACCCCCATGTGTTCTTTGATGGATCCCTTTTCTGCTTAAAAACATCATAATAAGTTTCCTACCGAAAAAAGTTCAAATCCTCTTAACTTTTCATATAAGATTTTTAATGATGTGATCCCCTGCCTATAACTGCAGCTTTTATGATCTTATTCTGCAGTTTTTTTTATTTTGCTAGACCAGCTCTTATTCATCTGTCTTTCTTTCTTTTTTTCTTTTTCTTTTTCTTTTTTTTTCCTCTGTCGCCCAGGCCAGGCTGGAGTGTAGTGGTGCCATCTCAGCTCACTGCAACCTCCGCCTCCTGGGTTCAAGTGATTTTCCTGCCTCAGCACCCCGAGTAGCTGGGATTACAGGCATGTGCCACCATGCCTGCCTAATTTTTGTATTTTTAGTAGAGACGGGGTTTACACCATATTGGCCAGGCTGGTCTCGAATTCCTGACCTCAAGTCATCCAGCCACCTAGGCCTCCCAAAGTGCTGGGATTACAGACGTGAGCCACTGTGCTCGGCCTTATTCATCTTTCAAGACCCTTCTAGGTGTTTCTTCTCTGTGTCCACAATATCCTGTGCATTCTTGTCATACGACACTCATTATAATACACTGAAACATTCTAGTTTTTGTCTGTGCTTCTTACAAGGCTAAGATCTGCGAGGGCAGGAGCTTGTCTATTCATCTTTGTATCTGTCCCACCCCCCGAGGGTCTAACATAATTCCTGGCATACAATAAACACTCAATAAGTGTTTGTCAACAAAAATAATAAACATCCCATGACCTTTTAGAATGTAAAATCGCTGTCAGTTACACCAGCTCATTGAATGCTCATAATAGTCCATGAGGGTAATACCACCACAACTCCATTTCACAGATAAGGACACACAGGAGAGAGGGCTTCAGCCATTCCTCAAGGTCACAGGCAGATCAACTGATTGTAAATCCAATTTTTTTTCCCTTACATTTGTGATTTTGGAAAATGTCAGTGTGTTAGGACAGAGATTTAGTTTGACTCTGTAAACATTTATTGAAACAACTATTATCTATGAGCCACAATCCTAAGTGTGAAAGCAATGAAGGAGAGTGGAGGAGACCACTTATGCCTGGTAAGGTTCTAGACACTCACAGTCTCCCCCACTCCGTCCCTCCCTCCCTCCCTTCCTCCCTTCCTTCCTTCCTCCCTCCCTCTCTCTTGCTCCCTCCCTCCCTCGATTTCTTTCTTCCCCCTCTTTTATTTTATTTACTTAGTTGAGATCCAGGGTCTCACTCTCTCACTCAGGCTGGAGTGCAGTGGCACAATCATAGCTCACTGCAGCCTTGAACTCCTGGGCTCAAGTGATCATCTTGTCTCGGCCTCCTGAGTAGCTAGGATTACAGGTGCACGCCACCATGCCCGGCTTTATTTCTGTAGAGATGAGGTCTCACTGTGTTATCCAGGGCAGGTGTCAAACTCCTGGCCTCGAGCAATCCTGCCTTGGCCTTCCAAAGTGCTGGGATCACAGGTGTGAGCCATCATGCCTGCCCCTTCCTTCTTTTCTTTCATTCTTTCTTTTTCTCTCTTTTTTCCACGATGTGGGGTAGAGGGGCTGGCTTGTGCATTGTAGGATGTTTAGCAGATTCTCTGGCCTCTATCCCTAGATGCTGGTAGCAACACCCCCACCTCGTTGTGACAACCAAATATGTCTTCAAGCATTGCCAAATGTCCCCAGTTGTGTGTGCGTGAGACAAATTTGCCCCCAGCTGAGAACAACTGTGGTGTGGATAGACTTAAAAATGAGGGGATTAAGAATAAGAGGGCTTTGCTTTGCTTCCCAAAGCATGGCAGGTGTTCCATGGGTACAGTTCTGTATGGGCTAAGAGTCAGGGGAGTAGGGAGGGAGAGAAGGAGATGTTAGGAGTGTGTCTGCATGGAAGCAGAGGCCAGTAGGAGTTCTGGAAGAAGATAGAAGATGGGCGAGTGGTGTTGAAGGGTGGGGTCCTAGAGAACCCATGATAATAGGAACGTTGGCTATGCAATGGGAGAGGAAGAAATGTGTGTGCATATGTGTGTGAAATGTAGATCTCAGCTCATCCTACCGAACCAAATTCTAAAGAGGAGAGTCAGTTGTTCTTTGGAAGACCAGACTTGGGGAGAAGCCAGGCTATAAATCCTGGAGGGGAGGACTTTACTGCCACTTAGAAATCAGGCCTGAAACACCCATAATGTTTGTCAGTCCACATTTTAGTGTTCTTAAGTAAGTTTGCAGGGTGTGGGGAATGAAATATGGCAGGTATTTGATTTAAAAAGCCTGCACAGATTTAATGTCCTGATAAAATGTATTAAATCTTTTAAGGTTTTAATGAATCTAGTATGTGTTTCATAAATCAAGAACTCTGCTAAGCCGTCTTCTGGTTTAATAAGAGTAAACTAGGAAATTGCTCTGAGCAGAAGCAAAATACATTTATATCACACTGAAAAGTAATAGATTTTTAAGCTGAGGGGGTCTTTCTGGGCTTTTTATGCTGTTTGCTTATTATGTTGCTCCAACTCCTTCAAATATTAAACCACAGGGAAACGTGCTTAACCGTATCAAGATGTGAACTAGCACAAAGGTAAATATTATTTGTAAGAGAGCAGAAAACAAAGCCAGTATTTCCTTACCCTTAGACCTAGGACCAGGTTGATTTCTGCACTGACACCTGGCTTTGTGTATCTAGGCGTAAGGTGGTTGGTTAAAAATCATTATTAACTGTTATTAAATCACCTTTCCCAAGTTCTCTCACTCCTCCATCCTCACCCCCTTAGCACATCTGCCAGATTGAAGCCGTGAGTGTATAAAATACTTCTTGAATTTTACAGCTGGCTGTGGAATGGCCTTGTTAAACTTGCTGGCCAGACCGTCCAAAGCAAGTGTTCAGAGATCCTTCCATCATCTTAAACCCAAGGGCTGAAGTGTTCGCTTTGGTTCTTTTTCCTTCCTTCCAGCCCCATTGCTCAAGCTCCAGTGGGAATGGGAAAGGGGCTTTTGGGGGTGTGGGTGTAACAGATGGGTATCTGTGAGCAGGCTGGGGCTTGAAGCCTCACTACCCAGCTTCCTTGGTGGATGGGCAAGATTTTGGGGTGAGATGGTGGTTCAGGGAGTTGGGGGGAGGTGGTGTTGGAGGAATGAAGGGGGGTGGGGCTTGAACATTCCGGTGCACAAAAGCTGGCAGGGCTTGTGAGCTCTGCAGGGGAGGGAGCGGGCCTGTAAAGCTCAGTGTGGAGAAGCCTGTCCAACCTCATTAGCTGTCAGGGGCAACAATACTGATCTGGCAATAGAGGCGATTCCAAACCTGTTGGTCATTAATCACCCGCCTGACAGTTGCGAATGGAAGTGGAAAAACCTCATCCCCCCTCCACCCTTCCCCTCCTCCTGGGCCCAGCTCTGGAGTTTAGAGTTACCTCTTCGTGTATATGTGGTTCACGGCTGTGTGCTGGGTCCTTCCCTCTTGGCTTTTTTAGCGGGTCGTTTTCAGCACGGAGAGGCTACAGGTTGGCCAGAGCCTGGCAGACAGTGATTCTGGGCACAGAGACTGGGGAGCAAGAAAATGAAAGGTAGTGGCTTCTGGAGGGGGGACCTCAGCTGTGACCCCTCTGGGATCTAGGGCTGGGTCTTGGCAAGCTGGTGGAGTCAGGGAAGGCTGTCATCAGCACCCAGGCCTCGTCTTTCCACACCCGCCCCCTCGTTCCCTGGCACACCCTTCTCTCCCTCCTTCAGCTACTAGGTGCCAACATATTTTCCTTTATGTTCCTTTTCCCTGCCCTTCCCACCCTCCCTTCCCTTCCCTTCCCTTCCCACCATTCCCAAATAAGCAGATCCTGCTGGCAGGAAAAGTTTTCATCTCAATTTTTTCCATCTCACTCTGAATTCAAGCCCCGTTTCGTCTCTCAGAGGGGCTTGGCTTTTCAGCCCCATCTCTAGCTGTGGCAGTGGGGTACGAGTGATGTTTGTATTTTAATAGTGATATTGATATTTCATGTGTGAGAGTGCAGTCAGGGTGGTGCAAGGAGAGGCCTGGTCTGCACAGGTGCCTCTGAAATCAACCAATGGGAAGTGCTGCTTAGTTTCTTAGTCTGTCTCTCTAAGTTTTTTCATAAAGGAGGGAGGAGAAGAGAGATGGAGCAGAGGACATCTACAGACCAGACTAGGATGAGGACTTCTGTCACTCAAGTTTCTTTTTTTTTTGAGATGGAGTCTCGCTCTGTCTCCCAGGCTGGAGTGCAGCAGCGCGATCTTGGCTCATTGCCTCCTGGGTTCAAGTGATTGTCCTGCTTCAGCCTCCCGAGTAGCTGGGACTACAGGCACCCCCCACCACGCCCAGCTAATTCTGTTAGTCAAGTTTCTTGCATGCTCTTCAGTGCACGTGAGCCAGGTTACATTTAAGAGAGAAGATTCAACTTCTGCTCAGTTTCCCAGGATGTAGAGGGAGGAGGAGTGTAAGGAATTAGCCAGGAATTCCTGAAAGAGTAACGTCAAGATAATTTACACACTTCTTAGCTCTTCTGCTGGGCAGGCCTGAGAGAGTAACCTGAGTGCTAACAACCAAGGAAGGGGAGAAATTGCAACAAAAATTGTCAATTGGTCTAAACTAGTCCTCTAGTTTTCCCAAACATTTCTGCATTCCGTGGGTGCAGATGACCCCTGGTCTTGGCCACATTTGTTGGTGTCGTCTGCTCTCTCCATAGCTTCTCTGACCTCTTGCTACTCATTATAGCATTAGGCAGAGGATGGTCACATCTGTCCACAGTTGATCCATCCAGGCTATCCTGACAAAGACAAATTCCCATGACAAACTCATAGGAACAAAATGGAAAGGAGGGATAGTCACAACTACAGCATTTTAGGCCGGCTTCCCAATTTTTCATATACCCCTTTATTCTTTTGTTTTTTTTTGAGATGGAGTCTTGCTCTGTCACCCAGGCTGGGGGTCTTGCTCTGCCACCCAGGCTGGAGTGCAGTGGCACAGTCTCAGCTCACTGCAACCTTTGCCTCCCAGGTTCAAGTGATTCTTGTCCCTCAGCCTCCCGAGTAGCTGGGACTACAGCTGTGGGACACCATGCCTGGCTAATTTTTGTATTTTTTAGTAGAGACGGGGTTTTGGTATGTTACCCATGTTGGTCTCGAACTCCTGGTCTCAAGTGATCCAACCGCCTGGTCCTCCCAAAGTGCTGGGATTACAGGCATGAGCCACCACGCCTGGCCTCCTTATGTTTTCTCTGATACAATGGTTGTTCTTAATTCCAGCTACACATTAGAATCATTTGGTGATGTCTGGGCCACATTCCCTGATATTCTGATAACATTGGTCTGGGGTAAGGCCCCCACAAGGAGATTTTTTTTTTTTTTTTTGAGTCGGGTTCTCATTCTGCCGCTAAGGCTGGAGTTCAGTGGTCTCATTATAGCTCACTGCAGCCTTGATTTCTTGGGCTCAAACAGTCCTCCCACCTCAGCCTCTTGAGTAGCCGGGACTACAGACATGCACCACCACACTTGGCTAATTTGTAATTTTTTTGTAGAGATAGGGTCTTGCTTTGTTGCCCAGGCTGGTCTTGAACTCCTGGTCTCAAGTGATCCTTCCTCTGCCTCCCAAAGTGCTGGGATTGCAGTCATGAGCCATTGTGCCCGGCCAGGGATTTTTTTTTGAGACAGGGTCTTGCTTTATTACCCAGGCTGGAGTGCAGTGGCGTAATCACAGCTCACTGCAGCCTCTACCTCCCAGGCTCATTTGATCCCCCCACCTTAGCCTCCTGAGTAGCTGGGACTACAGGCACGTGCCACCATGCCTGGCTAATTTTTGTATTTTTAGTAGAGGTAGGATTTCGCCATGTTGCCCAGGCTGGTCTTGAATTCCTGGGCTCAAACGATCCACCGCCTCGGCCTCTCAAAGTACTGGGATTACAAGGTTAAGCCACTGTGCCCAGCCAGAGATATTTGGGAAAAGCTCTTCAGGTGATACAAGCCTCACTCAGCTTGGGCTGAAAAGTACTGGTGTCATATTTGTAAACTCATCATGGCAGTTCACACCATGGTATCTTTGTTTTTGAGATTTACCTCCTGGAAAGCCACCTTCCTCTTTTCTCTGCACTATTTATTTATTTTTTATTGACACTATTTATTTATTTATTTTTTGAGATGGAGTCTTGTTCTGTCACCCAGGCTGGATTGCAGTGGTGCGATCTCAGCTCACTGCAACCTCTGTCTCCCAGGTTCAAGTGATTCCCCTGCCTCTGCCTCCTGAGTAGCTGGGACTACAGGCATACACCACCACACCTGGTTAATTTTTTTGTATTTTTAGTAGAGATGGGGTTTCACCATGTCGGCCAGACTGGTCTCGAACTCCTGACCTCAGGTGATCTGCCCACCTCAGCCTCCCAAAGTGCAGGGATTATAGGCATGAGCCACTGTGCCCAGCCCTTGGCCCTATTTAGAAGAGAGAAGTAAAAGATGTAGTTCTTAGCTGGGGAAATGACATGCACACACACAGAACAGTTCTATGTAAAGGCTAAATGATCTGAAACAAAATATAGGAGCTACAGGGGCTCAGAGGAGGGCTGGAGTAATCAGGGAAAGTGGTGAGGAGGAAGGGGACTTGGGTGGATAGCATTTAGGTAAGTGGGCAGGAAAGGTGGGGGACTTCAGGCAGAGGGCCAGTGTGAGCAGAACAACAGGACCTATGCTGGGGACAAGGAGAGGGTTTGCTTGACTAGATGGGAGGCTCAGCTCAGGTTCTTTCTCCTCCTCCAGCCGGCACTCATCCGTCCAGGATTCCTGCAGCATCACTGCAGGTTCCACTTAGTCCTGGACTGCTGTGTACTGCTCAGTCACTTTCATGTGTATGTCACTAGTTCTCTCAATCAGATATACAAGCAACTGGAAGGCAGGGAGCATACTTTATATAAGTTGGGACATTCAACACAATGCAATGCAATTCAAGCCAATTCGATTCAATGCAATCCAATCCAATTCAATTCAACATGTTTTTATTGAGTACCAGCTATGTGCCTGTTCTAGGCTTTTGAGATTCGATTAAACAGACAAAGATACTGGCCTTCCTGAGCTTAGTTCTCACAGGAGCGTACAGACAAAAAGATATACTATAAATAATATTAGATAAATTAGATATTATGGTAGAAGGTGATAAGCACCAGGGAAGAAATGAAAAGAAGGCCAGGGTCCTGGGGCTAAGGAGTGAGTGTGTCCATGCGTGTCTGTGTGTTATTAAATAGAAGGTATTAAGCAGAAGACATTATGAAAAAGAAGGCACTATTAATAGAGGTATTAAATAGAAAGTCAGAGTATGTCTCGTTGAGAAGGTGATAATTTACCAAAAACATAAAGGAAATGATGGGGCTGGCCAAGAAGATTTCTGGAAGAGAAGTTTCCAAACGGAGGACAGCTAGAGAATGGCCCCAGACAGGAGCATCCTAGTGTGTTTGAGGAATGGCAGGGAGGCCATGTGGCTGAAGCCAAAGCTGCTGAAGAAGACGGTGGGGTGGGAGGAGATTGGAGAGGGTGCAGGGAGCTAGGTCTTAGAAGCCACCCTGTGGACTTTGGCCACTCCTCCAAATGAGATGGGAGCTCTCATGGGCTTTCAAACCAATGAGCAACTTCTGTTTCTAAAAGATCTTTTGGCTATAGTGTTGAGAATAGATGATGGGGGTTGGGAGGTGGAGAGTGGGACCAGGGTAGAAGAAGATCTGTCAAGAGACTGATTTTTACAGACGCAGCTGAACCTGTGCAACTCAGAGAAAGAAGACCTTCAGCGTATTCATGTTGGAAGGCTACATACGATTCTCATGTGCTTATTAAGAACTTCATTATAAGACACACATTATTTAGATTTTTGACCTGACCGAATAAGCCTGATCATCCAGCTTATTCACCAGGGCTGGCTTCAGGAGAGACATTTCCCCTGCTAATCACCACATAAAGATTTGTAATTGTCAATTAAAAGTCTGATGGTTTAAAGATAGCTTTCAAAACATTCCAAAGAGTTTTGAGCAAGGCAACATATAAGAATGAGTGTATATCCTTCCAAAGGGACATTTTGAATGGGACAATATTTATTTTGATATCTAAGTCCTGCTAAGTTTGCTTTAAAAATTTTAGTACTTTATAGTATCTCTTCTGTGTTCTCTTACTATTGAGTGGAGGCTTGGTATTCAGCACACAGTATACTTAAGAAGAGCCTGGGGAATGGAATTAAGTCTTGGGCATGTTGATATGTGTTTATTTGCAAGGCAGTATTAAAAATTTCATATGAATTTCCAAATCCAACTAATTTTGAGGGGCCAAACTACTTTTTTTCCTTGAAAGAAGTAAGATATATTTAAAAGAGGTTCTTCCCCTTCCCCTCCTAAGAAGCAAAGGTAACTACTTTTCTGTTAAGCTTCTTACAAGTCCATTTAAATGAATGAGCAGCCAGGGGGGTTATCAGTCTGTCCCCAAGTCAACATTACTGAGCAGCTTTGTGGGTGTTAGTTATTGAGAGGGGATTTAAAAAATAGAGGCTGGGCACAGTGGCTCATGCCTATAATCCCAGGACTTTGGGAGGCCAAGGCAGGCAGATCACCTGAGGTCAGGAGTTTGAGACCAGCCTGGCCAACATCGTGGAACCCTGTCTCTACTAAAAATACAAAAATTAACCGGGCATGGTGGTGCACACCTGTAATCCCAGCTACTCAAGAGGCTGAGGCAGGAGAATCACTTGAACCCGGGAGGCGGAGGTTGCAGAGAACCAAGATCTTTAGCCTGGGTGACAGCGAGATGCCATCTCAAAAAAAAAAAAAAAAAAACACCTCCATTTGCCCTCATGTTGCTCCCAATCTGGCAGGGAAAACAGACCATGAAACAAAACAACACTAGAAGGACACATATTGCTGGGGGATTAGAGAAAAGAAGATTCTTGGCCAGGTGCGGTGGCTCATGCCTGTCATCCCAGCACTTTGGGAGGCCAAGGCAGGAGGACTGCTTGAGGCCAGGAGTTTGAGACCAGCCTGGGCAACATGGGAAAACCCAGTTTCTACAAAAAAATCCAAAAAGTTAGCCAGGTGTGGTAGCACATGCCTGTAGTCTCAGCTACTTGGGAGGCTGAAGTGGGAGGATCTCTTGAGCCCAGGAGGTTGAGGCTGCAGTGAGCGGTGATTGCACCACTGCACTCCAGCCTGGGTGACAGAGCACGATTCTGTCTCAAAAAAATAAATAAAACTAAAAAAGAAAAGGAGACTCCTTATTCCTATGTGTGTCATATATGTGTGTAGTTTTAAACGTTTTCAATGTTTTATAACATCCATGATCTCATTTCATTTAGACCCAGTGATAATTCTCTGAAATAAAGTCACAGAGAGTCACGGCTGCTAAGGACCTCAGAGATCATCCATTTTATCCAATCCCTTGATTCTATATGGAGGAAACCAAGGCATGGATATGGGAAGTGCATTGTCATGGTCACACAGAAGCAGAGGAGCTGGAATGCGAACCCGGGGCCCTTGGTTCTTTTCCACATTCTTTCCTACACTTTCAGAATGGGGAGGGCGATTGGATTAAGGCCACAGGAGCATTTAATGAAGCCCAGGGGAGCCCAGGTGGGGACGAGGTGATGGTTCAGTATGAGGATTTGGGAGGTGGGGTCACTGTAGGGACATCCCGAGGCCCAGAGTCACCAGGGGAAACATTAGCTTTTAATTATCACTTTCTGAGGCTGCCCCTCCCACAGTTAGGGTGTCTGGAGCGGGGGAATCAAGCGGGCAAGGAATGCCTGCTGGAATGAAGGCGGCCAGCGGTCTTTACATGAGGCCTCAGTCACGAACGGAATTCCTCAGCATGGGGTGCTGACGTTCCAACCACTGGCTGGGAACAAAGACCTGCACATGGGACACCCCAGGAGCAAGGTGTTCGCCCCTTCCTGTGACCCGAGCCCTCCAGCGCACGGGCGGCGAAGCGTTGCAGAGCCACCCAGGACCTTTCAGCTGCGGCCAGGCCCATGCCCAAGTGCTCAGGCCCAATAATGTCCTGCTGTCCTGCCAAGCCCCATGCCCCAAGGCGTCCCAGCCCTGGTTCGGGGCCATGCAGGGAATTGAGGCAGCGAAGGCATGGGGAACCCTGGTCTCCTGGGAGGAAAGGAGACCCAGGAGCATTTATTATTTTATTTTAGTTTTTTAGAGATAGGACCTCTAAATCCAACTAATTAGCAAACTCATACACAATTTTTTTTTTCTTTTTTTTTGAGATGGAGTCTCGCTCCGTCACCCAGGCTGGAGTGCAGTGGTGCAATCTCGGCTCACTGTAACCTCTGCCTCCTGGGTTTAAGCTATTCTCCTGCCTCAGCCTCCTGAGTAGCTGGGATTACAGGTGCTTGCCACCACACCAGGCTAATTTTTCTACTTTTAGTAGAGTCGAGGTTTCACCATGTTGGCCAGGCTGGTGTTGAACTCCTGACCTTCAGCAATTCTCCCGCCTCGCCCTCCCAAAGTGCTGGGATTACAGGCGTGAGCCACCGCGCCTGGGCTCTACACTATATATATATTATATATATATATATATATATATATATATCCTTTTTTTTTTTAAATGGAGTTTCGCTCTTGTTGCCCAGGCTGGAATGCAATGGCATGATCTCTGTTCACCGCAAACTCCACCTCCCGGGTTCAAGGGATTCTCTTGCCTCAGCCTCCCGAATAGCTGGGATTATAGGCATGAGCCACCACACCCGGCTATTTTTTGTATTTTTAGTAGAGATGGAGTTTCTCCATGTTGGTCAGGCTGGTCTCGAACTCCCGACCTCAGGTGATCCTTCCGCCTCAGCCTCCCAAAGTGTTGGGGATTACAGGTGTGAGCCACCGCACCCAGCCACAATGATTTTTATAAAAAATGATTTTATAAATCATTTTATAAAAAATGATTTTATAAATCATTTTATAAAAAATGATTTTTTAAAAAAATCATAATATATATTTAAAATAGAGAAAAATTAGAAATAGCCTAAGAATATCATGCAGTCATCAAAATGCTGAGGCTGTATGGAAAAAAAAGCTTAAAACATAATGGTTAGCAAAAAAAGCAGGATATTATATATACAGTGTTTTTTATATATACATATAAAAAACATACTCTATTCTTTTTTTTGAGACAGGGTCTCACTCTGTCTCCCAGGCTGGAGTGCAGTGGTACAATCACAGCTCACTGCAGCCTCAACCTCCTGGGCTCAAGCGATCAACCCACCTCAGGCTCTGGAGTAGCTGGGACTTCAGGCATGCGTCACTGCACCTGGCAATTTTTTTTTTTTTAATAGCGATCGGGTCTTGGGATGTTGTCTACACTGGCCTTGATCTCCTGGCCTCAAGCAATCCTTCCACCTCAGGCCTCCCAAAGCACTGGGATTACAGGCGTGAACCATCACACCTGGCTGTGTTTCTTGTAGTAGCAAAGTGGACACATGTTGGGACTACCAGACACTAGGTAATTGGGTCAGGCCTGGCTTTTGTGTGCGGCTTCTTGACCATGGCATTTAGAGCAGCACTCCTCATACTTGAACTTTACTCAGGGGATTTTGTCAAAATGCAGATTTAGAGTCATGGATCGGGATGGGGCCTGTGAGTCTACATTCCCTTTTAACAAGTTTTATTTTTTGGCTGGGTGCTGTGGCTCACGCCTGTAATCCCAGAAATTTGGGAGGCTGAGGTGGGCAGATCACTTGAAGCCAGGAGTTTGAGACCACCTGGCCAACGTGGTGAAACCCTGTCTCTATGAGAAATACAAAAATTAGCTGGGTGCGGTGGTGCACGCCTGTAGTCCCAGCTACCTGGGAGGCTGAAGCACAAGAATTGCTTGAACCCAGGAAGTGGAGGCTGCAATGAGCCTGGGCCACTGCATTCTAGCCTGGGTGACAAAGCGAGACTCTGTCTCAAAAAAAAAAAGTTGTATTTTTAAATTGACAACCTAATAATTGTACATGTTTATGGGGCCCATGTGATATTTTGATACCTGCATACAATGTGTCATGATCAAATCAGGGTAATCTGCATATCCATCACCTCAAACATTTATCATGTCTTTGTGTTGGGAACATTCCAAATCCTCTCTTGTAGCTATTTGAAAATATACAATACATTCTTGTTAATGGTCATCACCATACACTGCTATAGAACACTAGGATTTATTCCTGCTAGTTCCTATGTAGCTGTAACTTTGTATCTGTTAGCCAACCTCTCCCTCCCCAACCCCTGCCCTCCCCACCCCTCTAGTGACCACAGTTCTACTGAGTCTGTATTTCTAAAGGGCTTCCAGGCTGGGCACAGTGGCTCACGCCTGTAATCCCAGCGCTTTGGGAGGCCAAGGCAGGCGGATCACCTGAGGTCAGGAGTTCCAGACTAGCCTGGGCAACATGGTGAAACCCTGTCTCTACTAAAATACAAAAAAAATTAGCTGGGGGTGGTGGTGCATGTCTGTAATCCCAGCTACTCGAGAGGCTAGGCAGGATGATCACTTGAACCCGACAGGCAGAGGTTGCAGTGAGCTGACATTGTGCCATTGCACTCTAGCCTGGGCGACAAGAGCAAAACTCTGTCTCAAAACATATAATAAAATAAAATAAAGGGCTTCCAGGTGATGGTGACACTACTGGTTTGAAATCCATGCTTAGAGGAACGAGCCTTTCAAAGGGGAGTTCGTGGGAATGAATTTATCCCAAACCTCACCTGAATAATGGTCTTCTCAGTGCTTTCCACTGAAGGTCCCATTTTTCGGACCCCTTTGCATGGTCCCTGCCTTTTCTGGATGCTTGGGTCCCGGTTGACCCCTCCGAGGACTTGCAGCACTCACTCTCTGCTCTGCTCACTTGGCCCCTCAGCATCCCATGTCTATGCTGCTTTGAGTCCCTTCGTTATCAATACTTCCCCCTTGAGGTGGCTGGCTACCTGTGCTTCACTTGCTTCTGTTCTTGTAAGGTTCAGCCACGACACTGTGGGGACAGCCAGGATCCCATGAACACTGATTCCTTGACTCCATCTGCCCTTGTGCAGGCAACAGCTCCTTTCCTGGGCCCTGTCACCTTGCTCAGTTGGCCCAGAGAGCCCCTGCTGGGCCAGTCTCTCTGTCCCTGTTGCCTGGGACTCTGTTTTTAGAACAATAAGGTGAATTCTGTTCATCTCCTAAGAAAGCGTTGAGTTCCGGAATGGGGGAAACATACTTCTCTCTTGGCAGAGGAGGAACCACCCAGTCAGGCGGGCCAAGGCCCCATTGATCAGAGTCCAGTGAAAAAGTGGCTTCTCAGGAGCCCTGGATGCTGGCCCACTTCGAGACAACTTCTTCTTTCAACTTCCTTTCATGTATTTTAACTTCACAAACATGCCAGTTTCCAGCTGCCCCTCAGACAGCAGCAGTGATGGTGGTGGGAAGGACACCGCCGTAGGGGTCAGATGGAGTGGGGTGGGGAGGGTGGTGGTGGGAGGTTTCACCCTATTAGGGATGTTTCTGTTGGGGACCAAGGTTATATCGCAGATGACTCATGCGATAACACAGTTACATGCATTAAAATATAGATGCCCACAAAGGGCACAATTACAGAGACCTCGCCCCTTTCTTTTGCTCTTTATATCTCTCTATTCTCTCTCTCTTTCTCCCCACCCCCCCGCCCCCCACACACAAATACTTAACCAATTAAGTCCGTCGAGTGCTATTTGCAGATGATGGTGTGGAATTGTGCTGGAGTTGTGTCCGGCCTCATTAAATGTCAGGATTAACAATACAGCAGTTGGCAATCAAGGCTGTTCTGTGGCTGTTAGTCATTAATCACCATCTGACAGTCCTGAATTGGAAACGAGGAGCCTGTTCACATGTGCTCTGTGTACCTAGTTACCCTCTTGGTAATCAGTCTTGGAAAAGTTTTCTTTGACTCCCTGCCTGCAAAGGCCTCTGTCCTGGCGAGGAGGCACAGGGTCACTGGGCTTTCTCCCCTCTCCTCCTCCTCCTCCCCCTCACTGGGAAAAGAAGTTGAGGTCCTGTAAAAACAAGGGGAGAGAGAAGCGTATTGTTTTTGGCCTGCTCTTTCCCTCTTAGGCCTGTTTTATGTAGCCTTGTTTTTATATTCTGGCCCGATGGCCAGGAAAATTCTTTTTCTCCCTGAAGAAATCCTAAAAGACAGCAGGGAGCCCGGTCCTGTTCCAAGAGCTGCTGGGGTAAGTTTGTAAAGTGCAGTCCTTCCCCAGCTGCTCAGGTGTGGACCTCTCTCTGCAAGAAGGGCCACTTGACTCGTTTCAGGTATTGCTACCAGCAACTCGGGCCTGACTTCGGGCAGGTCTTCTGGATCTGTCTGCAGAATCGAGAGGAAGGACCAGTTTCTTTTTGGGGTCCATTCTCTAGACCTTGCTTTATTCATTCATTCATGCATTCAAGAAATATCTATTGAGAGCCCATTACCTGCCAGGCACAGACTGGGCATGGAGGCTACAGCAGTAAATGCACAGGCAAAGCCTGTGCCCTCATGGTGGTTGCCTTTGCGGGGGAGATAAGCTTCTGCCACAGAAACCCATATTGTGGCTGGGAAGCGCTCGAGCCCTGGACTCTCACTGTGCATTGCCTGGCTGCCAGGCCTTTCCAGGGTGCCAATCCTGAAGCTGCCCTTCCTGGGAAAATGTTCTTATTTCAGAGCCTGCCTGACCTGGCTCCTTCTCCCCTTCAATGGTCTCCTGTCTCATTCCCTTCAGACGCTGCCTCTGTTTTTCTAGATACTGGCTATTCCCAAACATGTTGGGGTGACACTGATGTATTAACAGGGCTGTCTTCTCCCCCCATCCCTTTCCTGGGCATGGATTATGGTGTTTTTGCAGGATTTCATTCCTTAACTCCAAGGATTGACTTGAGGGCATCATTTCAGCTGCCATGGGGAGTTGGTAGAGATGGAGGTCACTGACCACCCTGTCCCCAGGGGGTCCTCTCTGCCTACCTCTAGGGTTTGTAGCCATGCCCAGAGTCCTTAGTGTGAGTCTTCTTTCCCCAAGACCTTCCTTCCTGTTCTGGACAGGGGAGGCTGACTGGAGAAGAAAGTCTTCTGCAACAGCCAGGCCCTGGGCCCTCGGTAGGTGGCGTGCCCTCTTCCTCTCCTTCCTGATCACCGTTACTTCCATCTTTCTTTCTCTTTCTTTCTTTCTATCTTTCTTTCCTTCCTTCCTTCCTTCCTTCCTTCCTTCCTTCCTTCCTTCCTTCCTTCCTTCCTTCCTTTCTTTCTTTCTTTCTTTCTTTCTTTCTTTCTTTCTTTCTTTCTTTCTCTTTCTCTCTCTCTCTCCCTTCCTCCCTTCCTTCTTTTCCTTCTTTTCTTTCTTTTCTTTCTATAGGAAGACTCCCGCAAGACGCTCTTGTCGCCCAGGCAGGAGTGCAGAGGTGCATTCTTGGCTCACTGCAACCTCCGCCTCCTGGGCTCAAGCAATTCTGCCTCAGCCTCCGGAGTAGCTGGGATTATAGGTGCCCACCACCAGGCCCGGCTAATTTTTGTATTTTTAGTAGAGATGGGGTTTCACCATGTTGGTCAGGTTGGTCTTGACCTCCTGACCTCAGGTGATCCGCCCACCTCAGCCTCCCAAAGTGCTGGGATTACAGGTGTGAGCTACCATGCCCGGCCTCTGATTACGGCTTCTATTGTTTCTTCTTTGAGTTTCACTCCCAGGTCTCTTCCCTCACCCACCTGATGACTTCAGTTCAAAGGCATTGACACATGTTTTAGCCCTTTAGTGGTTTTCAATGAATGGAACACTGCAAGCATTTGTTGATGCCCCATTGCATGACTGGCACTGTCTCAGGCACAGAGGACACACAGAGGAATAAAATGCCTTTCTTGCCTTTAAGAAACATGTGGTCCAGTGGAGGGAGAGGAGAGGCACTCCCAAAGAGAAGAACTGTCAGGGAGATAAAGAGTTCAGGATATACAAAGCAAGGGGAAACCGCGATTGCTCAGGGTAAAAATGAGAGCCGTGACTGTGTGAGAAGGGGAGCAGATGCTGAGGAAGAAGGAGCAACTCACTGCTAGAGCTCAGCGTCCAGGAAACAGTGAGTGGTTGCGTTTGGCTCCTGTCATTGGTTCTGGTAGGGGCAGTGGAAAGATACGTTGGGGACATCTGCGGGGGACTCAAATGCTAGGTGAAAAATTTGGCCCTATTAGACAATGCGGAGCCAGTGAAGGCCTATGTACCTCCAAAAGTAAGAAACACGCTCTTGTATATTTCATTAAACACTGATCTTTCTGGAAGAGAGAAGGCTTGAGTTGCTCTCCAGCTTCACACTCCCTGCAAGAACCTTGTACTTATAAACTGATTTGTGTGATGATTATTTGAATTTTTGCCTGCATGAGCAACTGTCCATGCCACAGCTGTAGGAGTTGGAGAAGTTCAGGCTGTTTCCTGGGGCTGCCTTGCAACTTGCTGAGAGATCCCATCCTGCATAGGCTCAGTCTCCGTTCCCCTGCTCCCTTGCCTTGGTGCTCAGATGCCATGCCTTGACCACCCTTTTTTTTTTTTTTTTTTTTTGAGATGAAGTCTCACTCTATCACCCAGGCTGGACTTCAGTGGCATGATCTAGGCTCACTGCAACCTCCGCCTCCAGGGTTCAAGCGATTCTTTCACCTCAGGCTCCTGAGTTGCTGGAACTATAGGTGTGCCCCACCACGCCTGGCTAATTTTTGTATTTTTAATAGAGATGGGGTTTTACCATGTTGTCTAGGCTGGTCTTGAACTCCTGACCTCAAGTGATCAGCCCACCTCGGTCTCCCAAAGTGTTGGGATTATAGGTGTGAGCCATCGCACCTGGCAACCTGGACCACCCTTGGCTTCCTTTCCCATTCCTAGCTCTTCCCTCTTCCGGTTCCTCCTGGGCTTTGCTGAGTTACTGAATTTTGTCCTTCCATGAAGGCACAGCTAAAAGGGAAATCACCTTCATGACAGGGGAATCTGCCTGGGATTCATGTGCGGCTTTCCCCAGCTTGACACACTCTTCTCTCTGTACCTGGTTAACCCCACTCAGCCATCAGGCCTCAGCTTCAATGGTGCATTCCTAAAGAGACTCTTCCTGACCTTAGTCAGGAGGGGTCCGTTGTTGTAACCTTTCTGTGTGCACTACACAACACTTTGTACTTTTTCTTTGTCACTACTACAACTTATAATTGTATATTGATTTGTTTAGTTTTGTCTCCTTATTAGTCTGTAAGCTCCATGAAGGCAGGAGCTGCATGTCTTTTCTCTCACTATTATAGCCCCAAAATCTAGCCCAGTGCCTGGCATGTAGTAGATGCTCAGTAAATGGTACTGAACGAATGAATGGATGGTCTCGGGTCCATCTGTGGGCTGGATGATCTCAGAGCATCTATCCAGTAGCTTAGGGCGGGGAAACTATAGAATTTCTCCCTTTTTCTACATCTCCCTCTCTCTCTTCTTCCTTCCTTCTTTCCTTCTTTCCTTTTTAAAAAATTGAGACAGGGTCTTGCTCTGTCACCCAGGCTGGAGTATAGTGGTGCAATCACAGCTCGCTGCAGCCTTGATGTCCTGGGCTCAAGTGATCCTCTTGCATAAGCCTCTGGAGTAGCTGAGACTACAGGTGCATGACACCACACTGAGATAACAAAAAAAAAAAAAAATTTTTTTTTAGAGATGGGGTCTTGCTATACTGTCCAGGCTGGCCTCAAACTCCTGGCCTCAAGTAATCCTCCCTCCTTGGCCTCCCAAAGTACTGGGATTATGTGTGTGAACCACTGCACCTGGTCATCTTTCTTTTTTCTTTCTTTCTCTCCCTTTCCATAAGGGAGAGGGAGAGAAGAAAATGGGGAGTGAGGAGCATAGGCTCTTGCGAAGCCTCCCTCATGGCCTGCCCATGATGGTGACAACCCTGTAACAGGGACCCAACTTCTCCTCTGACAGAGGTACCCTGGGCTTGAAAAAGAAATCTATGAATGTTCCAAAAAGAAACAGCAAGTTCTGAACCCCACTTGCCCTCCACCCACCTGTTCCCAAAGGATTCTGAGCTTGAAACCCCAAAGAAGCTGTGGGCACCATTCTTTTCCCCAAGTATGAATGAGCTGCTGTCTGCTGGGAAGACAGGGAAACAGAAGGAGGTGGGGGAACAGAGTCTAGAGCAGGGGTGGTTTAAGGCACCAGCACAGAAGGAAAGTTAGCATTAAGAGTGCATGGGAGAGTTGGGCGTGGTGGCTCACACCTGTAATCCCAGCACTTTGGGAGGCTGAGGTAGGTGGATCACTTGAGTTCAAGACCAGCCTGGCCAACATGGTGAAATCCCGTCTCTACTAAAAATACAAAAATTAGCCAGGCATGGTGGCGCATGCCTGTAATCCCATAATCCCAGCTACTTGGGAGGCTGAGGCAGGAGAGTTGCCTGAACCTGGGAGGCAGAGGCTGCAGTGAGCCGAGATTGGGCCACTGCACTCCAGCCTGGGTGACAGAGCTAGACTCTGTCTCACAAAAAAAAAAAAAAAAAAGGTGCATGGGAGAACACCCTCATCTCCTTACCCCTCTTCAAAGTGCTCTCCCTGCTGAGTGGGCTTGAGGGGTGTAAATGAGAGTGGAAGGAGACACCGAAGTGGGCGTAGCTCTCAAGGCATGTGGGGACGAGGGAGGCTCTTCACCCTAATAGTGGCTCTCAACCCAGGCTGATACCACCGCCAAGGGCATCTGGATTATTCTGATGGTCCTCATGGTTGAGAGGCATTACAAGCAATTGGTATCTTGAGACTAAGGATGCTAAACCTTCTACCTTGCACAGAAGGGTCCTGCTCAGTAAAGAAGTGTCTTGCCCAAATATCAAGAGTGTCTCCTTTAATAAATACTGTGGGGTAAGTGAAAAGCAGGGACTTTGATGCTGGATCCCTTTGGGGCCTTAGACACTCCATGGTTTCTGTCCCTAGAGCTCCTGAGTTGCATGGAGAGAAAGCAGAGAGGCCCGTCCCTGACCATCAGGGCATGGGACGTAAGCTGAAGGAGAGCCTGGGTCACCATCCCCTTCTGTTTCTTCTCCACCCTCCCTCAGCGCCCCGCCACTCTGTACAGATTTCTGGCAGGCCTGGCTCACTCAGCCAGGCCTCACTCAGCCGTGATGCCTAACTTTTTCCATATGCAAAGGCTGCTCCCGCTTCAGAAACACGAGAGAGGGCCGCGGGAGATGCACAGCCAGAGGGACTGTGGTGGAGGTGAGGGGCGGCCTGGGGAATGGGAAAGGTTTTTTGGGGGGTGTCACCATGAGGGGAAGTGCTGGGGAAGTCCACGGCAACACGTTCTAGCCTGTTTGGAGGCCGGCTGTTGGCACCAGGAGAAATCCATCCTGCAGAGCCAACCCTCATTAATCATCCGGGCGGCTGAACTGCCAGCTCCTTTCAAGATCTTTCAAGAAGGGTTTTCACCCAAAATAGAGTTGAAAATGTGCTGGGCCCTACTCAGAATCTCATCAGTCTGGGCATTATGGGAAGTGTCAGGCGGACTGTGACAGACAAGGCCCACTCTGTTCAAGGGGTCCTGACTCCCACAGCCTGTCATATCAAGCGCCTGATCAAATTTGACAGCTTCATTTGTACCTACAGAATAGATAAAAGGGGCTGTTCATTGAAACAAATGGAGGGGAAGGGGTGGGGGAGGGAAAGGAGGTGAGAGTGAGAGGGAACGTGTGTGTGTGTGTGTGTGTGTGTGTGTGTGTGTTGGGGGAAGAATGGCACTGGGGAAGGGGCAGGAAGGGGAAGATTATGGTGAGGGGCAAGGGTTGCCAAGAAGGATTCTGTCTAAGATCATTTTCTTCTCCAATACTTTCAAAGAAGGGAGAGGGGTCGGGGGCGGCAGGTGAGTATCAAGAGGGGATGGGAGTGAAAGCCCTACCTGTCAGTGTGACCATCACGAGCCTCCTGAGACCTCCTCTCTGTGCTGTGTGCCCTGAAGCAGTCACAGAGCCAGGAGGGTGGGCCCTGGGGACAGGGGAGCCCACAGTGAGTGGCTGGGACTAGGGGAGTCAGCCCCGGCGAGCGTGACACAGGTTTCAATTGCAGGCCCCATGCTACCTGTGCAGAGAGCCTTACCTTTCTCTGTGGCAGGCTTTGAATTGTGCCCCTTCTCTGCAGTGAGGCTGTTGCCCCTTCTTTGGCCAGGTTGCTGGGTGGCTGCACCTCTGCGTGTGGCCCTGAAGACCTGAATTCCTTAAGTTATACTTAGTGTACCTTTGTGCTCTCCGCACACAGAAGCTGGTTTGTGTGAGTGGGAGAGGTGTCCCGCAACACAGCTTGCGCTGTCCCGCCTTGGGCCTGGCTCTGGCTGCCCCACTGGCCTCGAAGACCTCTCCTTTCTCCTCTGGGGCTGAGTGAATGATGATCCCTTCCAGCTCCGAGGATGCTCTAAATACCTTGTACTTTATGTGGGTCCCCTTCACTTGTGATCGTACTTTACTTTGCATAACTAGTATGTGCTTGTATGGGTTTCCCTATTGATTGTAAACAGTTTGATGTCTGGGGCATGTCCTGTGCATCTTCCATCCTCCAATAGCATTTAGCACACATAATAGGTTCTTCAGAACTGCTTTTGATTGACAATTAGCATTCCACACACTGTAAGGCTCAACTGTGACCATCAGGAGGTGATCAGGGGATTGAAGGGCTCCTTTCTGATCTATGGTCTTTAGAAGAGAGGGCCAGAGGTTAGCAGGGCTCCCCCTATCCTACCCCCAGCCACGTGGCACCTTTGGAAGATTTAGAAGAAGGCCCCCTTCCAAGCTGATGCAGTCCCAGGTCTGGTGTCTGTGGAGCTCCCAGTTGTTCCCTTGGCCAGATGCTGTCCTGTGGGGCATTGCCTGCACAATAGTATGTGAAGGGTGGCCCTGGCCACAGGTAGACAGGTTTTTATAACCAGATAGCCTTGGTAGGAATCTTGCCTCTACTGCTTACTGGTTTTGTGGCCTTAGGCAAGATACATCCAACAATAGACTTGCTGCAGAGAATTGCTGCCAGGATTCAAGGAAAGCTTCTATGCAAAGTGCTCAGCACAGTGCCTGGCACACAGCAAGAGCTCAATAAATGTTAGAGAAAGAAAAAGGCTCATATCTGGTCTGCGATGCTCAGACTTCTTCATTTGAACTTACAGCAGCATTCTATTGACAGCTCTTGTTTGTCAGTGACCATGGATCATTATCACTTTGTATCAATCCTCTGCTTTTTGTAAGTTTCACAGATGCAAGCATTGTTAGAGTCCAATACACCAAAGATGCCTATCCTTCTCGTTAGGAGGGCTTGCCAATATGCTGCCTCCATGCTCAAATAGGTGATCCTCTGCAAGCCACCAGGTGGAGGTCTCAGTACTACAAAGTATGCAGAAGGTCACAAATTTCTATGAACTTCAGGGTCTCATAGGCCTGAGCCTTCTGTCCTAACCTTAGTGGAGACAGCCTAGTCTGGCTAGAGCAGTCCATCCCCAGATGCACCTGTGTTTCCTACAATTTCAGATGTAAGCTTTTAAGCTTTCTCCAGGTAGATAGGGCTCAGTGGGTTTGGAAGGGCTTCTGTTTGGTAAGGTCTGGGAAGCAGAGTGGAGGAGAGTAAAATGACCACAGACAGGGCAGTATCGAAGCTGCCGAGACAACAGCTGGGGTGGACTCACCTCCAGGCCTCCTTCTCCTCTGGCACCAGGGAGAAGCAATGTGCCACCCTTGCAGTTAGGAGGGGCCATGGGACCAGTGCTGGCCAGAAGATTGTGAGCAGAGGTGACATATTCATTTTTGGCCTGCAACATGTGATTGTTTGTGTGAGATGCTCCGGCTCTTCCTCTGTGTGTGTTCCTCTGCCAGTCAGTGGGCCTGATTAATTATGTGGCCCTGATTAATTATGTGGCACAGTTGATGCTTTCTGATGCATCGGTTTGGTTAGATTGAACTCCAGTCCCCAGTTACTAAATCAAACAAGAATCTAGGTGCTTCTGTGAAGGAATTTTGCAAATGTGATTGAAGTCCCTAATCAGTTGACTTTAAGTTGATCAAAAGAGAAGTGATCTAGGGTGGGCCTGACCTAATGAAGCAAGCCCTTTAAAAGGGGGCTTAGGCCTTCCTTGTTCTCAGAGACTCCACATGGCTCAAGCCAGCAGGGTGTCTTGTGATGCTGGCTTGTGATCTTCCCTTCCTGTCTGCCTGCCCTACAGACTTCCAACTCACTTAGCTAGCCATGATTGCGTAAGTGAACGCCTTGAAATAAATGACTCCATATATTACTGCTTCTGCTTCTCTGGTTGAACACTGACTGATAGAGATCCCCGTCAATTCACAATGGATACACAGTATAAGTGGAAAAAAAAAAGAGGACTTTGTTGTGTTAAGCCACTGAGATTTGTGTGTTAATTTGTTACCACCGTATAACCTAGCCTATACTCTTGATTACTGCAATGGCATTAATAGAGTCCTCAGCACATTATCTCTCTCTCTCTTTTTTTTTTTTGGAGACAGGGTCTTGCTCTGTTGCCCAGGCTGGAGTGTAGTGGCACAATCGTGGCAAACTACAGCCTTGACCTCCCCGGGCTCAGGTGATTCTCCCACCTCAGCTTCCTGAGTAGCTGGGACCACAGGCAAGCATCACCAGGCCTCTCTAATTTTTGTATTTTTTGTAGAAATGGGGTTTTGGCATGTTGTCCAGGCTGGTCTCGAACTCCTGGCCTCAAGTGATCCATCCACTTCAGTCTCCCAAAGTGTTGGGATTACAGGTGTGAGCCAATGTGCCTGGCCAGTGTGGGCTAAGATATAATGTGATATCTTAGTTTATACACCAATCTCCCATTTGACTGCAAACTCCTTGTGGCAAGGCCAGTATCTCCTCCATCTTTTGAATTCCCAGAGCAGACCAAAATACTTAGTAGGTAGTGGTCTGTAAATGTTTACTGAATGCTCAAACCCAATGCACTGACCAGCATCTCAGCTCTTGTTTGGGGCAGGACCAATTTCATTTGAATTGTACATAGTCAACTGGTCCCAACACACACAGGCACAGCCAGAACTTTCCAGGGAGCAGGCACCCTTATTCCATTTATCCATAGCATCTAGGCCTGCCAACATACAAAGTCTGAAGCTGCTTGGCTAAGTGTAAAGAGTTTTAGAGTCAGAACCATATTAGAATCCTGGCTTCATGCTCTTTAACTGTGAGATCTTGGGCAATTTTTTTTTTTTTTTCTGAGACAGAGTCTCACTCTGTCACCCAGGCTGGAGTGCAGTGGCGGCTCACTGCAACCTCTGCCTCCTTGGTTCAAGTGATTCTCCTGCCTCAGCCTCCTAAGTAGCTGGGATTACAGGTGTGTGCCACCATGCTCAGCTAATTTTTGTATTTTTTTGTAATTTTATATTGTAATTTTATATTTTTAGTAGAGACAGGGTTTCACCACATTGGCTAAGCTGGCCTCGAACTCCTGACCTCAGATGATCCGCCTGCCTTGGTCTCCCAAAGTGCTGGGATTACAGGCATGAGCCACTGCGCCCAGTCTTGGGCAATTTACTTGACCTCTATAAATTTTAGTTTTCATATAAAGAGAAACTAAAGGTTTGTTTTAAGAATTAAATGTCCAGTATATATTCGTATATTTAACTGTGCCATGGTACACACAAAATGATGCTTCCTGAGATGCCCTAGGGTGGGCCTGACCTATCCTTTCTGTATTTTTGGTGGTGCCCATGTTTGAAGCAGGAAGAGCACAGCCACAATGATTCCTGTGTGAACTGACTACAAACCCACATTATAGCTCACACCATGCATGCACATACACACACCCAGGAGAGCAAACAGGATAAGGACATGCAAGGGAATTCTCCAAATTGCTGTTTTCATTCTATAATTTGGCTCTGATTGGAACTCCAGAAGAGTCATTTTATTTTGTGTTCCAAAGAGCTGTGGAGATACTCCCTGCCCATTCAGAGCAGAGGTTCCCCAAACTGTGGTATAATTTTTGTCTACTTTCCCTCCCTCCCTCCCTTCCTTCCTTCCTTCTTTCCTTCCCTCCTTCCTCTCTCTCTCCTTCCTTCTTTCCTTCGTTCCTTCCTTTCTCTCTCTCTCCTTCCTTCCTTCATTCCTTCCTTTCTCTCTCTCTCCTTCCTTCCTTCTTTCCTTCCTTCCTTCCTTCCTTCCTTCCTCTCTCCTTCCTTCCTTCTTTCCTTCCTTCTTTCTTTCTTTCTTTCTTTCTTTCTTTCTTTCTTTCTTTCTTTCTTTCTTTCTTTCTTTTTCTTTCTCTTTCTTTCTTTCTTTCTTTCCTTCTCTTTCTTTCTCTTCCTCCCTCCCTTCCTCCCTCCCTCCCTTCCTTCTTCCTTCCTTCTTTCTCTCTCTCTTTCTTTCTGCCCCATTTTTCAAAAGCAACTGGCTGTAGGCTATGAAAAATCTGATTCTTTTTGTAGACCTTGATTTAACCTCACAGCAGTCTCAAAATTATTTTAAATAATTCCTAACCCACTTAAGCACCCCGACGTAGTCTCTGAAATCCCTACATCACCCTATACTCAGCATTGCATCAAATTAAATACAAATTTAATAATTCACTTTGTTGGAGTCAGTTCTCTGGGTGAAAAAATCCACACTGCAATATTCTTCCTGTGTTCCGGCTGGGCACGGTGGCTCATGCCTGTAATCCCATCTCTTTGGGAGGCTGATGTGGGCAGATCATTTGAGCCCAGGAGTTCAAGATCAGCCTGGGCAAGAGGGCGAAACACTGTCTCTACAAAAATTACAACAACAAAAAATTAGCTGGGCATGGTGGTATGCACCTGTAGCTCTAGCTACTCGGGAGGCTGAGGCAGGAGGATTGCTTGAGCCCCAGGGGTGGAGGTTGCAGTGAGCCGAGATTGAGCCACTGCACTCCAGCTTGGGCAACAGAGTGAGACCATGTCTCTCTCTCTCTGTATATATACCCTCCCTACCCACTCATTGCTGAGGTGAAGTCATGAGCCTTCTTTTCCTGGGTCTTCCCTGTTTGCTGTTCTGATAGGAAATTTAGAGTTGCATTTGATGAGGGCCAAAGACAGAGCATCCTAAGCAACTCTCACCATCATAATGCTTCACTCTTCCAACATTTTAGAAGATCATAGACTCTTCCAGTTAGAAAGGCCTTAAAGATTATAGGGCCCAACAACTTGATTTCAGAAATGGGAAAATAGGTTCAGAGAGACTAAGTGACTTCTTCAAAGCCACATGGCAATTAGGTTTTGAAACCAGAATAAAATCTAGGTTCTCTGACTCATTTCAATGCCCTTTCTAGTACATGCATAGTGACTGGATGTTCTGGACTTTCCAGGAGAGCCCTAAAGCTCATCAAAGTACACGTATACGATTTGTCTCCATTTTGAAGTTCATAAAACGTGGTCACTTTCAGCTGGGCATGCTGGCTCACGCCTATAATCCCAGCACTTTGGGAGGCTGAGGTGGGCAGATCATGAGGTCAGGAGTTCAAGACCAGCCTGGCCAACATGGTGAAACCTTGTCTGTACTAAAAATACAAAAATTAGCCAGGAGTGGTGGTGTGCACCTGTAATCCCAGCTACTCAGGAGGCTGAGGCAGGAGAATTGCTTGAACCTGGGAGGCAGAGACTGCAGTGAGCAGAAATTGCACCACTGCACTACAGCCTGGGCAGCAGATCAAGACTCCGTCTCGGAAAAAAAAAAAAAAAAAAAAAAAAAAATATATATATATATATATATATATATATATATATATATATATAGTATCTTCCTTTTCTCTCAGCCAACAGGTTCAAATTATTTTCTCTTAAGAAAAAGGCAACCCAGTTCATATGTAATCTAAATCTACTAGCAGCTTTTTCTGTTTTAGGAAGTGTTAATAATGCTGGTGATATGCCACCATCCCAGGAAAACCTGGAAAGGTATTTTTCATTTAGGAAGACTTACCAACCATTTCCATGCTGGGAATGCTGTGGGGGAGGTATAAGCTGATTAGGGAGAGAGTGGGTAGAAGAAAATTCAGATGTGTTTATATAGCCTTAATTAAGCCTGTTCCTTGATCTGCTCTAGAAATGGAAATTACTGACTCAGGGGCTCAGCCTTCTCATCACTATAGAATGAGAACCTCACCCATCTTCAAAAGAGCATGGGCTTAGGAGGAATTGGGGAGCCCCAGGTTCCCCTATATCAGCCCCAGTGAGCTCTCCCTCCTCCAGCTCCTGTGGCTGGCACGACCATCTGATCTGCACAATTAGCGCCTTATTATATCCTATCCTCTTCTCCGCTGTCTGCACAGAATGATTTAGCACTTTCTCAGATCAGCAGAAACGCAGTTATGTATAATGCAATCTTGCTCCCTGTCTCACGGGCGCATCTTGTCTCCCCCAGCTCAATGGGGCAGGAAGTTTGTCTGAGTTTTCTTCTGCATCTCACGGTATCCAGCATTGTGCTGGGCACCTAATAGGAATTCTGCAAAGTCTGTTTGCTTCGATGATGGCCACCTGGAAGTGAAATCCTCAAATAGTTGGGACTCTATTTTCAAGCTGCCATTTCTCAATTTTGGTCATTCGCTAACTCTTTTGTCAAAACATGAAATGTACAAGTGGAAAGAAGGCGGTATCACTCTCTGCAATAGAGGTCACTCCACCTTCTTCTCTTTGTAAAGGTGGAAACCAGCTGTTGGTCTATCAATTTACCGCAATGACACCCCCTGCCCTACCCTGGACTCCAGGGGTGGCTCTGCTTATGTTTTTCCCCTTACCTCGTGTCAGCATTTCCCTCTTCTGCCTCTCCCTCTGCTGGGTGCCTTTCCTGAACTTGGACTCAGGGGCTGACAGCTGGTTTCGGGGGACTGTCGGAGAAAATGTGGGCATGCTGAGAGTCACAATAGGGCGGGCTTTGTCCAGGGGCCATGGTGCGTCTCCACTGACCTTGGAACCGAGTGACCAGGGACGACCGAGGAGAGGCAGTTTCCTTCCCTTTCCGGGCTGCAGGTTTTTAATGTCTTCTTTGTTGGTCCGGGCCACTGGAGACTGAACTGAAGGGAGAGACTTTAGGCTGTTCCCTCCCTCCTGGATAAAATGGTGCATGCTTTTCCTGTTTAAACAGGGCCCAGTTGTGAAGTGCCCTGACTTCGCACACACCAAGGCCCGGCAACGGCTGCAATAAATCAATAGGAAAATAGAAGCTGCCAGTTAGACTAAACAAGTGCATTTGCAAAGACGGCTAGCCCTCATTAATCACTCTGACAGTCCTAAAAACACATTTCCCCTTTAATGACTGTATTTGGATAATCAGTGCTTTTTCCTCCTCAGTCAGAGTTTGAGTAACAGACAGCTGGTGTTATTACAGCCATTGGGGAGGGAGTGCTGGGATTAGGGTCGACGAAGAGCCATCCACTGGAGGTCTCCGAAAAAAAAAAAATGAAAACCGGGTTGGCTGCAAAGCTGTTGTTATGCAATAATGAGGGGGAGCTTTGTACTGCCATTGACGGCTCCCGGGCAGCCATGTGCAAAGTTTCCCCCAAACCTCGACACCCACCTGCATTATGTGAATACAAAGGCTTCATGTTGGGTTTTATGAGCTTTGGCAGATTTAACTGGGGTTGGGGAGGCAGGAGGCTCTCTGGCAGGGAGGTAAGAAGATGGGTTGATGTGATTTGGCTTTGTTTCCTTTAGGTGACTTTGGCTTTCAGGAGAAAGTTTGAAACCCGGCACATTCCTCTTTGTAAATGATGTAACACATTAATGCACAGCACATTATGAAAATGGTAATTCAAACCCATAGTGCTCCAAATTAAACCATACATTATCGGATGCACTCAACCATCTATTTTGCAAAAAGACAGGATGAATGAAATCAAATCAAACAGAAAACTGGAGTGCAGCTTCCCCTACAGAATGATTAATAAAGTGTAGAGCCACAGGATTATTGTAAGATGAATTCCACCGTAACCCAGACATACATCAGGAGGGAGTTAGTTCATATACCCAGAGATACAATCACAGTATGCTAGGTAGGGCAGAGCAATTATGGCTGCAGAAAGATGGGGAAGGGCCCCACACCTCCCGCTTGGGCTATGAATTTCTTAGGAGATGGGTTTGCGGGTGTACAGTTGGGAAGTTAAAAACTTAACACCACATGATTTTGTTTGAGTCCAGCCTATATCCAAGGGTGAGTCTTTCCCCTCTTTCTCCTCCTCCCTTCCTCCCATGGCTGCCACAAGGCCACAAAAATAACCAGGCAAGAGGTGTGAAAATAGGACCTGGAGCCAGGAACGTCCAGTGTCTCAAGTTCCAGCCCTGTGGCTTCCACCCTTCCTGGTGCTTTGGGAACACCGGCCCCATTTCTGGCGCCTGGGACAGATTAGGAGAAAGAGGCGGAGGAGGGCTGGGAAGAGGAGGTGGAGAAATGGAAGGTGGAGGTGACCCTCAAAGAAAGGGTTGCTGGAGGCATTAATTATTCAAATAAGCACTGGATAGGGGAGCACCACCTCCATTAAGATGGCAACTTTGTTTAATGGGAATTAAGCTATTGAAAGTAACAAACTTTTCATCAGCTTATTAAAACTGTCACATTTCTTAGGTGGGGAGAGCCATCTTTTCAGAGTAGAACTGGACACTCCAGACTATGTGACCTGCCCTTTGCGGCCACAATGGTAGTTGGGGGCAGCCTATTCCCACCAGGCCCAACAGTGAACTTCCCAGTCACCAAAGGCCACCAATACATTTTATGGGGGAAACTCTGTAGTCTAAGGAGTTCTCTAACTGCATTCTTACACCTAAGGTATAAGCCAAACACCTTTTAGAACAGTTTCTTTTGGTATAGGGAATTTGCTGGTTGTGCGTCCCTTCCTTCCTTCCTCCCAACAAGAGGAGCCCTTTGGTTTGTAGATAGGGAGGTCTGAAGACTTGAAGTGTAAGAAAGCAAAGTTTAAGTCGCCCTACAGAGGGAGCAATTTCCATCATTTTTAGCAGGCATTAAAAAACATAGTGAGGGGGTGGGTCTCTGAAGGAAAGAGGGGCCTTCAGAGGAAGGGAAGATGGCAAAGAAATAATAAACAACGAACAAAACAACAGAAAAAGAAACAATAAAGCCACGAGTCGCTACATTTAGTTCGTTTAAAGATTCGGGCCAGATTGAACCCCGAGAAATTGGATAATGCTGGTTTCCCAGGAAGACCCTGATCTGGTCTCAGGGCACTTTCTCTAATTCGGGTTTCCCAGTGCCCAGTGGTAGGAGCACCCCAGGATCCCTTTCCTTTTGCTAGATCCAAAGATTTGGTAAAACACACACACACACACACACACACACACACACACACACACACACACAAACACACACACACACACACACACACACACACACACACACGCCCTGTCTGTCGTCGAGTTTGTGGACAACCAAAAACAGCGCAGAGAAACCGGCCCCATCCTACGCACTGCACTTGACCTCGGGCCACAGACGTTTCAAAAGCATGCACCTTTCAGAGCACGAACTCCCAAGTCGCATTCCTTACAGAAAAAGCAAACAGCACAACCCCAACGACAGATCCCACGAGGAGCGCGGCCAGGAAGCGGCGCAGGAGGCGGTTTTGCAGAGCGTCCCATTGGCCCCGCGCGCCCAGGCCCTTGCGCAGGGAGCAAGCGCCCCCGGCCCGATGGAGCGGGGTCCTGGCGTCGGGCAGCCGAAGTCTGAGCCGCCGTGCCTTGGCGGGCGCAGCCCGCTCTCGCTGCTGGGGGTAGGGCAGCGAGTCTGCATTGGGCTGGACGTGGCTGGGCCTCCCAGAGCTGTCCCTTCTCTCCTCCCGCCTTGGACACTCGCGCAGGGCCTGTCTATGGTACAGGGGGCAGGCTCCCTGGCCAACACGTCAGTAAACAGCACCCGCCCTCTCTTGCCCGAGGATGCAGAGGCCAGTGTCAGTCGTGCGAGCTCAAGAAAATGGACGAGCCAGGCCCAGGGGCCCGGCTCCTCCGGACTGAGAATGGCTTCAAGGTCTTGAGTCATCGTCGCATCTTCTCAGCAAAACCCAAACCCTGTTTCGAAGTTTCCGGGGCGCAGATGACCCAGGTCGACAACCCAGCGATGGCTGAGGGGAGCCCCCAAGCCTTGAGAAGCAACCCTCTCAGCAGGTGCCTTTACCCTCTGGTCAGGAGAGAGGAAACGCCCCACAAAAACAGCAGGTAGGAATCCTTCGCGTTCAGAAGATGAGAAGAACCAAGGTGCCGTCGGGGCTAGTGCGGGCTGCGCCTTCTCTCCGAGGCCTGTCGCTCGTCTTCCTGCCACCAGGTGGCGCCAAAGGCGTTTCGTCTCTGCCCGCCAGGCCGCCGGGCTCCAGGACTGCGCTGCTGGAGTCTCTGCCGGAGCCCTTGGTGCTGGGGTCCTGGGGTCCCTTCTTAGCCCCCTTAGCACGTCGCATCTGGGCCCAGAGGAAAATCCACTTTTACACACACCCTCCACCCTGGCCCCAGGAAATGTCAAGGCCTTTGAAGTGAGGCTGGGAGCTACATAACCAACTGGGGAAAAAAATTAAAAGGTGGTTTTATGTTATTTGTAATGCGTTGGCAGAAGTTTTGTTTTTTCTCCCCCATTTCTTGAGGAAAGGCATTAAACTCGTCCTTGAACGGAAATCACAGAAGGAAACCATAAGGCATTTTAAACAAGAATAAAAGAAGGGCATCTGCTTAGGTGTCTGGAAGAGGGTGGGCGAGGCAAGAGAGAAAAACACCACGGTGTGAATATAGCCAAGTATTCCATTTATTAACAAAATAAGTCTTACCAAGGGAGAGCTCTGTTCGTCCCAAACAGGCCCCGCAGCCCCCGCGCTGCCGCATCAGACCAGAAGGAGGGAGGAGTGGGGAGAAGACCCCAGTCGCTGGGGGGTCCACTCTGGGGGCTCTGCCGGGCCAGGCCTAGGAGAGGGCGGGGGCTGCTGTGATCCGAGAGCTCCCTGACGCCCCAACCTTCCCCGAACGCAGCTAACGAGCTCGTGACATCCGCTGACATCGCCACCGGTCTGCTTTGGAGGGATCTAGCGAGAGTCACCTACCCCACCCCTACTGCCAGGGGAGGGGTCGTTGCCCCCACGAGGGAGAGAAAAACAAGGACTATAATGCACTTCGCAAAATGTAAGGGGCCGGCTTCACGCCAGCGGGGCCTTCTGGGACTTTGAATTCAACCAGGTGAGCGCTCCAGGTGCCCCGACAGGCGCACTGTAGCCACTGGGTGTTAGGGGCGGGAGTCTGGAAGGTGACGGTAGACGGCCACTTGGGCCCTTCTGGGGGCGAGCCTACTGGTGGGGTCAGGGCTCTCCGTGCTCAGAGCAAGGTAGAGGAGCAAGGCCCTACTTTTGGGGGGCAGGGTCCAGACCAAGGACCCTATGCGCGGAGGGTGGCGGGGGAGGAGTCCCGGAGCAGTGTACCAGGTCAATAGAGCTCCAGGGCCCCTGCCACCCAGGTGGCCCCCTCCACCCCCAAAATGAGTTACAAAAAAAACCTCCTCTCTGTTACTTGTACAACAAAGGAAAAAACAAAACAAAACAAAACAAAAAACAAAAACAGAACCGCAAATGGAAGGAAACAAGAGGGAATGAAGGGGGAAGAGGGAAAAAGAGAAGGCGGAAACGTAGTTTTAAGTTAAGACTCATGCAAGAAACTCCCCAGGAAGGGAAAACAAAACGTCTAGAAGAACCCAAAGACCCCAACTCTCCCTCAAACCAAACCAATCAAAACCAAAAAAAGAGGAAAAGGAATAAAAAATGTAAAACTTATATCTAAGAAAAAATAACAGAAAGGAACAGGGGCGGGGATCATGTCGTTATTTGTGGGATTAATATTATTATTTGGGAGAACACAGACTTTTTGCATACCATTGACTCATGTGGGCCGTTAATGCACTTATATTCCCAGCTTGTAAGCTAACATTATAGTAAATAAATACACAGTCCGGTGGGGAAGGGCTGGGTGGGGAATCCCGGCAGGGTCAAGCAGTAGTGGAGGTTGCAGCGGCGACGGCAGGTGGGGAGGGAGGAGGAGGGAGAGGGAGGAGGGTGAGGGGGCTGGGGTGGAGGAAGAGCTGTAGTTACTGGTATCCCAGCGCCGAGGCTGAAGCTAGTCTCTGTCCATACAGCGCGTATGGCGAATAGTAGGGTCCGGCTGTGGGGAGGGACGGCACGGCCAGGCCCCCCGCTGTGGATAAGTGGCTCTTGCCATAGGGGTGGTACCGGCTTAGGCCCAAAGTGTGTGGATTCCGCAAGGACAGCGACCCGGGGCTGCCGGGGGCGGCGGGCGGGGGGAGGTGCAGATGGCAGGAGGCGGCGGCGGCGGCGGCGGCGGCGGCGCTGCCCAGGCCCGAGGCCCCGGGGTAGGCGGCCAGAAGTTTCTCGGCTCCCGGCAGGGCCGTGTGGGTCCGTAGGTGGCTGAGCAGCTCCTCCGAGGTGGCGAAGCGCTTGTCGCACGGCCCACTGGCTGCCACCCAGTTGCAGCTGTGCGGCAGCGGTTCGTTCTGCAGCATGAAGCCGTAGGTGTAGAGCGGGTGGCCGGGGAGCGCGGCCTGGGCGGCGCTGGACGAGAGCGCGGCGGGCTGCAGCGGGTGCCCGGGGTACACCAGCGGGTAGCCCCCCGCCTTCAGGCTGGGCCCGGCAGGGTCGTGCGCGCTGCAGGTGGAGCAGCTGGAGCCGCCGAGGTGCGAGGCGCCGTGGTAACCTCCCAAGCAATAGGGGTCGCGGCATAATCCCTGCAGGAAGGAGGGCGGGGAGGCCCCGGTGAGCGGGCTGGAGCTGGGGGGCTTGCCCGGCGGCAGGCCCAGGCCCCCAGACAGCTGGCCTCCCACGAGGCCGGACTTGCTAGGATCCAGGCCAGGCACGAACTGAGACGGGTAGCCGGCGTAGGCGCCCACGATGGAGCCGTGGTAGCCAATGCTGGAGGGCGGCAGCGGGAACACCGAGTGGCCCGGCTTGTAGGGAGACACCGGCGCCACGTGGCCGGCCCCCACCAGCGCCGAGGGCGGCTCGGACTTGCGCCCGGAGGCCCCGGACTCGGCGCCACCGTGCGCCCCGGGCTCCCCACCGCCGCCGCGGCTCACGGCTGCCGGCTCCGGGCTGGGCTTGGGCTCCTGGTCTTTCTTGTCCAGCTCCCCGCCGCCAACCCCGCCGCCGTTCTTGCAGTCAGAGTGGTGCGGGGAGCCGCCGCGGGAGCCGCCGGGCGACGACGAGGACGAGGATGCGGAGACCGGCGCTCCATGCGGGGGAAAGGGCGGGCAGGCGGCGCTGGGGACCCTGAAGCCCGCCTTGTCTCCCGGGGACGAGGAGGACGAGGAGGAGGTGGAAGACACCGAGGAGGAGCCGCTGTCTTTGCGGGAGTCGCCGCCGCCGGAGCCCTTGGAGTAGGGCTTGAAGCTGGACTTGTCCTCGGCCGGTGAGTCCCCCAGCTGCTTCAGGGCCGCGGCTGCGGAGGCGGCGCCCGGGGCTGAGCGGCCGGGGTCCTTCTCCGCTCCCAGCCCGTTGGCCGCCGCCGCCACCGAGTTGAGTTTGGAGGAGGGCGGCGGGTCCGGCTTGCCGATCTGCGAGCAGGTCTGAGCCAGCAGCGCCAAGGGGCTCTTCTTGGCGTCCAGCTGTGGGAGACAGAAGCAGGGGGAGGGAGAAGGAGTGAGACTCAGAGGCCTGCGGGGCGAGCGGGGGCGCCCGGGGAGCTGGGCGGCGGCGCCACGGGGCGGGGCGGGCCTGGGGAGAGGGTCTGCGAGCGAGGGCCGGGCCGGGCGCGGCAGCTGGCGGAACTGCGCCCACACTGCCGCTGGGTCCCGGGGTGCGCCGCAGGCCCTGCGGAAGGAGTTCACCCAGGACCCCTGCGGGAGAAGGTGACGTCTCTGGAGTCGGGGCTGTGACTCGCCACTTCCCTCTAATGTCCCCCTCCTCCAGGCCCAGGAAAAAACTTATTCCTTTAGTTTGGGGGAACTTCGCTTGGGACGGGTTTCTGGCGATGGCGCCGCGGGGTAGGAGAGGGGAGCGCGGATTCTAAAGGAGGGGCTGCAGTTGGCGCTCTCTCCGTAGCCCCTCCCTCCCGGGGAGGGCACCCAGGGAAGAGGCAGGAAGAAAGATCCGGGATCGGGAGCGCCAGGGCGCCGTGCGCCCTCACCGGATGGGACAGAGGCGAAGTGGGACCCGGGCAGCCAGGGCTTCAAAGAAAACAGCCCGGCGTGGGGGGCGGGGAAGACCCAGCAGAGACCAACTCCTGGCTGGAAACTGGGGATCAGAGGAAAAGTAAAGGACCCAGAGGGGACTCCAGGAGCAAATCCAATCCGAGAGAAAACACGGAGCTCCGAAGGGCGAGCGTGGAAGGAGACCCTTCCACGGGGAAGCCTGGGGAAGCCCTGGTGGGCTCTGATCCCTCGGTTTTCTTCCCCTCCTCACTCAGCCCGCCAGCGTGACCAGACTTGGGTGTCGCACCGAGCCCCGGGGCGCTGGGAGCTGGGTCAGGGTCCCGGTCGCGGTGGGAGGAATGGGGCCGGCGCCCGGGGGCAGCGGCCGGGGACTGACCTCAATGGGGCTGACGGGAGTGGAGGACAGCGGCTGCAGGTACTCCGGGTGCAGGAGGTGACCGGTGTGAGCGCTCAGCATCTTCAGGACCCTGATCGGGAGCCGGTTCGCCTGGCGCAGGGGGTCCGCCGGTGGCAAGAGGGACACCGCTGCCGGCACCGCCGGCCTCTTCCCGCCGCCGCCGCTGCCGCTGCCGCTGCTTTCGGGTGTCCTTGGGTTAGATCCAGCGGGCGAATCGCTCATTTGGAGGAGGCAGCGCCGCTGGGGGGGCGGGGAGGGCGGGGGAGCACCGGGGAGGCGAGCTCCCGGGGCGGGTGGGCTCGCTCCGCAGCGTCGATCGCGGTGCAGCGGGAGCTGCGCCTCCTCGCCGCCTCCCCTCCTCCACCGACGCCTCCGCCGCCGCCGCCACCGCCGCTGGCCCCGGCTAGCAACACAAAAACCTTCGCCTTCCTCGAGCCGCACGTCAAATAGCCGCGATCGGCAGCCACACTTCAAAGGGATCGCCGCGCCCGCCCAATCGCAGCTCTCGCCGGGACCCCGGGGCGGGGAGAGCGGCGGGCTGAGGCCGGCTCCATCGGTGGGCGGGGAGAGCCTTAAAGGGGCCGCGCCGCGCGCCGCCGCTGCCTCGGTCTCGGCCGCTCCCGGGATTCCTCCCCTCCCCCCGACTGGGCCTTCCTCGCCCTGGGGTCCCCCGCCTGGGACGGGACTTCTCCGGGACCCTGAGCTCTGCGCCCCGTCCTCCTTTCCGGCCGCTCTCTCTCCTCTCTCCCTTCTCACCACTGGGTGGGTGGGGGGTGATGCTGGCGGGGGCTGTAACCCCGCCCGCCGTGTGTGTCCGAGGTGGGGTGGGGTGGGGTGGGGTGGGGTGGGAGGGATCGCACGGCGCGGGCTCTGGGACGCTGGAGTTCAAGCCTCTCCCAGAGGCCGCCTGGGGGCAGGCCTCGCCTCGGGAGCCCGGGTCCTTCTCCAGAGCTGCTCCGGCTCTCCTCGGCCCCGCTCTCCTTCCCCTACTTGGCCTCCCCTTGGTGTGTTCACTTGGAAGCGCCCGAGCCTCGGAGGCACCCACTGTTCTCGGGACGCGGCGTAGGCAGCTCCAACTACTTTGAGCCCGTCTTGTCTGAAGCCTGCAAGTTTGTCTCCCTTCTGGAGTGACATGGTCGGCGACCAAGCGCGGGACCCCAGGCTGTGCGCGCTGTGCCTGCGCCCTGCGTTAGAGGCTCGGTGTCTGGTGTGTTACAGGCTTCTTACCGTGTCCTGCTGAGGGGCGTGAAGTTCCTCACTGTACCGCGCCCAGCTGCTACGAGGAGAGACCGAGATCACGGGCGAGGCGGGTGTCCCTGGAGGGGGATCTCTCTCTAAGCGCTGCTCGGCAACACAACCCCTCCGCCCCCCCATCCTTCTCACTCCGGGGGAAAAAGCACTTGCTTTCCCCAGGCAAATTTCGGGATAAAAACTTTTAATTAAAAATAACAATACCCTTCCCGACTCCCTGCGCCTTTCTGATACAGTGTGCATTGCTAGCTTCGCCCTGGGCAGAGATTTTACGTAGTCATAGTCCTGACATCCAAGTTCCGGATCCGCCGCTTTTCCGGAGGCGAAGTTGGTCCTTTGGGTGCCGAACTCTGGGGAGCCCACTTCTCCGTGCGCTCGGCGGCCAGTGGAGGCGCGCTGGTGTCACTGCCTGGCTCCCAGCACCACTTTTCCAGTCCCGATCCATCACTCCGGTTGTCAGGGCTGTCACTCGGGGCGTATTGCTCTAGGATGGCAGGTTCCCGACTCTGCCGCGCTGACCGACGCCTTGAGATGACCTGAGAACCCAAGATGGGGAGAGGTGATTTCAAAGGAGCTCTTCAAACAGAAAGAAATAGCTATCACGAATCTGTATCTTGCCCAGTAGTAGAAGACAGCAGACCCCACTTCCAGGCAGTATCAGTCATACCCAAAACTAAGTGCACTCCCTGGATCCATACTGTATTTTGGGCAGCACTTATAGAATGCTTAGAAATTACACAAGCTGTAATTACATGTTCCCCAATTTTAATCTTGGTAAAATCATGTTACGCCGAATGGAAAGGGGTACCCTGACTGTGAGATGGATCCCACATTGCAGCAAGAGGGGTGCGGGAATGAAAAGGGAGGGAGTGATCTCATTTATTTCATCGTGGCAGGCTTCTCATGCCGACTTCTGTGCGGGCAGCCATTGCCATCACTGCAAACACCACCTGTAAAAGTCCACTGCAGGGCTGTGTCCACCCACAAGCCATTTTGCCTTCGGGAGACTGCTGTGTAGAGCGGGAAGGGCAGAAGGAAGCCAGGGTGCAGAGAGGCTGGCCTTTGCAGGAACGCAGAGGAGGAGGAGCTGGGCAGAGGGGAGACCTAGGAGGCTATGAAAGATGAAAGTCTCCCTGATTATTGTAACCAGCCCAGCTGTGAGAGGGAGCCAAGGGATCCTTCTAGGGCCTGAGCAGATGTGTGTTAGAAATGATTAATGGGAAATAAGTCAGGAGGAAAAGGGGAGGGGAGAGGGAAGAGGTATTTAGGAATTTGGAAAACAGAGCAGGAGGCAGCTGAAAGGAGAGAGGGGAGAAGAGAGAGGACAATAGAATATTCACTCTCTGTTTGGAGAGGAAAAGAGAAGGAAAAAGGTAGTGAATGAAGGAAAGGAAGGGAGAGAAGAGGAGGTAAGGACAGACTGGCAGGATGTGATGGGGGATTTGCCTAGGTAATACTATACTGTCCTGTTAAAAACACCTCACTCCCTGAGCTCCCAGTGGTAATTACTGACGGGCACACAGATTGGCCTGCTCCCACCTCCTGGGAAGTGGTAGGACACACCTCTGAAAGCATGCAAGGCGGGAGGGACACACTTTGAGCTGCTGGTCAGGGCAGCAGGGTTTCTTTGGCTGGATCCATCCAAACGTCTTAGGAGGGAAAATGAAAAACCATGCATAGCCAGGCCAGAGGCCTAATTAAAACACTGCTAGATGATTATTACAATTGGGATTCACCATTCACTTAGCTAAAATGCTAACCTATACAGAGCACTAAATGGGGCCCTCGGGGCCTGAAGGCAAGTGTAGTTTTCAGAGGAATGGCTTGTCACCTGGGAGGGAATGTGGCTCTGTATTCAGATGGGCTGTGTTTATGGAGGGCGATGTGGTTGGAAGGCCCGAGTAAGACATCCCTGTTCAGGACATATGACACAGGTTCTCCCTCTGCAAAAAAGTGGCAGATGCGTGGCTCAGGGGCCTTCCACTGTCCAGGTCCTCCTCAGATGGCCCTGGGAATGAGCGGCCACCATTAAAATGGGACAGGGGAGAGGGCTGCCTGAGAGTGCCCCCATGACACTGTGGTGAAGAATGACAGTTCGGTATGTCAGGCGCTTAATAAACATCAGGTGTTGCTATCATTCTCAGTTCAAGCTGAAGAGAGTCAGGCCCAGAACCAGGCTGCTGTGGGGACCCCGGGCAAGTGAACCTCCCTAAGCTTTGGTTTCCTCCAGGGTAAAATGGAAGCGTGGCCACTTCAGAGTTGGGAGACCAGAAGCAGACAATGCATGTCACCTGTTTCATGCTTGGCACAAAGAAAGTTGAAGGTAAATGATGGCTGTAACCGATTGCATCATTTGTGTCTGAGGAGCAATTGCTCAGGGGAGCAGCCACATCAGCACCAGATTTAGCCCTGGGAACCCAAGCAGAAGAGCCCAGGTTGTCTCTGAATTCTACAGAAATGAAAGTAACCCTTCCCCAGCCTCCAGTTCAATGTGTCTTTTTTTTTTTTTGAGACGGAGTCTTGCTGTCTTGCCCAGGCTGGAGTGCAGTGGCATGATCTCGGCTCACTGCAACCTCTGCCTCTCGGGTTCAAGCGATTCTCCTGCCTCAGCCTCCCGAGTAGCTGGGATTACAGGCGTGTGCTATGATGCCTAGCTAATTTTTGTATTTTTAGTAGAGATGGGGTTTCTCCATGTTGGCCAGGCTGGTCTTGAACTCCTGACCTCAAGTGATCTGCCGGCCTCAGCCTCCGAAAGTGCTGGAATTACAGGCATGAGCCACCGTGCCCAGCCCGCAATGTGTCTTAAAAAAAAAAAAAAATAGCCCATCCCTCCCTAGAAGCCATCAAGAAAATCCTTTAAGAAACTGTGAATATGTATAGATTATTTTTTCACTACTTCAATTTACATAAAATTCACCACCCAGGAAAAAATGCTCGAGTCAGGTTAAGACCTAGAGGGGGTAGATTTGTTGTGTGGGGTTAATGTGTAGTTTTCAGTCCTTGCCGAGGCAGAATTGCCTGAATGATCGCCTCTCTCTCCTCTCTCTGCATAACACTCAAACCCTAATGGCAACAACATGAAATAATATCTCACTGGGTAACTATTTACATTTTTTTTTTTTTTACAAGCTGTAAGAACTCTGAAAAGTCTGCCTCATAGAGAACTTGGTTTTCCTCCCTGGCGCTTAATATCTTTCAGCGGCTGGCAATTACTGCTTTGGCCGGGAGCCCTGATTTAGCACACTGCACTCAGGGCACTTGAAGGCGCTTCCTCTGTCTGCCCCATCCCCCGGCTTCAGACACAGCCTGGGGCACGAGAGGGGCACCAGGGAACAGTGGGAGCAAGCAGGCTAAGACCAGGACAGCCAGCCCTGCAGGAAGCCCGCCCCACCGATGACTCAAGAGGCTCCCTCTTCTACATTCTCACAGTTGGTATTATGTTCTATTATTACACCTATCACATGGCATCTGCCACTATTTGCTTCCTTGTCTGATCTCCCACTGGACTGTGAATGCTTCTTGTTTTCCTCATCCTCTTTGTGTACTTATTGCCTAACAGAGCGGTTCACCATCACCACAGTAGCCAACGTTGAGTGCCAAACGCTGTTCTAAGCACTTTGCGTGCATTCTCTCATTTAATCCTTGCAGAAACCTTAGGAGATGGGTCCTATGGTTACTTCCATTTCACAGGCACAGAAAGGTTAAGTAACTTGCCCAAGGCCCAAGCTGGTAGGAGGTGAGCCTGGAGTGTCAAATCCAGGTCCAGGCAGTCTCAGTGCAGTTAGTACCCAGTGAATGTTTCTGATGAACGAAGAATTTTACAAAAATAGGGCTATTTATTTATATCACACCTCACTGTATTCCCAAAAGGTTTAACACGGATGATTGTATTTTTCAAAATGTTGATTGTATAAACATGTTAAAGTACCTTTTCCCAAATGCATTGTTTTTTTGAGACAGAGTCTTGCTCTGTTGCCCAGGCTGGAGTGCAGTGACGTGATCTTGGCTCACTGCAACCTCCGCCTCCTGGGTGCAAGCGATTCTCCTCCAGTCTCAGCCTCCCAAGTAGCTGGGATTACAGGCGCCCACCATCATGCCCAGCTAATTTTTGTATTTTTAGTAGAGACAGGGTTTCACCACGTTGGCCAGGCTGGTCTTGAACTCTTGACCTCAGGTGATCCTCCTGCCTCAGCCTTCCAAAGTGCTGGGATTACAGGCGTGAGCCACTGCGCCTGGCCCCAAATGCATCTTTGGGTCCAGCATCTCACAGCAATTTTCTTTCCTTTGGGCAGGTGTTATTATCCTTGTTTGACAGATGAGGAAATGGGCTCGGAGAGCTTAAGGGAGCGTCCAAAGTCACACACAGCAAAAGGCTGGCAGAATGGGCACAGAATGAGTCCTTCTCGGTCCCTTCCCTGGTTCTTGGTCTATTGCCTTCTGCCACTGTTGTTGTGTGGACAGAGAGCTAACTCCTTTTGATAAAAGAAGGAAGAATGAACTCCTTTTCCTCACCTAAGAATTTCCTCTAGAGATGTGGTGGGGAGGAAGGGACAAAAGGAAGTGCGGACCAAAGCTTGTCTCCAAGCCTGTGCGTTTGATCCCGGTCCTTGAGCAGCTGCTTTGAAGAGGGTGGTTTGGTTTATCTCCTATCAGCTCCTGGGGAGCTAGGCCGGGGAGATGGAGTAGGTGTGATTTTGAAGTTCTCCTTCCTTAGCCTGACCTGCCCTGATACATCAACGCTAGCCCTGGGCATTCACCCCTGACTGCTTTGTTCCTTTGGACCTTCAAGTTTCTTAGAGATTCCTCTTTTAAGTCGCTAATGTTGCTGGGAGGCGTCAAACCCTTTTTATCAGCCAATTGTGGTTAGCAGAGTGAGTGTTCCTCCCAGGATAATAATAACATCTATTGAACACTTATCCTGCTAGACACTGTATTGAGCACCTTGCCTGTAATAACTCATTTACTTCTCACAGCAAACCATGGTGAGCACTATTATTATGCCTGTTTTATAGGTAAGGTACTGTTTTGTAGGTGAGGCCCAGAGAGGTTAAGCAACTTGCCTGAGTTACACTGCTAGAAAGTGGTAGATCCAGGATTCAAGTCCAGATAGTTGGTTCCTGAGCCACTCCACTCTACAGAGTGCGGGACTGAAGGAGAGGGAGGCTTAAAGTCAGAGAGAGCAGGAGGAGAAACTGAAGACAAATTGATCATTTTCCAGAGGGCTGGTCTTCTCCATCAGATTTTCCTTTCATCTTGAGAAATGAGAAATAGGGGAGGGAGAAAACTGAGGCAGAGAAGGAAGTGAGGGGAGCTTCCATTTATTCCATTAATTGATTAGATTGAATTGATTAACTCAATTAATCATGCATTCAGTTACTCTTTATGGACCACTTGGTAGGTGAAGGCTCAAGGCGATTTCATGGTGGGTAAAGACCAGAGGAAGCCAGCAAGCCCCGTGCCTGTCTCTCGATGATGCACATTCAGCAGCTGCACGTTCCTATCCTCTCTGCATCTGCGTGCTCCTTTTGCAGATTAAGAAATAAAAAAGTCAGGAGGCTGTAATTGAAATCCTGCTTAGTATCCCCATCTTTCAGTTGCTCCCTGATTTTTTGTTTGTTTGTTTGTTTGAGATAGGGTCTCGCTCTGTTGCCCAGGCTAGACCTCAGTGGTGCAATCACGGCTTCAAAATCCTGGGCACAAGTGCTCCTCCCACCTCAGCCTCCAGAGTAGCTGGGACTACACGTGCATGCCACCACACCAAGCTCATTTTTAATTTTTTTTTTTTTTTGGTAGAGATTGGGGTCTTGCTGTGTTGCCAGGGCTGGTCTTGGCCTCATGCAAGCCTCCTGCCTTGACCACCAAAAGTGCTGGGATTACAGGCATGAGAAACTGCGCTGGCCCACCCACTTTTTTTTTTTCTTTGAGATGGAGTCTTACACTGTTGCCCAGACTAGAGTGTGGTGGTATGATCTCAGCTCACTGCAGCCTCGGCCTCCCAGGTTCAAGCTATTCTCCTGCCTCAGCCTTGCAAGTAGCTGGATTACAGGTGCACGCCACCATGCCTGGCTAATTTTTGTATTTTCAGTGGAGACGGGGTCATGTTGGCCAGGCTGGTCTTGAACTCCTGACCTCAAGTGATCTGCCCTCGTTGGCCTCTCAAAGTGCTGGAATTACAGGCCTGAGCCACTGCACCTGACCCCCACTTCTTTTTTAAGTGCATTTACTTCAAATTAAATTCAGATTTCCAGTAACGTTTACCGAGCAGCTTCTGGGTGCAGGCATTATTCTAGGTGTGTTCATGCACCTTCTCTCACTTGGGTGGAAGGGGAATCCAGGATTAGAGTGAAAGGCCCCTGAAATAAGAAGCAGGGCCCATGCTTACCTGAGGGCATTGTGCCCCCCAGCATCCTGCCCTTCCCTGCATTGAGTGACCGCTAGCCAGAACCACAGGAAACCTCAGCCCCTCCAGAAGACCTTGCTGGGTGTCAGGCTGTGAGTTATCACCTGGTTCTGACCCTCGCCGTGGCTTTAGTCATGAAGGTGATGATATTTCCATGACCCCCTTTCTAAGGAATAAACGTCTAGGCTTGTCCAAAATGTGCCCCTTTCTCGGCCAGTCTTCCAAGCTGGGATGGGCAGCTCCAAATTCATTTAAACAAACACAATTCGAGAAAAAGGGGAGCTGTTCAGGAAGTGACTTGATGATCGCAAGTTGTATTTGATAAAACCAAATTCTAAGATGTCAGGAAAATTTCAAGGAGTGTTTATTTCAGTGGCCCTCTGCCAGCCTCTGCTTGGAGAAGGGGGCCTGAGAAGTGCGGCCCCAACCAAACTCATGGCCAAAAGTATAATGGTTCATTCAGAGTGGGGATTTACATAACAAGCCCCCTTTAAAAGTGATTTAGAATTATTTTTAAGTTTGTCGAAAAATGCATTTTATTTATTTATAATGAAGTGCATTCCCATGGCACCAATTTCCAAAGCTATGAGTGGAAAAAACCTTCTTCCAGCTGTTGATCATTCTCAGTGCATCAGTGCTTTGAGTTTATTGCCCATCCTTCCAGAGGTATTTTTTCACATATTGGCAAATACATATATATATATATATTTTCTTCCGCCACCCTTAAACTTTTTTTTTATTTCCATAGGTTTTTGGGGAGCAGGTGGTATTTGGTTACATGAGTAAGTTCTTTAGTGGTGATTTTTTTTTTTTTGAGACGATGTTTCACTCTTGTTGCCCAGGCTGGAGTGCAATGGCGCGATCTCGGTTTACCGCAACCTCTGCCTCCCTGGTTCAAGCGATTCTCCTGTGCCACCACACCTGGCTAATTTTGTATTTTTAGTAGAGACGGTTTCTCCATGTTGGTCAGGCTGGTCTGGAACTCTCGACCTCAGGTGATCTGCCCGCCTTGGGCTCCCAAAGTGCTGGGATTACAGGCGTGAGCCACTGCGCCCGGCTGCATTTTTAATTTCCATAGGTTTTTGGGGAACAGGTGGTATTTGGTTACATGGTTACATGAGTAAGTTCTTTAGTGGGGATTTGTGAGATTTTGGTGCACCCATCACCTAAGCAGTATCCACTGAACCCAATTTGTAGTCTTTTATCTGTCACCCATCCACTCTTTCCCCTGAGTCCCCAAAGTCCATTGTATCATTCTTAGGCCTTTTCATCCTCATAGCTTAGCTCCTGCTTATGAGTGAGAACGTACAGTGTTTACTTTTCCATTCCTGAGTTACTTCACTTAGAATAATGGTCTTCAATTCCATCCAGGTTTCTGTGAATGCCATTAATTCATTCCTTTTTTATGGCTGAGTAGTATTTTTTATATATATATATATATATATATATATATATATATATATATACATGCCACAATTTCTTTATCCACTCATTGATTGATGGGCATTTGGGCTGGTTCCATATTTCTGCAATTGTGAATTGCTGCCACCCCTTTTTTTTAAAAAATAGAATCTCGTGCAGGCGCTGAGGCTGGAGTGCAGTGGCACAATCACAACTCACTGCACTCCCAACCTCCTGGGCTCAAGTGATCCTTCTACCTCAGTCTCCCAAGTAGCTAGGATCACAGGTGCATGCCACCATACCCAGCTAATTTTTAAAAAATTTTTGTAGAGATGGGGGTATTGCTATGTTGCCCAGGCTGGTCTTGAACTCTTGGGCTCAAGTGATCCTTCTGCCTCGGCTTCCTATGGTGTTGGGATTACAGGCATGAGCCACTGTGCCTGGCCTCTTTCCCCCTTTTATAAACAAATGGGAATATACTATATGAACTGTTCTGTACTTGCTTTTTATTTATTTTTATTTTTATTTCTTAAAGATAATATATTTTAGAGATTGTTTCATGGGCTTCTATGTTTTGTTTATTTATTTATTCCAGTTCCACAGCATTGTTACATGGATATGCCACAGTTTATTTAACCACTCCCCTACAGCTAGATATTTAGTTTTTTTTTTTTTTGTTGTTGTTGTTGTTTTGAGACAGAGTCTTGCTCTGATGCCAGGCTGGAGTATAGTGGCTCAGTCTCGGCTCACTGCAACCTCCTGCCTCCTTGGTTCAAGCGATTCTCCTGCCTCAACCTCCCGAGTAGCTGGGCCTACAGGTGTATGCTACCACGCCCAGCTAATTTTTGTGTTTTTAGTAGAGACCGGGTTTCACCATGTTGGCCAGGTGGGTCTCCATCTCTTGACCTCAGCCTCCCAAAGTGCTGGGATTACAGGCATGAGCCACTGCGCCTGGCTGACATTTAGATAGTTTTAACCTTTTGCTCCTGCAGTGCATAACTATATATGTCATTGTATACATATAATGTCATATATATGTATGTCATTTATTCTCAATGTGTGCTAGCATGAGTATGGGGGAAATTCCTAGGAGTAGAATTGTTGGGTCAAAAGCTATATGCGTTCAGAACAACTCTGTTTTAAGAAAATTGGTAGGGTAGCCTTGGAGTGTGTTAGAAATTCAGCTTTGGGGCCAGCTGTGGTGACTCACACCTGTAATCCCAGCACTTTGGGAGGCCAAGGCGGGTGGATCACTTGAGGTCAGGGGTTTGAGACCAGCCTGGCCAACATGGTGAAACCCTATCTCTACAACATACAAAATTATTAATAATTACAAAAATAATAATAATTATTATTTTTGTATTAATAAATACAAAAATTAGTCAGACATGGTGGTGCGTGCCTGTAGTTCCAGCTACTTGGGAGGCTGAGGCAGGAGAATCACTTGAGCCCGGGAGGCTGAGGCAGGAGAATCACTTGAACCCGGGAGGCAGAGGTTGCAGTGAACTAAGATCTCACCACCGCACTCCAGCTTGGGTGACAGAGTGAGACTCAGTTAAAAAAAAAAAGAAAGAAATTCAGCTTTGGGGTGTGAGCAGGAATACACAGGAAATGCCTCTGGGACCTTCTGGTCACATTCATTTGGAGAACTATAAAGGCTCATAGAGGAAGTGGTTGCATTTCCATCTTTGGATTTAAGTAAATATCATGCTTCTCATGTTCCCCTTCTCCCCTTCCCACCCTCTCCATCCTTTAGTAAGAGAAGAAGGAGGAGAGGAATACATCAAAGCTAGCCTAAAAGAATCCAGGATATTGACAAATAGATATTTTAACAAAGCAGAATTTCCAGTAACTGAAACCTAATTAAAACTCTGGTTTATCCAGACCTTTTTGGATCATGTTCATAAAAAGGCAAAGGTTATGTCAAAGACAATAAATATATGAAATGATTTTGGTAGTGTCAGCAGAGGTTCATCTTCAGGCTTAATCATGAATTGCCCGAATGAGAACTGTAAAGCACTGGAAGATATCAAAACATGAAATAAATAATTATTGTTAGTAGAGGACTCACCAGGGCAGGAAAGTTGTTTTTATTTTGTCCTTGTTTTTATTTATTTTTTGCATAGGTATTACCTGCAAAATTTAAAGGTACAAAGGGCGCATCTATATAATTTCTCAACAAGGGCAGAGATGTTGAGAATTTTCTGCTTTATCAACCATTTACGAAGAAAAAAACAGTCAAGCAGAGTCTCTCATTCACTAGGCATTTTGGTTTACACAGCTTCTCATTGCAAAGACTCACAGCTCAAGCCCCCCATTTTTTTTTTTTTTGAGACAGGGTCTTGCTCTGTTGCCTAGGCTGGAGTGCAGTGACATGATCTTGACCCACTGCAGCCTTGATCTCCCAGGCTCAATCGATCCCCCTACCTCAGCCTCCCCAGTAGCTGAAGCCCAACTTTCGTCTCTTCACCATCAGTCCCGGGCTTGGGCCTCGGGGTCAAACTGCACTCTTTGTGAGTGACTTTGACTCTGTGACACTGGGAAGAAGGATCAGGACTGGTCAGTATCTTGATGTGCTTGTAGAGTCAGGATGAGTGGAAATTCCAGGATGTCTAAAGTAAACTTCTAGCAAGAATTCTAGTTCTGTGTCACCCACTGCGTCTGTGTCACTTGCTGCCCCGTGTGCTGAAGAACAGTCACTGGGCATCCTGAGGCACTCCTTCTGTGTCTCTCGAGGCCTGACATTGATGAGGTCAGCACCACTGCTTTCTTCCAGGGTGTGTTTGTTTTTCTCCTTAATTTCCTTAAAGAAATAAACCAATGTACAAATAACTAAACAGCAACAACAACAAAATCAAACCAACCAGAACCAGAAAAGCGACAGCAGTTAAAAACCATGAGTCGAATGTGTCCTTTTCCTTATGTTTATTCTCACTTCCCATCAGGCCTGAATGGGCTCTCCCAGGTCTCTGTCCTCTCTCTAAGCTGGGTGAATTTTTCATCACTGCAGCCAAAATGCATAATGATGACTTTATTGATGACAGGAGACATGTTTTAAAACAGTTGTTTTAAAACAACTGACAAGAGCTGCAAGATGGGAAACGACAAGAAAGTGAGATTTTTTTTAAATTAGGGAGGATGAGATAGGAGGCTGGCAAAGGAGAAGTGTTTTCCTTATCAACTGTTGGAATTTATGCTTTCTTCCTTGAACAAATAAAGCAAACTACCCAGGGCCAGGCGTGGTGGTGGCTCATGCCTGTAATCCCAGCACTTTGGGAGGCTGAGGTGGAAGGATCGCTTGAGCCCAAGAGTTCGAGACCAGCCTGGGTAAGAAAGCAAGGAGAACTCCAGGTCTCCAAAAAAAAAAAAAAAAAAGCAGCAGCAGCTGACCGTGGGGATGCACACCTATAATCCCAGCTAATTGGGAAGCTGAAGTGGGAAGATCTCTTGAGTCTAGGAGTTCGGGGCTGCAGTGAGCTGTGATCACACCACTGCATTTCAGCCTGGGTGACACAGTGAAACCCTGTCTTAAAAAATAAAAAGTAAAAAAAACATTCAGGGCTGGGCGTGGTGGCTCACGTCTGTAATCCCAGCATTTTGGGAGGCCGAGGCAGGTGCATCACTTGAGGTCAGGAGTTCGAGACCAGCTTGTCCAAAATGGTGAAACCCCATCTCTACTAAAAATACAAAAATTAGCTGGATGTGCCTGGTGGTGTGTGCCTATAATCCTAGCTACTCGGGAGGCTGAGGCAGGGGAATCGCTTGACCTGGGAGGCAGAGGTTGTAGTGAGCCGAGATCACGCCACTGCACTCCAGCCTGGGTGATAGAGCGAGACTCCGTCTTAAGAAGAAAGCTGGGGTAAGGACATTGCATAATAACAGTACTCAGAGACTTGGGCATTAGGGCTTGGGGTGCCCTTGAACTGCTTCTTATGGGGCCCTCTCACAAGAGACATTGCTGTATGAAAATGCCAAGGTCATGTGGGGGCCAGGAGAAGGTGAACTCCACTCCCCAGCCCCATGATGCCTGCGTGATGTCTCAGGTCAACTTAGCAGGTATCTATGAGGCCCCTAGACATGAGGCTTCCCAGACGTGGTGAAGAATGCAAGACAGATGTCCTCAGAATGTCAACAGAACAGTAAAGGCTGTTGTACAGACAGTTCACTGAGGATTCATTGGCCTTAGGGAAGACAAATACAGTTGTCTCAGCCTGTGCTTGGGATCAATTCCTTTCCTATGGCTACCAACTGGCGATTGTAATCCTCTCCTTAGGGCTGCTCCCTCTTAAAAATCTGGAGGGAGAATTAAAGAAGATGAGAACTTAGCAGAGTTTACTTGTGTCCTACAGGAGAGAGAGGAGAAACAGAGCAAAAATCAAGAACACATGAGGGCAAGGAGGGAAAAGAAAGCATTTACTTAGCCGAGAAAGAAGCTGCTGTTTCCTCTGTGATGGGAAATTTTTTAAAAAGTCTCAGGAGGTGGTGATGAGACCCAGGGTTTGGAAGGGAGTTAGAGTACTCCTGGCACATCTTTTTAATTTTATTTTTTAAAATGTTTTAAAACTCGGATAGCCTTTTTCTTTCTTTCTTTAAAATATTCAACTTTTATTTTAGATTCAGGGGGTACATGTGCAGGTTTGTTACATAGATATATTGCACGATGCTGAGGTTTGGGGGTACGGTTGATCCTGTCACCCAGGTAGTGAGCATTGTACCCAATAGTTAGTTTTTCAGCCCTTGCCCCGCCCCCCAGTAGTCCCCAGTGTCAATTCTTGCCATCTTTATTTCCATGTGTACCCCATGTTTAGCTCCCACTTATAAGTGATGACATGCAATATTTGGTTTTCTATTCCTGCACTGATTCTCAGGATAATGGCCCCCAGGTCTATCCACGTTGCTGCAAAGAACATGATTTCATTATTTTTTTTATGGCTGTGTAGTATTCCATAGTGTATAGATACCATGTTTTCTTTATCCAGTCCACTGTTGATGGGCACTTAGGTTGATTCCATGTCTTTGCTATGGTGAGTAGCTTTTGCACATCTTTTGAGAAAACTTCTTTTCATGGTTTGGGGGCCCAAGTGTGATGAAGAGGATGGACTGGGAGCAGCCAGCTCTGCTGAAGGGTCTTTGATGATTCCTCTTGTTGTTTCTGGTAAAATTATGTTGATATGGAATCTACTTAATTAATTCAACCAGTTTGTCACTTCTCAAGTTGTCAGGGATTCAGCCCTGGGGGCAAAGATAGCCAGCAGAGGTCTCCAGGGCCCTGCACCCAGCAGCCCGCCGAGCTCAGGCCTGGGCAGGGCAGAGAATTAAAAGCATTTAGTTAACTTCTCCTTGGGGACACAAATTCAGACCTTCTTAGAACACACCCAGTCCCTTACCACTCTGCAAGCAAAGCATGATATTGGTTTCTTTAACCCCAATAGGTTTTGCCAAATAAGAGAGCGTTAATATCCCCCTCCTACCCACCGCATGGATTGAATTACTTAAAGCGTCTTTTTGGAGATGTCAGCAGTTTAATAGAGGCAATAACTCAGGGCTGCCCTTGTGTTTTATTTTTCTGCCAGTATTTAGTTAATCAAAGAATGCAAATTAAAACACCTTAATTTATATAATATCAATACCAATGCCTTAAAACATTTGGCATAACTGCTCTGGCACGTCCCTTACATAAACTCTTCAGAGTAGTGCTAATAAAAATGAAAAAGGTGGTAAATCAAATTTAATTTATTCATTTTCTGTATGGTATAAAAGCATATGCCAAAATCAAGTTATTTATGAGTGCATCATAACAATAGGCATTTTTAGTGGCTGCAAATGACAAAGAAGATTTTCAGAGGGATGTGTGTTTTAATTTTGAAACTTCTCTAGGTACATCTATTTTCTGGGCTCCGAGCTCTAAAATTTATATTTTTGCACCCATATCTCCAGGAAAAAAATAGGTTTAGATATTGAAAAACATATTGAGCCTAAAAACATGGCAATATCCACTCATAAAAGCAGCTGCAACCATCTATATGTAGATAGACATATACACAATACGTCCTATGGTATATGAATCTGCAGGTGAGATAAAAGGTTGGTGATTTATATCCGATTTCTTAAATATTCCATTAAGAGGATTATCTCACAGGAGGCTCAGATACAGACAGCATCGGAAGGGATTTGGTGTGCGGCTGCTTTCTTGGAAGCCTTAGAGATGAACTACATGTACATGAATGAAGAGCTGGACTCGCATTTTCATCTTTCCCCTCCTCTGCTGATGTATCTTTCTTTGTCTGATGGATCTGAGCCTTGAGTACATTTTATTCGGAACTGGAAAGACTGTATGCTGCATTCAGGCTACTGAAGGATGGCATGCTCTCCCTCCCTGCCCTGGCAAACCTCCCAAATGCAATTGTCCTTTTAAAAACCTCTTCCTCACCCAGCCTTTAACTCAATAGGTTACAGGCCATGTGGGAGAGTGGGGAGAAGTTTGGGAGAAACCGTCTCCCCACTGACCATTCCTGATCCCATCCTGACAAACTCAAGCAAATTCACAAATACAACCCTCTAGCCGGCCCATGGCCTCCCTATTTGGGAGGAAAAAACTCAGTATGATACTGTGACATATTTCATTCATTATCTGTTAAGGTGAGCGTGGCAAACCTGGCCGAAGTGGCAGAATATTGGGGCTCATCACTTGGGGGAATGATTCAGGAGTGGCATCCTTCTGTGACCTGTGACAGCCACTTAAGGTTGTGGGATGACTACTACAAAATCCCAAATAAAGTATATCCTAGAGGCTTTCTTTTCTTTTCTTTTCTTTTCTTTTCTTTTCTTTTCTCTTCTCTTCTCTTGTCTTCTCTTCTTTTCTCTTCTTTTCTCCTCTCCCCTCCCCTCCCCTCCCCTCTCCTCTCCTCTCCTTTCCTTGTTTTAGAGACAGTGTCTTGCTCTGTTGACCAGGCTGGAATGCAGTTCTGTGATCTTAGCTCCCTTCAGACTCAAACTCCTGGGCTCAAGCGATCCTCCCGCCTCATCCTCCAGAGTAGTTGGGATGACAGGTGTGTGTCACTATGCTGGCAAATTTTAAACATTTTTTTTTCTTGTAGAGAAGGGGTCTTGCTATGTTGCCAGGGTGGTCTCGAATTCCTGGCCTTAAGCATCCTCCTGCCTTAGCCTCCCAATATGTTGGGATTACAGGTGTGAGGCACAGTACCTGGTCAAGACTTTTTTTTTGATGGTAAAAACAGTGATATACCTTTTACATGGGTTCCATTTGGAGGTAACAGGATTCCTTCCTTTGCTTCAGACTCATTGCAATAGCAAGCTAGAAACTTACACTTTCAAGTAGCTGCTGCTTCTTTGGAGGTGCCAAACAGAGCCAGAGAAGGTTCTAGAAGAGTTAATTGTAACCACTTCCCTCCCCCATCAAACGTCCCCTCCAAGCCATAGTGTCTCACTGGTTCATGGGAGAAAGAGTCTGGTGTGGCCAACAACTGGCTTGAGGGGCATGTGGAGCTTTCTGCATATTTTATCAGGGCACTTGGCATCAGAAGCTCTCACAGAAGGCTGGAGGGAGCCAGGGGGCAGGGTGTCTGGGTGGGCACTGGCTGGGCTGTCCCTCAGTGTGTCCATGTGGAGCCTACACACCCCACATGTGATTGTGGGCATATTCTCTCTATCTTTTTTCTTGCTACCTGTCATCTTTAAAAGCCAGTTTTTGCCTTTATATTTATTTATACTCCTTCTACCGCCATAAAAGATCTGAGGTTGCTTACGATTTCATAGCAGATGCAGTAAAACCTGAAGCCATTAGCAGAAAGGTAGAAAGATCAGAGCCAAGTAAAAAGGAGGAGGGGGAGGAATAAGGAGATTAATTATACCAGAGGGGAAAAAAAGCTTAGATTAAGGAAAGAGAATGCAATTGAGAACAAAACCCAGCTCCTAACTCCCTGGTAGCTTGGTGGGCGGCTGCCAGCAACTGTAATCACTATAGATTATTGCACCTCAAAGGCAGGTTTAAATGCCTTCGCGTACTCCCTGGCAGAGTGAGCTTGGTCAAGCCACTTCAGCTCTCTGAATTTCTATTTCCTCATCTGTAAAATGAGGATTAAGTGAACTCATCATCAGGTTCTTGTGAGAATTCAGTTCAACAGCAATGACAGACAGTAGCTCTCACTCTCATAGCAGGTGCTGTGTGCCAACGACTGTTCTGTGTGTTTCACACAGAGATCACTAATCAATTCTAAGATGCATTTTCCCTACATTTTAAACATCTCTGACACTGATAAAAAAGGCACCATGTCACTGATCATTTAACAGCAGTTGTTTTCTTTCTTTGTTGGACCTAAAATAACAGCGCATTGCAGATGAGATGAAATATGTTATTAACTCATGAAAGCCTCATAATGTAACTTTATGAGGTAGGTACTATTTTTGTCCCATTTTGTAGATGAGGAGACTGAGGCATGGAACATTTAAATGCCTTGTCCAACACTAGCTGTCAAGCAGTGGAGCTGGGATTGAAATTCTCGTAGGCTGTTTGACTCCACCAGTTCACTATTCAGCCTTTCACACAAAACCAACTTTCCTTCCTTCCTTCCTTCCTTCTTTGGTTCGTTCCTTCCTTAGTTCCTTCTCTTTCTTTTCTCTTCTCTTCTCTTCTGTTTTCTTTTCTTTTGAGACAAGATCTTACTCTGTCACCCAGGCTGGAGTGCAGTGGTGTGCTCACAGCTCACTGCACCCTTGACCTCTCAGGCCCAATTGATCCTCTCACCTGACCCTCTTGAGTCAATGGGGCTACAGGAGCATGCCAATATGCCCAGCTAATGTTTTTATTTTTTGTAGATATGGGGTTTCACCCTGTTGCCCAGGCTGGTCTCAAACTCCTGGGCTCAAGCAATTCCCCCTCCTCGGCCTCACAAAGTGCTGAGATTACAGGCATGAACCACCACACAGTCTGGGCCAACAAAACTTTCAACAAAAAACATTTCAGCTAAACTTGCACTATTGAGCCCTGGCGATATAAGATGAAAAGATATGTACTTGCCGTAAAGGATTGGACTCTCTAGTGAGGGGACCAACGTGTAAACAAGCCATAATATCTCAGGGCATTAATATTTCTGTGGAAATATTAGATTCAAGGCATAGAGGCAGAGAAGGGAGAGTTAATTGATTTCTCTCAAGCGTTGGCCCTAGGGCTTAGCTCTGCAGTGGGAAATATCCCTCCAACAGGTCATGAGCTACTTTAGTGAACACGTTCTTCACAGCAGAGAACCAAAGGCCCGGGCACCTCACCTATGGCCCTTTCTTCTGTGGATGAGAGGAGAGCTGGGAGTAGCAAATCTTGAGGGAATATCAGGCTCTCAGGTAACATTTGTAAGTGAGCTTTGAGACAGACACCAGCGGGAGAGCTCTGCCTTGTAAGGTGAGGGCTAGAGGCTTTCTGATTCTGGACACCGAGGCCAGGAGGGTGGGGAAATCAGGGAAGAACCTAAAAGGGGGAAAAATACATGGCCTCTAAACCACCTGTTTAGAGTGAGAAAATGCAGCTTCCAGAGGAATGGGGCAATAGTCACTGGGACGCAGTGAGGGGTGGTGGAAGAAGAAGCAGGAGAATCCCCCAGTTTGAGACCCAGTTTTGCCTCTTAGGAGCACATCATCCTTTGAGTCTCAATTTTATCATCTGTCTAATGGGCATAGTAACATTGCGCTTATCTACCTCCCACAGTTGTTAAAAGATTAATTAAGATAATATATGTGAAAGTGCCTCCAGGTGTGGTGGCTCACGCCTGTAATCCCAGCACTTTGGGAGGCCGAGGCAGGTGGATCACGAGGTCAAGAGATCGAGACCATCCTGGCCAACATGGTGAAACCCCATTTCTTCTAAAAATACAAAAATTAGCTGGGTGTGGTGGCGTGCACCTGTAGTCTCAGCTACTCAGGAGGCTGAGGCAAGAGAATCGCTTGAACCCGGGAGGCGGAGGTTGCAGTGAACTGAGATTGAGCCACTGCACTCCAGCCTGGCGACAGAGCAAGACTCTGTCAAAAAAAAAAAAAAAAAAAAAAAAAAAGAAAAGAAAAGAAAAGAAAGTCCTTTCCAAATGAAATGATGGGATGGAATGCATGGTCTTTCTAGCCAGGGCCTGGCTCTGTGTGCTTGGGTAAGTTACCACAGGGAAAAAAAGAGGAATGCCGGGAACAGGGCTTGCCTACAGTCTCTGGCAGTCACTAAAGGGGCCTGACTTAGAACTCAAAGCTCCTGCAGGGTGGGAGTCTCACTGATCTCCCCTCCATCCCCACTCCCCACTTAGTGAGGAAGTTTGGGGGCTGATGTAGAAGGTCGCTCCTCCTAGAGGTCAGGGACTGTGTCCTATGGGACTTGAACAAAACAAAACCAAAGCAAATCCATTTTGACAGAACATCCTTGATAAAGAATGTTTTCTAATATTTCAAACAGAATAAAACCTCTGTTTTAATATTAATCACATTTGGTCTAGCATCTTCCAGACCAAACAAGAATAGGACAGAAACTGCACCGAGCCTGAGTCCCTGGCCTTAAGCGTGGGTGTCTGTGGACCCTGTTCATTGTAGTGCTGTCTATAGGAGAGAGGGGTTTGCTGTAAAGGCCCCACCTCCAAGTCCAAGGGGGTCCTGGTCTGAAGGCTTCACAGCCTACAGCCTGGGGGAAGAAGGGTGGCTGTCAGGGAGGAGGGGGCTGCTGTGGACGGGCCACTACTCCAGGGACATTAGGAGCTGACTCCACCTTTTCTGGCCTCTCCTGTGAGGGAGAAGGAAGGAGGAAGTGGGAGGAGAAAGAGGGGGAGAAGGAAGGGGCCTGAGAACTGGGAAGTATAATACAAAAAGAAGGGACTGAACAGAGGGAGCAGCCAGGCCCAGTGGCTCACGCCTGTAATCCCAGCACTTTGGGAGGCCAAGGTTAGAGGATCCCTTGAGCCCAGGAGTTTGAGACCAGCCTGGGCAACATAATGAGACCCAGTCTCTAATTTTTTTTTAAAAATTAGAAAATTTTATATATATGTATTATATATGTATATATAATACATATATGTTTTCATATATATGTATTATATATGAATATATATTAATATATGTAGTATATATGTATATATAATATAAATATAATATATATAATATATATTTTGATATATATTATATGTATAATACATATTTTGATATATATTATATATATAATACATATATACATATATAATACACACACACATACATATGGAGAGAGAGAGAGAGGGAGGAAGTGAGGAGAAGGGGGAGAAAGTGAGGTGGAGGAGGCTGACTCAGCACAGGAGGTCAGAACAAAGTAGCCATTTTGCACATCAAGGGCCTGGAATCTCCCCCACCTCCTCCAGGCCCTTTCTGCAGCCCCATCTCAGGATCCCCCATTCCTCCTTATTCCTCAACCTTCTGAGGGATGCGAGGCCTTCCGAGCAGGGGCTGCCTTCCTTGGCAGCAGACAAAAGGCCATTTCTGAGTTACAGAAAATGTGTTCCTTTGCTACAGAGCCGGGTGAGGGCTGCCCGGGCCGGTCCTGGGCCAGGCGGGAGTCTTAGCAGAGGGGGCCTGTCAGTCACCAGGAGCCCTCGTGAAAGGGGCCCCTTGTCAACTTCCCCTGCCTTTGAAGTGACTAGGATGGCGTGCTCAATTAAAAGCCCATCAGTCTGTAAGTAAATCAACGCCTATCAGGCTTGTCACATCAAACAAACGATTATTACCCCAGCCCGCCCACCCCATTAATCTGGCTGTTCCTTCTTGACGGCTCAGGGTCAGGGCAGCGTAAATCCTGTACTGGATTGCAGCCACCTGGATTGGGATGAAAGCGGTGGCGCAACCTGCAAGGCCACACTCAGGCACTTCCCAGAGTCCCCAGGAAGGAGGGAGGATGGAGGAGAACGCTCCCGGAGACAGAGACAGGAGAGGCGCCTGCAGACAGGGCCATGTGAAGCACCTGGAACAGAAAGAAATGAAGGAGACAGAGAGAAAAGTGGTGGAAAGAGAAAGAGCTGGGAAAATGGACCAAGATAGAAATAATTGGAAGCGGAGAACCAAAGTTGTTGAGGCAGGTGACATAAGAACTCACTCAGAATGTTGTGAATGAGTGAATGTAGGCCCCCAGAAGACAAGGAGGTCTGGGGATGAAATCTCCCTGATACTAGGTTCTGAGTCTCAGAGTCAGAGAGTGATGAGGCCAGGCCAATGTCAGCACCCCTGACCTCACTTAGCCTTGGGGGTGTTGGTGGGAGGCAGAGTTCAGGGCTTTGCTAAGCAATGCCTTGTATCAGACATCAACATGTGTGATGGCCAGAACTTGATCTTCTGCAATCAAAGGATATGAACAGACACATCAGGCCAGATGATCAAGTTCTGATTTTCTGCTGCACGAGCCCCTGAGAAGCACTTTGCTCCAGATCATTTCTCCTGGGCTCTGTGTATTGGTTTGGAGATTTTTTCTGCTCCTGTGATTAGGCTTCTGGCTTTCCCCGCTGAGGACCAGAGAAAAAGGCAGGAGTAGAGAGAAGAGGAAGCAAGACAGCTTGAAGGAGAGGCTAGGGTGGGAAGGGAAGGGTGGAGAGGAGGGGGAGGAAGGAAGTCAAGCATCTGTCCTGGAAGAACAACGCATGCTTTTTAAGGGAAGAGAACAGTCTTTCCCCAAGAGGCGGTTCCAGATGACTCGTGATGTTCTATCCTTAAAAAGGCCGTCACATGCCTTCCCCATCGCCAAAGAGACAGGAGTGGAGCAGGGAGACTGAGGACGGGAACTTCTTCCACCCACCTGACCCCGGAGCTCCACTTGCTCAGCCTGACAGACACAGCTGAACTTTCACTAGTCGAGGAAAGAACATTCTCGCTAGGCTTAAGAGGCCAAGCTTAGGAGTATTGCTTGAGGCCAGGAATTTGAGACCAGTCTGGTCAACACAGTGAGACCCTGTCTCTACAAAATTAAAAAAAAAATTAGCCAAGTGTGGTGGTGCACCTGTGGTCCCAGCCATTTAAGAGGCTGAGGCAGGAGGATGGCTTGAGCCTAGGAGTTGGAGGCTGCAGTGAGCTGCACTCCACCCTGGACAACAGAGCGAGACTCTATCTCAGAAAAAAAAAAAGACGAAAAAAGAAAATTCTCAAAGATACTGAAGACATTTACCCTCATCCCTATCCTCCCTGTGCAAGGTAAGAACCGCTCACCGCAAACCTGGGAGACTTGCACCTGCCGCATACATGGGCTTTCTCAAAATGATTCTCCCTCCAGCCTGCTGTCCACTCCAGCATTGTAGACACCTTCTTCTCTTATCAGGACCCAGCAGTATAGTGCCTTTTCCTTATCCCTCTGAGTTGGTAGACATGTCGACTCATTCCAGTGTCAGCAAGGCCTTTCACAGAGATAAGTCTTGGTCTACAGATATTTTACAAACTGCCAGAATTATCTGTCATTCCTGCTTTCATTCATTGAACCAAAACTTGGTACTGAGTGAGCACTTACAACTTACAGGCTCTTTTCTAAATCTCAGGGTTACAGCAGTGAATATGACGGGCAAGGCCAAGGGATATGTGGGAGGTTTTGCAAAGACCTTGGATGTTTGACGTCATCTTTATTTATTTGTCATGTATGGATTCAGCTATTTCACAGATATTACACAGATATTTCCTCAGCACCTACCATGTCTAAGTAACATGCCCCACAAGAAAGCGAAGAAGAATCAGAAACAAATGCTATCTTCCTGGGGGAGAAATAAGCCACAGATCATGAAAAACTCAAGGGCATTTATAAAGTCGTAGGTGATCCATCCTGGCTACCATGGTGAAACCCCGTCTCTACTAAAAATACAAAAAATTAGCTGGGCGTGGTGGTGGGCACCTGTAGTCCCAGCTGCTCAGGAGGCTGAGGCGGGAGAATGGCGTGAACCCGGGAGGCAGAGGTTGCAGTGAGCCGAGATTGCGCCACTGCACTCCAGCCTGGACGATAGAGTGAGACTCCGTCTCAAAAAAAAAAAAAAAAAAAAAAAAAGTCGTGGGTGCCATAAGCCAGAAAAGGATGGAAGATAATTCAGAGAGAGAAGATAATTTATCCAGGTTATTTCTTAGTTTGTTTGTTTATTTATTAATTTTGAGAGGGAGTCTCATTCTGTCACCCAGGCTGGAGTGCTGTGCTGTGATCTCGGCCCACTGCAACCTCTGCCTCCCTGGTTTATGCGATTCTCCTGTGTCAGCCTCCCCAGTAGCTAGGATTACAGGCGCACGCCACCACTCCAGGCTAATTTTTATATCTTTAACAGAGACGGGGTTTCGCCATGTTGGCCAGGCTGGTCTTGAACTCCTGACCTCAGGTGATCCACCCGCCTCGGCTTCCCAAAGTGCTGGGATTACAAACGGGAGTCACCATGCCTGGCTGACCCAGGTTATTTCTTAGTGAAGATCTGGAATTAAAAAACCTGTTAATTGTTTAATCATAGCAACTTTTTAATATACTCTGTGATATAGAACAATGAGGGCTCAATGTTTATTATGATAGTTATTGTCAGTGATGACAACGTAATTCATTGTCATTGTAATTACAGACATGTCACAAGCCCCTCTCTCTATGGACACCCTGCAACTCCATTTCAGTCCTCTTTGGAAGTCAGGGGCATGGTGGAAAATTCCCAGAAATGGGAGCTGTGCTCCTTAAAAGAGGCAGAGTGGTGCAGAGGTAGAGCGAGTAGGCTCTGAAACCAAACAGCCATTCAAAAGCAGGCTTCAAATGCTGGCTCGACTGCTTGCCTGCTGTGAGGCCACCAGCAAATCACTTGAACTCCCTGTGTGTGTTTCCCCATCTGTTAAATTGGGGTGATAACAGTACCGGCCTCATAGGGTTATATGACAATTAAATGCATGTAAAGCATTCACAACTGTGCCCAACAGACAGTATGCATTCAATAATGCCTGTCATGCTTATGGCCCTACGTCATACAAAGTGGTCTCTTGAAGGTACAATCAGCATGATGTTAGGAGGGCACTTATTAAATTAATGCAATTGTCTTCATGTATTTAAACATCAGTGAGAGTCATTTATATTCATTTTACTTTTAAAATTCTTCTGGAGTTCAGTACATGCGTGGTAAATATTTGAAGAATTTGTTTTTTACTAATATAATGTGTTTGTTAGCACTTAATATTTGATGCATACAAAAGGGTGTATGCATTGTATATATAAATGTTAGCCTCTCCTCTTCTGTCTTCTGGTCTCTGCTCCAGAAATGGCCACTTTCTGGAATTTTATTTTATTTTATTTTTTTTGAGAAGGAGTTTCACTCTTGTTGACCAAACTGGAGTGCAGTGGTGTAATCTCGGCTCACTGCAACCTCTGCCTCTCGGGTTCAAGCGATTCTCCTGCCTCAGCCTCCCGAGTAGCTGGGATTACAGGCGCCTGCCACCACTCCCGGCTAATTTTTGTATTTTTAGTAGAGACGGGGTTTCACCATGTTGGCCAGGATGGTCTCGAACTCCTGACCTCGTGATCCACCCGCCTCAGCCTCCCAAAGTGTTGGGATTACACGCATAAGCCACGATGTCTGCCCTAATTTTTGTATTTTTAGTAGAGATGAAGTTTCACCATGTTGGCCAGGCTGGTCTCGAGCTCCTGACTTCAGGTGATCCACCTGCCTCAGCCTCCTGAAATACTGGGATTATAGCCGTGAGCCACTGCGCCCAGCTACTTTCTGGAATTTTATGTTTATTTTCCTTTTGCTTTTTTAAAAAAGCTTCATTTAAAAAATTAAAGTACAACATACATAATAATAAACTGCACAGATTTTAAGTGTACAGCTCAACTAATTTTTACACTCTATACACTTATGTAACCACATCTGGATTAAGTCATGGAATATTATTTGTACTCTAGAAATGTCCCTTCCCAGTCAATCCTCCCTCCACCCCCATCCCAAGGTAACCACTGTTCTGATACATGTCAGTGTAGATTAGTTTTGGAATTCTTAGGTATGTACTCTTGTCTTTTGGGCAGCATTCTATTTGCAAGATTCCTCCGTGTTGTTGTATGCATCAGTAGCTCATTCTTTTTTGTGGTTGAGGAGTATTCCACTGTAGAATAAACCATGCAATTTGTTCACTCATGTTATTATTCATGGGCATTTGTGCTGTGTCTATTTTCTGGCTATTATTAAGAAACCTGCCATGAACTCTCCTGTCCACATCTTTTGGGGCACATATTTACTCATTAATGTTGGATATAACAGGAGTGTAATTGCTATGTCACCACTTAGGTACATGTTATAATAGATACTTCAAACAGTTTTCCAATATTTGGTATTGTTAGTTGAAAAACACCTTCAGCCATATTGGTAGTTGTCATGGGCTATAGTGGGCTATACATTTCCCTTTGTCTCTATTTTAGTTGGATTCAATACTTCTTTTTTTTTTTTTTTTTTGAGACAAGGTTTCTTGCTGTAGCCCAGGCTGGAGTCCAGTGGCATGAACACTGCTCACTGCAGCCTTGATCTCCCGGGTCTAAGTGATTCTCCCACCTCAGCCTCCTGAGTAGCTGGGACTACAGGCGTGCACCACTATAACCTAGCTAATTTTTGTATTTTTTGTAGAGATGGGGTTTTGCTTTTTGCTGTTGGCTGGGCTGGTCTTGAACTCCTGGGCTCAAGTGATCTTCTCACCTTGGCCTCCCAAAGTGCTGGGATTACAGAAGTGAGCCACCATTCCTGGCTGTAGTTGCATCCAATAACTCGTGATATGTTATTTTCATTGCCATTCAGTTCAAAATATTTTCTGATTTCCATATACATATATTGCAAATATTTTCTCCCATTCTGTGACTTGCCTTTTCTTGTTATTAGTGGTATTTTTTTTGTTAACTAGAAGCTTGATATTTTAATGAGTTTTTTTCACTTTTACTCATGCATATTTAGAAAAGTATATTCCTTAATTTCTGAATATCTGGGGATTTCCTAGTTATCTTTCTGTTTTGCACTTCTTGCTCAATTTCATTGTCATCAGAGAATATCCTTAGAATTACTTCAGTACTTTAAAATTTACTTAGGTATGTTAACATTTCCAACAGTACTTGTGGATCTGAATTTTTCTCCCTTAGTTCTGTCAGTTTTTGCTTTATTTATTTTGAGGCTACGTTATTATGTGTATACAAAGTTAGACTTGCAATTTTTTTTTTAATTGAATTGATCCCTTTATTGTTAGGAAATATCATTCAGTAAAACTGCTTGCCTTAAAGTTTACTTTGTCTGATATTTGTCTAGCTACACAAGCTTTCTTTTGATTGTTTGCTTGATGTATCTTTTTCATCCTTTTAGCTTCAACTTTTTCCATTTTTGTGCTGCTGCATAACCAACCACCCCAAAACTTAGTGGCATAAACCAACAAACAATTTGTTATGCTCATAGGTATTGTGGGTGAGGAATTTGGACAGAGCTTAGCAGGGACACTTTATATCTGTTCTACATTGTCTGGAGTCTTAGCTGGAAAGATGTGAATGATTGGGGGCTAGAATCTGGAGACTTCTTCAATCACATGTCTGTTACCTGTACTGGGCTAACTTGAGACTGGACTCAGCTAGGACTGTTGATTGTAGTGCCTACTTGGACTTCCTTATAAAATGGCAGACTTGAGTAGTCAGATTTCTCACACAGTGGCTCAGAGCTCCAAAAGTGACTTTCACCAAACAAGGCATAAATTGCATAGACTTTTACGCTCTTGCCTCAAAAGTCCCGCAGTGTTACTTCTTCTGTACTCTATTGGTTGAAGGAACCACATGCCCACACAGATTGGGGAAGGGAGACAGACCCCATCTCTTAATGAGAGGGGTGCCAAAGGATTTGTGGCTATGTTTTAAAACTGCCACACAACTTTTCTTTTCATATCCTTATATTTGAGGTTTATTTTTATCCAGTCTCACAATCTTTGTCTTTTAATTGGCATCTTTGGACCACTTATATTTAATTACTGACACTATGATTTAAACCCATCATCTTACAATTTACTTTCTATTTGTTCTATGTGGTTTTTTTTTGTTAATTTTTCCCCTTTCTCTCCTTCTTTGGATTATTCATGCATTTAAAAAATGATTCCACTTCCCTACTCTAAAGCTTGTTAACTGTACATTCTTTTATTGTTCTTTGGTGATTACCCTAGAATTTGCCTGCCATCTTTGCTCAAGGGGCCATGCTAATCTTCTCTGTATTCTTCCCATTTTAGTGTATATGTTGCCAAAGTGAACACGATGATTAGCCTAGAGATTGCAACATGTATCATTATTTTATTATAACCTATCTTAAATTACTAGAATTGGCATCCATGTCCATTGGTTCCATATCTGTGGATTCAACCAAGCTTTGATCAAAAATATTTGGGGAAAATAATGGATGATTACATCTGTACTGAACATGTACAGACTTTTCTCTTGTTATTATTCCCTAAGCAATTCAGTAAAACAACTATTTACATAGCATTTACAGTGTATTAGGTATTATAAGTAATCTAGAGATGATTTAAATTATATGGAAGGATGTGTGTAGGTTATAGGCAAATACTATGCCATTTTATGTAAGGGACTTGAACATCTGTGGATTTTGGTGTCTGTGGGAAGTCCTGGATCAAATCCCTAATAGATACAGAGGAACAACTGTACATGTCATATCCTGGACAATGCAAGAAACTCACAACACTTTAACTCCATTTACCCTTCTCATACATTTTGTGCTATTGTTAACATATATTTAAGTCTCTCTATATTTTGAACTCTGTAAGACATCAGTGTTATTGTTTTATGTAGTAAATATTAATTTAGAAATTTTACTTTTTTGGTGCTGTTTATTTCTTCTTTTTTTAAATTTATTTTTATTTTTATTTTTTTAATACAGTCTCGCTCTGTCACCCGGGCTGGAGTGCAGTCACATGATCTCGGCTCACTGCAACTTCCACTTCCTAGATTCAAGTGATTCTTGTGCCTCAGCCTCCCCAGTAGCTGGGACTATAGGCATGCGTTGCCACGTCCTGCTAATTTTTGTATTTTTGGTAGAGACGGGGTCTCACTATGTTGGCCAGGCTGGTCTAGAGCTTCTGACCTCAGGTGATCTGCCCGCCTTGGCCTCCCAAGGTGCTGAGATTACAGGTGTGAGCCACCGCGCCTAGCCTGTTTATTCCATCTTGCATTACTGCTTTCATCTGGGATTATCTTCTGCCTGAAAAAATTCTTCCAGTATTTCTTTGAATGTAGCTATGCCAACAATAAGTTCTCTCAGTTTTTGTTTGCCCTAAAATGTCTTTACTATGCCTTCACTTTTGAAGGATATTTTCACTGAGTATAGCATTTTAAGTTGGTAATTATTTTCTTTCAGCACTTTAACAATTTTTTTAATCCATTTTTTCTCTTGCTTAGCTGTCAGTTTTATTGTCGCTCTTTTGAAAACAATGTGGGTTTTTCCCTCTGGTTGCTTTTAAGATTTTTCCGTTTTTTGTTTTCAGCAGTTTATCTGTGATATAGCTATGTGTGTGTGTATGTGTGTGTGTATGTGTGTGTGTGTGTGTTTGTGTCTGCTTGCATGAGGAGAAATTCTTTACACTGTAGCTTGATGTTTTTCATCATTTTTGGAAAACTCTCAGCCAGTATTTGTTTAAAAATTGGTTCTATCCCATTCTTCTCTCCATCTGGGTCCCAATTACAAATATGTTAGATGTTTTTAACCATGCCCCTATATCAATTACTTTTTTTTTTTTTTTTGAGATTGAGTCTCACTCTGTTGCCTAGGCTAGAATGCAGTTGCACAATCTCGGCTCACTGCAACCTTTGCTACCCGGTTCAAGTGATTCTCCTGCCTTAGCCTCCCGAGTAGCTGGGATTATAGGTACTCACCACCATGCCCAGCTAATTTTTATATTTTTAGTAGAGACAGGGTTTTGCCATGTTAGCCAGGGTGGTCTCAAACTCTTGACTTCAATGGATTTGCCCACCTTGGCCTCCCAAAGTGCTGGGATTACAGGTGTGAGCCACCGTGACTGGCCAATTACGTTTTTTCCCCCATTTTTCATTCTTTTGTCTCTGTTCTTTACTATCTTGTCTTGGCTATGTCTAATTTGCTATGGAACCCATCTATTCAATTTTTAATTTCAGTAGTTTTATTTTATTAATTCTAAGATTTTCATTTGACTTTTTTTTTTTTTTTTTTTTTGAGACAGAGTCTCACCTTGTCACCCAAGCTGGATTTCAATGGCACGATCTCGGCTCACTGCAACCTCCGCCTCCCAGGTTTAAGCGATTCTCTTGCCTCAGCTTCCCAAGTACCTGGGATTACAGGCACAAGCCACCACGCCTGGCTAATTTTTTGTATCTTTAGTAGAGACGAGGTTTCACCATGTTGGCCAGGCTGGTCTCGAACTCCTGACCTCATGATCCACCCGCCTTCGCCTGACTTTTTTTTTTTCTTTAAGCAGACTCCAGTTCTTTGGTAAAATTCTCTGTCCTTTCTTTTATTTCCTTGAACATATTAATAATAGTTATTTAAAAGTCTCTGTTTAATAACTCCAATATCTGCATCACTTTTTTTTCTATTGTTTTTCCCCTCTTGGTTTTTAGTTATTTGATCCTATTTCTTGGCATGCCTAGTAATTTTCAATTGAGATCTAGACATCACGTGTGAAAAATTTTATTCTCTAGCTATCTTCCTTCAAAGGTTATTACATTTTCTTATGGCAGGGAAATAGGGTATTCTCAATTTCATGCTGATGCAATTGAGGATAGGTCTAGGGGCTTTGTTAGGGTTCTTCTACCTCTAACTGTGCCTAGGGGATATTCCAAGATTCCTAAGGATAATCTTCCTTACTTCTGGAGCTTAACTCTCTTCTAGGGGCACAGTTCTTTAGCGATCTCAACTAAAATCCTCAAGTATTTTCCAAGTTCCTTCCCCATTGATGGGCATTGAACTCCAACCTCTGACTCCCTAGCCTAATGAGATTTCTGCAAGCCTCTCTGTTACTCTGCCTTCAGCCTTTATTGCTCCACATCATAAAATGGCAAGTAACATAAAGGAAAAATCAGAGCCAAATGTATGGCTTACCTCACTTCCTTTATCTGTGTACTCTTGGCCCCACCAGTCCTGCCAAACTCTCTTGCTCTCTGATGCTTTTGCACAATTGTTTTATGTATTTAATCTAAACATTACAGTTGTTATCAGTGGAATGGTTGTTTAATATTCCCACACTTAAAAAATAGTTTATCACATGTACATGTTTGTATAAGCAATTTCTTGCTCTTGATATTTATAAAAAATGATTGCTACAAACTGCAGAAAAAATATTTAAAAATAAAAGAAATGGTATCATATTGTTTATTAGTTTTGTACTGCTGTATCACAAATTGTCACCAAATCTGGTGGCCTCAGACAATAAATATTGATTTTACAACTTTTCATGGATCATGAACTTGGCAGTGGCTTAGCTGTGGATCATGAACTTGGAAGTGGTTCTGGCTTGGGATTTTTCATGGGGTTGAGGTCAAGATGTTGGTAGGGGCTACAGTCATCTGAAGGCTTGACTAGGGATGGGGGATCTTCTTCTAAGGTGGCACACTCATGTGGCTGGCAAGTTGTTTTTAGATATTGGCAGGAAGACCAAGTTCTTCTCCATGTGGGCCTCTCTGCAGGCTGCTTAAAGGTCTTGAGGACTAGTGATTGGCTTCTCTTCTCTCTCTCTCTCTCTTTCTCTCATTCTTTCCTTCTCTCCTTCTCTCTCTCTCTCTCTCTGTTTCTTTCTTTCTTCGAGGGTGTCTCACTCTGTCACCCAGGCTGGAGTGCAGTGGTAGCATCTCAGCTCACTGCAACCTCTGCCTCTTGGGTTCAAGCAATTCTCCTGCCTCAGCCTCCTAAGTAGCTGGGATTACAGGCACCTGCCATCACACCTGGCTAATTTTTGTATTTTAGTAGAGACGGGGTTTCACCATGTTGGCCAGGCTGGTCTCAAACTCCTGAGTTCAAGTGATCTGCCTGCCTCAGCCTCCCAAAGTGCTGGATTACAGGCGTGCATGAGCTACTGCATCTGGTCGTGATTGGCTTTTCTAGAACAAATGATACAAGACAGTAAGGCAGAAGTGGCAATATCTTTTTTTGATTTAGTTATGGAAGTAACATACCATCACTTTTTCCATGTTCAATAGGGCGGCGCGGTGGTTCATGCTAAAGAGCAGTTTGGGAGGCCAAGACTGGTGGTTCATTTGAGGCCAGGAGTTCAAGACCAGCCTGGCCAACATGGTGAAACCCTGTCTCTACTAAAAATACAAAAATTAGCCAGGCGTGGTGGCATGTGTCTGTAGTTCCAGCTACTTGGTAGGCTGAGGCAGGAGAATCGCTTGAACCTGGGAAGTGGAAGTTGTAGCGAGAGGAGATTGTGTCACGGCACCTCCAGCCTGGGCAGCAGAGTGAAACCCTGTCTGGGGGGAAAAAAAATGTCACTACACGAGGTATGGTGGCTCACACCTGTAATTCTGATGCTTTGGGAGGCTGAGGTGGGAGGATTGTGTGAGTCCAATAGTTTGAGACCAGACTGACCAACATAGTGAGAGTTTGTCTCTACAAAAAATTAAAAAGAAAGAAAGAAAAGAAATGAGTCACTAAATCTGGCCCACATTTAAGAAAAGGGAAATTAGTCTCCATCTTTGGAATGGTAGGGTGTCAAAAAATTTACAAACACCTCTAAAAATTACCACATATTGTATGTAGATTTCTGGGATTTGGTTTTTCAACCAACATTATGTTTCTAAGCTTCCTCCATGTTGTTGCAAGCAGTTATAATTCATCTATTTTTATGACTGTATAATATTCCACAGTATGAATGGATCACAACTTCTCCCATTGTCTTGTTGATGGTCATATGGTTTGTAGAATCATTTTAAAGGAAATAATTCATCTTAAGCTTCTTGAAATCATTTCAAATAATTAATTCTGTGGTTAATTTGAGCCTAAAAATCAAGCCAGTACAATGAGTTCGGACTACACTGGTAATGGACATTTCAATGGTGTAGGTACTAGAACGTGCTATGAATAGTCTTTCCCTATTATGCCTTATTCTGTATCCCCCAAGAAGACCATTAACATTTCAGAGCTATTTGTTTGCAGTTGTTTCGGCCATGGAGGTAAGTAGCTGGTCTCGCAATGGGGACACAAAAATCAGGAACTGGGCTGGACCAGTTCATTCTCCATAGAGTGAAATGGAGGCAGCATGATAAGACCAGGTTGAGTTAGTCTTTCCCTTGCAAGCCATGGATAAGATTGGACTCAAAACAGAGCAAGCTGGTGCTTGTGTGTGTTTATAGTTTCCTGGGAAACAATTCCAGCTCTACAGCCCATGTCTATCATCTGAAGTCCTTGAGACAATCACTCAAAGTGGCTGAGTGCCACTCGCTGTTTTGCTGGCGCATGAGCATCGGCAGAGGAAGCAGTGTGGGGAAGTGGAAAGAACACAAACTGCATTCAGACTGACCTGGGTTTGAATCCTGGCTTTGACACTTACTAGATTTTTACAATGCACAATTTACTTAACTTCTTTCATCTCCAGTTTTCTCATCTGCCAAATGGGCATGTGCTATGGTTTGAATTTTGTTACCTCCAAAACTCACGTTGAAATTTAATCCCCAATGAGGGACTATTAAGAAGTGGTGATTGAGTCATGAAGGCTCTACCTTCATGAGTGGAGGAGTCCATTCATGGATTAATGATTTAATGGGTTACCATGAAAGTGAGGCTGGTGGCTTTATAAGAAGAGGAAGAGAGACCTGAGCGAACATGCTCAGCCTCCTCAGGACCCTGCAGAGAATTCCCGCCAGCAAGAAGGCCCTCACCAGATGTACCCCCCTTTACCTTATACTTCTCATCCTCCACGACTTTAAGAAATAAATTCCCTTTCTTTATAAATTATTCAGTTTTTGGTGTTCTGTTATAAACAATATAAAACGGACTAAGTCATCATGCTGGTACCTTCCTTACTGGTTTCTTGTGAGGATTATATGCCAGATTGTATTGAAGATGCCTAGGATGATGCCTGGCAGTATTAGATACTCAATAAAAGACAGCTTTGTGTCATTGTCATCATCATGAGTGTCACCCTGCTTTGGAGATAAGTATGACTCTAGGCCTCTCAGGGGGTCCTGAAATCTTTGCTATTCTGCTATTCAGCGTGGCAGGTTTGTGTCCTTGTGCAAATCACTAAGTTATTGCTGTTTCCCAAGGCTTGGCCATTGAGTTAGGGATTTTTTTCTTAAAGAGGGAAGGGGAAGGGTTCTATCTAATTAGGAATACAGCAGTCAGATTTAGGTCAAGGCCTGCTGTAACCTATAGGCAAATGGTTATGGACTGACAATCAATTTGAAAAGGAAGACAGGTTATATAGCAATCTGCACCAGGGAGACCCATACATAGCAAAAGATTCTCATCAGTGCTACAGGGCTTAAAGCTGTCATTGAATTTAGCTGACTTTTAAATGCATTAATAGATGATGTACCCATGGGATAAGAAGAAGACAGCCAGCTTAGGGAGCCTATTAGGTCATAGGGAGATCAGTTAATGGTGGGCCATCAGTTTCGTTTTGTGCTTTAGTTCAAGCTAGAGGTTCTGATCAATCAGTTTCTTATGTGACTCTTGTTCATTTGTTGGTTATTTATTTAACATTTATGAAACATCTCCATGTGCCTAGTACACTGTGTTAAGTGCTGTGGGGGATACAGGAAGATCTATCTATCTATCTATCTATCTATCTATCTATCTATCTATCTATCCATCCGTCCATCCATATATCTATCTATCCATACTCTACTTACTATCTATCTATCCATCCATACATCCATCCACCCATCAACTATCTATCCATGCACTATCTTGCTATTTACACAAACACACCACTCCAAGGAGCATTGAGTTCAATGAGTTCCTTTATATGGTTTATATATGTGAAAGCAGCTATAAAACAATAAATAAAGTTGATGAGGTCATAAGGCCATCAGAGATATGCCAGTTAAATTTTACAGGACTTCAGGAGATAGAGAAAGTATTACCTGTAGGTGGATTGCATGAAGCCTCCTGGCTGGTCTTGCTGCTTCTAATCCCACTCTTCTCCATTTAATTCTGCATGTCATTGCTGCTCTAATCACTTCAAAACACTAATTTCAGCATATCCTGCTTTTTTTCAAGACTCCGAATTTTCTGTTTCCAACTGTGCTGATTTCAAAGTCCCTTTCAGATTGTTCTATTATCTCTACCTCTTTAGATATGATTTCTTCCTTTTTTGGAGATAGGGATGAGGGTGATGTGGGGTTTATAAGTTGCTTGCCCTGGTTTTGGACTTCCTCATGTATTTTGTGATTTTGGCATGAGTGCATCTCCCCTGGGAATGTTGTTTGTGGAAATTGTTTTCCTGTTCATGTCTTGTGTTGTGGAGGCCTGCCTATGGGGCAACCGTGCTTGCCTCAGCCTAGGGCCTATGGGTTTCTGCACTGAGGGTTAACTTGAATTAGGGTTTTCACCTTGAGAGGCAAAGGACTCCTACACATGGCCTTTGAGCTGTACCCTGAGCTGATGAACAAGGACATTCTAGTTCCTGTTTATGGATAGCCTAAGCTCTACTAGTTTCTGGTTTCATTTAGTGAACCTAGCTTATGTTGTAAAGCCATAGGGCCTGTGACCTTGACTTGGCATGAAAACCTCAGGCCTTGTGGCTTCTGTTTTATTGATGTCCTGGGGGTTATATGCCGATAACTCCTTAAATCTGCATTTCTAGTCCTAACTGACCCCTGGTCAAATCCCAGAGCTGTAGGTGCCTAGATCCAACTGCCTGTTTGTCACCTGCATTTAGCTATCTTATGGCCATCTCAGATTTAACACGGTCAAAACAGGACTACTGATTTGTTACTATATATGTTAAACACACCTCCATGACATATATATATGTATAAACACCTATAAGTGCCTGTTATATACAAATCAGCCTCATGGCTGCTATCTCGTGTATGCTTTATCTGTGTCTACATTACAGCTGTATGGATCTATGTACCACACAGCGTGTATGTGTATGTAAAGCATAGCTACCCTGATTAACCCAGATATGCTTTGCCTAAGATATTCCAACAATCTCAAGATTTACAAGAAAGTGCTTTTTAGATAACAGTAGCCCTGACACTAAGTGCCTCCCTCTTTATTACTGCATTCAGTTATCCCTTCCTTTCTTGTAAGCTCTGGTCCTGCTTCACTTCAGACAGAAGAGGAAGCAACTTTCACAGCTTTGCCCCAAATCCAGAGTTTTGAAAAGTGTCATCCACCAATAACATGCATCAAGATCAGCCAGGGTACTTGTTAACAAGAGTGTTTCTCAGACTCTCCAAAGCTAAACTTTCTGGGGATAGAGCCCAGACCTGTCTATTTTTAACAAGTTCTTCAGGCTATTCCTAAGTGCACTGTGGTTTGGGAATCACTGTTGGAATCCTTTTTCTCCTTTGGCAGAAATCCAAATCCTCCTCCTTCATCTAAAATATTTATGGAAGAGACCATTCTGAGAAGCCCAGGAAAGAGGGAGATGACTCATAGCCACCCCTTCCCATGCCAACATTGCCTGGAGAGCCAGGGGGACCTGGTTGGGCCACATTGAGTGCCTGTTTACATCTTGCTGAGCTGTTGCATTGGGCCATACTTGAACTTTCCAGAACAACAATTGCTACTTTAAAACATTTCTCGGTGATTTTTGTCTTGTTGGTCTAAACACATACAATTCAGAAGAGGATGATGAAGCTTAGATATCTTTATAGGTTGGCCAACTGTCCTGGTTTGCTTGGGACAGAGAGGTTTTCTGGGATGCAACAGGGCCAAGACCAGGAAAGTTCTGAGCCAACCAAGATGAGTTGATCACCCTAGCAAACATGTCTTGCAAACCAGTTTATGAATTGAAACTAAATACATTAGAAAATAATAGTTTTGAAATCTACATGGGTTATAAAATAAGAAGGAAGACTAGTTTGGGATTAAGTATATTTTGGGATAGTTCAGATTTGTGGCAAAGGATCGAACAGTTCATGATGCTGAAGGATGGGAGGTTTCTCGCATCCTTTAATAAAGGCTTTGTATCCACTGTGTTGCATGGGTGGCCACTCTTTAAGTTGTGTTGTGTTTGACAACAATGATGGAAGGTGAAGGATGCTTATTTCACAGCTCTGAGAGGAGGCTGCCTTTTCGTTTTTCTCTTCTCTTCTCTTTTCTTTTCTTTCCTTTTTTTTTTGAGGTGGAGTCTCACTCTGTAGCCCAGGCTGGAGTGCAGTGGCATGGTCTTGGCTCACTGCAGCCTCCACCTTCCAGGCTCAAGCGATTCTCTTGCCTCAGCCTTCATAGTAGTTGGGACGACAGGCACACGCCACCACTCCTGGCTAATTTTTAAAAAAATTTTTATTTTAGTAGATACGGGTTTCCACCATGTTGCCCAGGGAGGTCTCAGACTCCTGAGCTCAGGCAATTCACCCGCTTCGGCCTCCCAAAGTGTTGGGATTACAGGCATGAGCCACCACACCTGGCCGAGGCTGTCTTTTCTGACCTATCAGTGGGTTGAGATCTTGTTGCATATTCCCAGGTTGTATTGAGAGCACATAAAGTATCCTCCCTGTTGGGGGAGGAAGAGGTGGTGGATGGCACTCACACTCTCTACTCAGCACTCTGTGGTAAGATTTGGTGGCTGGGGTTTTTTCTGTTGTCCCTTTCAGCATCTTTTCCAGCACAGTTGACTTATCTGCTCAGCAGGCAGGGCAGTGCCTAGTGCCCATAATACTTTTAAGGATCCGGGGAAATGCTTTAGTTTCCTTAAAATGATGACGAAAAAATCTTTTAGGTTGAAGGGAATGTTTTTGTGCATAGCATTAATACATTCATCTTTATACCAAGTGCAATCATAAAATGCTTTTTAATACAACATTTATTTATTTAATTGTTTTGAGATGGAGGTCTTGTCATGTTACCCAGGCTGGACTTGAACTTCTGGGCTGAACCTCCTGAGTAGCTGGGACTACAGATGCGTACCACCACACCCGGCCCGGCATGATATAAACACTTAAACAAAAATTTTAATAAGGATTAGTTTTTGTTCATAGGGAGAAGGGCCCATGAGGGCAAGTGCCTAGGTTTCATAAAAGTCATAATGGAAGCCCAGGGTGACAGCTGTCAGCCACTGTGGGCTGGGGCAAGGAGAAAAGCCTATGGGAGCAGCTTCTTCCTTAGGGGTTGGCTGAGGGGAAGAGCATGGGAGGGCATTTTGAGACGTGGACCTGTGAGCAGAACAGATGAGCCTGGGAGACACAGGCCATGTGACGTGCCTGGAAGATGAAGTGTCTGCAGAGGAAGATGTTGGTCAGGTTCACTTGCAAGAAACTGGAACAGAGTGTGTATTCTGACATCACAGTGGCTGTCTTCCAGCACGATTCCCTGGGGTCCCGCGGCAAGGGGGTTGTTCTTCAGTATCCACTCTCCTCTTCTTCCTTTGGCATGAAGCCCCTCTGTTGGGTTGAATTGTGTCTTCTCCAAAGATAGGCTGAAGTTTTAACTCCTGGTACCTGTAAATATGGCCTTATTTGGAAATAGGAACTTTGTAGATGTCATCAAATTTAAGATGAGATCATACTATGTTGGGGGTGGGGCCCTAAATCCAATGGCTGTTGCCTTGATAAAAGAAAAGATTTAGATACAGAGACACAAAGGCCATATGACAACGGAGGCAGAGACTGTAATGATGCAGCTACAAGTCGAGGAGTGCCAAGGATTGCCAGACACCAGCAGAAGCTAAGAAAAGAGGTATGTGGGACAGTTTCTCTTTCAGAGACTCCTGAAGGAACCAGCCCTGCTGACACCTTGATTTCAGACTTCTGGCTTCTTGAACCATGAGAGCACAAATCTCTGTTGTTTTAAGCCATCCAGTTTGTGGAACTTTGTTATGGCAGCCCCAGGAAACCAATCTACCACCTAAATTGTGCTCGGCAACCAGCCACCCAACAGAAAGACTACATTTCCCAGCTTCCCTTGCAGCTAGGTAGCTGTGTTCTGTTACTAGGTTCTAATTACTGGGATGTGAGCCCAAGTCATGTGTGCAACTTTCTAATTGTGCCTTTAAACAGAAGGGAAGGGTGGTGCCTTGCCTTTGCTCCTTCCTTGCTCTTTCCAATCTTTCTGGCTGGGACGTGTGTGTAATGGTGGAGCTACAGCAGCCATATTAGATTGCAAAATGGAAACCTCATGCCAGGCAGTCAGGGTTGTGTGTTAGGAGGAACCTGGGTTCCTCATCTTGCAGAGCTGCCCTATTGCCTTGGATTTTTTATGCTTGAATTCTTGTGTGAGAGAGAAATAAACTACCATGTTAAACCACTATTATTTTGACACTTGTTATAGCAACTGAATGTTTTCCCTGTGTCATGTGATTCTCCTGTATACGCCAGAGCTCTGCTTCTTTGCGGCTTCTCACAGGTATTGATATTTGAAAAGGACATCTGGCCCCACTGTCAGGAGGAACAATGTTTTGTGTTTTTAAAAAGTATTAGTTTTATGAAGATGGGAACAGATTGTGTTTAGCCTTTTCTACCCCACCCCCTGACAAAGCTCTTCCATGCAATGGGAAACATCCACGAATGGGCCAGGGCCAGGGGGAGGTTGTTGCCAGGATAAATCTTTCTTATGGGGCTTGAATATGCAACCTTGACCTCAGAATCAGCCAAGTTCACCAGGCTCTGCCTTTCACCCAGCAGATTCCTAGCCAGATTTGGGTTCTTCTAATTCTAATCCTGCCAGCACAGGGGGAAGGCAGGGGAATAAGGTGTCCTTTTGCTGTTTCCAGTCACCAGCTCTTCTTCCCTGGGAGCAGGAATGCCCTTTACAGTCTTCTTGTGTGCAGTGGGGCATTTCTTCTTGAAAATGGTTTATTTAATTTTTCCATGGGATGTATCAGTGAAGCTTTGCAGAGTAAGACTTGTAAAGTGTGTGTGTGTGTGTGTGTGTGTGTGTGTGTGTGTGTGTGTGTATTTGGGTGGGGTGGTGGACAATGGGCAGAGATGTGGAATGGGATGGAAAAGATCTACAATTTACTGAATGTCATCCTATTTTTGGCAAGTGCCTTACCAGACATTACACCTTTAAATTCTCCAGACAGGCCAGGCGCGGTGGCTCACGCCTGTATTCCCAGCACTTTGGGAGGCTGAGGTGGGCAGATCACCTGAGGTCAGGAGTTGAGACCAGCCTGGCCAACATGGTGAAACCCCGTCTCTACTAAAATTACAAAAATTTGCTGGATGTGGTGGTGTGCACCTGTAATCCCAGCTACTTGAGAGGCTGAGGCAGGAGAATTGCTTGAACCTGAGAGGCGGAGGTTGCAGTGGGCTGAGATCGCACCATTGCACTGGGTGACAAGAGCAAAACTCCATCTGAAAAAAGAAAACATTCCCCAGACAATCATGAGAGGTAGAAATTATACTCCATGTCTTAAACATGCGAGAACTGGTACCCACATTTGTTGATCTTAAACATGCATAAACTGGGACACACATAGGTTGATAGCCTGTAAATGGCATTTGACTTCAAACCATATTTGATTTCAATGAATTTTTTCCATACAAATAAATTATACCCTTTGTTTTGTCTGTAAAGCATAATGGAAAAGTAGAAATTCTATAAATATTTGGCTTATGTGATATGGAACTGGCCATTCAGGAAATATGAGCAAAAGAATTCTCTTCAACGACTTGCATTGTTTAGGTGTCTCATCTGCACAGAGAAGTCTACCTCTGCCCTCTCAGCCTTCCTCATCTTCTGGTATCATAAACAAAGATGACAACAACCATCATATTGCTCTTGTTGTGTTAAAGAACATTGATCTCCAAGCCAACGAAGTTAGCGAAAGTTTTTGTTTTAACCCAGTGAAAGTGTTTTTGTTTCCCTGTTTCCTAATAGTTCTTTCAATAGCAAAGCAAAATTTGAAATTAACATTCTAAATTGTCTTTATCCTTTTAAAATCTTATTTATATTAAAATTAATTTCATTACACAAAAGCTTGAATTAAGCATTTCTCTTTACTTGTAGATTCTGTCTGCCAATTTGCATGTGGGCCAACCCATGTAAAAAGGAAAGTTTTTTTTTTCTTTTAAGTAACATTCATTTCCTAGTTTAAAAATTAACAACCAACCAAGAATAGCATTCGAGTGCATTGCCTTCTTATCTTTTCCCTATAATTAAAAATGTGCAATATAATTGTGATGAAACTCTACATTTTTTATCTTCCCACTTCCCACCCCTCACACATACAAATGGGTCCGTGTATGGGTTTAACTGCACACACACACACACGCACATGCGCACACACACACGCACACGCGCGCACACACACACACACTGTCCTCTAACCATAAACTACTTCTTTCTCCTGTCTTTTGTGCATTGCAAATTGGCAGGGGGACAGTGAGGAAAAACATTCTCCTCAGGGCCATCTTCACCTTGCACTGGTGTTCTGATGTCCCAGGGGAAGGTTGAGAAATAGCACCCGTGAGTTGCAGAGGGCAGGACGTTGCTGCCCATAACTCATAACTTCTCCATTGCAGGAGGGACCCTGGCTCCACCCTGGCTCTATCTGTTCTTGGATTGTGACAGAGCAGCCCCCAAAGCCTACAGTTCTTTCCTCTGGGTGTCATAAAGCATTTCAGTGGACAATTTGATCTTTTTCATTTTGCCTGCCTCACCCATGCAACCCCTCTCTGCTCACTTTCAGAATTTCAGAACAAAGCTCTTGGGTCACACAGTTAAGTGTTGGAAAGAATAACCAATTCGAGTGACTTAAAAAAACAACTTCATTGGCTGGGCTCAGTGGCTCACGCCTCTAATCCCAGCACTTTGGGAGGCCGAGGTGGGTGTATCACCTATCAGGAGTTCGAGACCAGCTTGATCAACATGGATAAACCCTGTCTCTACTAAAAATACAAAATTAGATGGGCGTGGTGGCACATGCCTGTAATCCCAGCTACTCAGGAGGCTGAGGCAGGAGAAGCGCTTGAACCCGGAAGGCAGAGGTTGTGGTGAGCCGAGATTGCGCCATTACACTCCAGCCTGGGCAACAAGAGAGAAACTCTGTCTCAAAAACAAACAAACCCCCAAATTTTATTGAGGTATAATTTGTTTATCATAAGATTCATCTATTTTAAGTGTATAGTTGGATGAGTTTAGTAAATTTATACAGTTGTGCAACCATCACTAAAATTGTTTTAGAACTTTTTCTGTCTCCTCAAAAAGTTCCCAGGGACCCATTCGCAGTGAGTCTCCACTCCCACCCCCCAGTCCCAGGGAACCACTGATCTGCTTTCTGTCTCTACTGATTTTCCATCTTTAGAAATATCAGATAAATGGAATCATATAATATTTACTTTTTTTTTTTTGAGTCAGATTCTCACTCTGTCACCCAGGCTGGAGTGCAGTGGTGCCATCTCGGTTACTGCAACCTCTGCCTCCCGGGTTCAAGTGATTCTCCTGCCTCAGCCTCCAAAGTAGCTGGGATTACAGGTGTGTGCCACCATGCCTGGCTAATTTTTGTATTTTTAGCAGAGATAGGGTTTTGCCATGTTGGCCAGGCTGGTCTTGAACTCCTGGCCTCAGGTGATCCACCTGCCTTGCCCTCCCAAAGTGCTGGGATTACAGGCATGAGCCATCTCACTTGGCCAATATTTCCTTTTATGCCTGGCTTCTTGCACTTAGCATATTTTTTTGAGCTTCATTCATATTGTTGCAGGTAACAGTAGTTGGCTCCTTTTTATTACTAAATACTATTTCATTATATGGATATACCACATTTTGTTTATCCATTCATCTGCCGATGAACATTTGGGTTACTTCCACCTTTCAGCTATAGTGAATAATGCTGCTATGAACATGGATGTAAAAATATTTGTTTGAGTCTCTGTTTTCACTTTTTTGGGGGTATATACCTAGAAGTGGAATTAACGAATCCTACTGTAATTCTATGTTCATACATCACGTCATTTTCCACAGCTACTGAGCCATTTTACATACCCACCAGCAACACACTAGAGTTCCCATTTCTCCATATTCTCATTAAAATTTCTTATTTTCTGTCTTTTTGTTAGTAGCCATCTTAATGGGTATAAAGTGGTATTTCATTGTGGTTTTGATTTGCATTCCCCTAATAATTAGTGATGTGGAGAATCTTTTCATATGCTTATTGATCACTTGTTATCTTTTTTGGAGAAATGTTTATTCAAGTCCTTTGCCCATTTTTCAACTGGGTTGTTTGTTTTTTTGTTGTTGAATTGTAGGAATTCTTTGCATATTCTGGCCCTTATCAGATATATGACTTGCAAATATTTTCTCCCATTCTGTGGGTTGCCTTTTCACTCTGTTGATAGTGTCCTTTGATGCACAGAAGTTTTTAATTTTGATGAAGTTTAACTGATCTATTTTTTCTTTTATTGCCTGTGCCTTTGGCATCATATCCAAGAAATCATTGCCAAATCCAACGTCATGAAACTTTTCTCCTAAGAGTTTTATAGTTTTATCGCTTATGTTTAAGTCTTTGATCTATTTTGAGTTAATTTTTGTATACAGTATAAGGTAAAAGTTCAACTTTATTCTTTTGCATGTGGATATCCAGTTTTCCCAACACTGTTGGTTGAAAAGACTGTTGAATGGTCTTGTCATTGAATGGCTTTGGTAGCCTTGTCAAAAACCATTTGACCACAAACCTGGACAACATGGTGAGACACTGTTTCTAAAAAAAAAAAAAAATTAGCCCAGTGTAGTGGTGTGTGTCTGTAGTCCCAGCTATGGGGGATGCTGAGGCAGGAGGATCAGTTGAGCCTGGAAAGTCAAGACTGTAGTGAGCTATAATGGTGCCACTGCGCTCCACCCCTGCAGCCGAGTGAGACCCTGACTCAAAAATTAAAAAACATCGTTTGACCACATATGTGGGGATTTATTTTTGTGCTCTCTATTATATTCCACTGGGTGTCTGCCTTTATGTCAGTACCATACAATTTTGATTACTTTGGCTTTGTAGTACATGTTCAAAGGAGGAAGTAGGAGACCTCCAACTTGGTTCTTTTTCAAGATTGTTTTGACTAGTCAGATATTCCATATGAGTTTTATGGTAGATTTTCCTAGTTTTGCAAAAAATATTGTTGAGATTTTGATAGAGATTGCATTGAATCTGTAGATTGCTTTGAGTAGTATTGAGATCTCAACAATTGCATTGAATCTGTAGGTTGCTTTGAGTAGTGTTGAGATCTCAACAATATTAAATCTTCCAGTCCGTAAACACAGACTATCTTTCCAATTATTTGTGCCTTCTTTAATTTTTTTTAACAACATTTTGTAGCTTTCAGTGTACTAGTCTTTCAGCCCTTTAAATTTATTCCTAAGCATTCTATTCTTTTTGAGGTTATGGGAAGTGGAATTGTTTTCTTAATTTCTGTTTCAGATTGTTCATGGTTATTGTATAGAAGTGAAATTGATTTTTGCGTTCATAACTTTTTTTTTAAAAGAGATAGGGTCTCATTTTGTCACCCAGGCTGGAGTGTAGAGGTACAATTATACCTCAAGGAGTGCACCCTCGAAATCCTGGACTCAAGTGATCCTCCTGCCCCAGCCTCCAGAGTGGCTGGGATTATAGGTATGAGCCACCACACCTGGCTGTTCATAACTTTTTTTTGAGACAGAGTCTCACTCTGCTGTCAGGCTGGAGTGCAGTGGTGTGATCTTGGCTCACTGCAACCTCCACCTCCTGGGTTCAAGTGATTCTTGTGCCTCAGCCTCCCAAGTAGCTGGGATTACAGGTGTGCACCACCACACCCAGCTAATTTTTGTTTTTTTAGTGGAGATGGGGTTTTACCATGTTGGCCAGGCTGGTCTCGAACTCCTGGCCTAAAGTGATCTGCCCACCTTGGCCTCCCAAAGTGCTGGGATTACAGGTGTGACCCACCATGCCTGGCCAATAACTTTTAAGACATTGATCCACCATCATCTGACATCTAGGTTTTCTTTTGAGAAGTTTGACCCATTTTGATTCCTATTACTTTTAATGTACGTGCTCCCTCCACCCCCATCTTGACCCATGGAAGTTGTAGGGATCATCTCTTTATCTTTGATGTTCTGAAATGTCACAGTTATATTCCCTGATGTTGGTCTTTTTCCATTCACTAGAACAGTCACTTGGAGTACCCTCCATGTCCTTTAATTCTGGGAAATTATATTTAATTTTTTCCATCAATAACTTCCTTTGCACAATTTTTCTCTTCTACCTTTATAAAATTCTTGTTATTTGGATTTTAGCTCTTTGTTATTTGGATTTTAGCCCTTTGTGCTTACACCAGATTTTTATATCTCTTTCACTTTTATTTTCTATTTTGTTGCCATTTGGTCATAATGTGTGGGAGATTTCCTTAACTTTTAATTTTAATCCTTCCGAATAATGTTATTTTGGTTATTGGTTTAAATTTGCAAGAGCTCTTTCTTGTTTTCAAGTTGGGCTTTTTAATAGCATTTACTTTTGTTTATGGATGAGAAATCATCTTATCTCTCTGAGGATATTATTGCCTTGTCTATTTTCCTTCCAAATTCCTTTTTTTCCTGTTTGTTTTTGATCGTATCTTCTAGGAGAATATTTCCTCAAGGGTCTGATGGTCCTTGGCCCTGTGTCCATGCTTAAGTGGAGGCTGTTTGTGTGTAGGGGAGGGCCTTCCTGGGGGAGATGAGGTTACCACTGCATCCCACTAGTGTTAATATGTGAGGGTCTTTTTCTTTCTACCCTGGAAGTGTCATACAATCTCCTGCTCCAGAATTCCGGTGATGTGTGTGAGGGCGTTCTCAGCTGCTTGCAGCCCAGAAACAGAGCAGGAAAGGGCTGGCAATTTCATGTTTCTCCATGTAAAGAATGAACTTTCACCAAATTTCCCTATTGTTACTGTTGTACTGTCTTTGCCTTGCGCCTGTCCTTTGGTGATCCCATTTCTCTGAATTCAGAACCTCTTCGGTTTACATTTTTTTTTTCCAGAAAAAACCTTACAGTTTCCTAGGGAAAGGTGGATGCCTGGCTGCCTGCATTGGTGAAGACTCCTGGGAAGTCCACATGCTCCAAATATCGGCTTCCGATCATTTCCCTTCTTTTCACCTCAACTCCCATGACCGCAGGGTTGTTGGCTGAAAGTTGGTAGATGAGCTTACGAGCTTGCTAACACCACACCATTTTGAATACATTGGCTTTGTATTTAATATCTCATGAGGCAAGTCCCTCCATGCTACTCTTAATTTTCTTGGCTATTGTTAGATGTTTTGATATGAGTTTTTAAAACAATCACAAATACTTTAAATCTGTAGAATGGTTCGGATCTACACATATTTTGTAACAATTTAACTTCATGTCCCAAATAACTCTGTTGGGATTCTAATTGAATTCTTATTCATTCTTGCATCTCTAGTGCCCTGCCAAGGGCCTGGATCATGTTACGCTTTCAAAAAACATCTGTTAAATGGAAATAAACCTCTGATCCCAACGCCTATGCTTTTTCTATTACATGGTCCTGTCTGATTTGTGCTCAGATCACAGAGCCAGCTGGTAGCAGAACCAGAAGAACTCAGGCCTCGTAACTCACCAGTCAGTACTTTTTATACCATACTTGTACCTGTAAACCCATTCTTAGCTATTACACACAGCCCAGTATAAAGGCCAGGCCAGTGTGAACAAAAGGTGATAAAGCCACAGAAATGAAAGCATTTTAAAACCCTGATGAAATCTCTCTGCCTGGATCAGACCTTCCCACTTCCATGCTAAGCTTCTGTGTGGGGTAGTAGGACAGGCAGGTGATGCCTCCAGCCCAGATGGATACATTTATGGTGGGGCACAGGAAAGGCTATCAAGTTTGTTTATGTTTTCCCATAGGAGGGGCCATATTTCTATGGTATAAAGATGAGTGCAAAAGTAAGATGGTTTATCTGCCATGTCTGATCCATGTGGAGTTTAAGTAATAAAGTTTATTAGTGCCCCTGATTTAATATGACACATTTCCAGTGCAAATTACTCTGAGATCATCGTGTTCATAAAATATGACAGAAATCTTTTAAGTGTGAGCATAAGTTCTGAATTAATTTAATAACCCAGTCTGGAAAAAGGCATGTGGTTTAAAACATAACATTATGCACTGGACTCCTGCTTTCTCTTCCAGCCACTCCCATCCCCGTGCCTTTTTTGAAAAGCCCATCTTTGTGTCCAAGTCATCTGACCTCTTCTCAGAGTTCAGGGTTTTACCTTCTCCAGGAGGTTAGTGTGGCTAAGGAGGGAGGATTTGTCCCCGTACCTGGGGGCAGAAGTTGGTTTTAATTCTTAATGACACCTGCCCCAAAGGAATGGACAGGAGCTGCCTTGAGAATAGTGCTTAGTCTCTGTGATTTACTGCCCTTTGGTGGGGCTGGGAGGCAGTGGGAGAGGAGGCATGGCATAGACATAACATTAGAGGGCTGTGGTTTTGGGGAACATGAACACCACCCCCTTTATCTTTCTAGATGGGGAAAAAATTATGGCATCAGGACACATGCCCCAACTGTCAAATGCATGTGAAATCCCTGTGGGAATTATGAAGTGTAAGTCATGGTTCTATTTATCTTGTGGCAATGTAAAACACAACATACACACACATGCACACACAAACATACATATGCATACACACATACACACACATGCACAAACACACACATGCACAAACACACATGGGTGCACACACGCACACTCACACACATGCAAGCTTTTATCAAGATAGAAAATGAAAATAAAGAAAAGCAATGGGCACTTTGGTCTAACTCAACCAGTGTGACATTTGGCCTTCCCACGACCAGGCCTGTGACCACCGTGTCAAAGCAGCCCACCCACCACGTTCCTCCTCCTGCTTGGATGGTGCAGGCCTGGGCCTGCTACCTTGCCCACTCACTCCCTGTGGGCAATTCCGGGCAGTCCTGTCCCTTTTGTGGACCTTAGGGCCCCACTTAGTGCTGTCTGCTAAGTAGGCGAGGACACTAGACCAAGGGAACCTCCTGAGACGTGCTCTGGTGCCAGCCTCTGGTCCCTGCTTCAGCATCCACGCAGAGCCCGGAGGGCACCCTGCATGCCCGGAGCTAAGTCCTTTTCCCTGACTGTGCTGCCTGGAACACAGAACAGGGCAACATGCTCCAGGTGGATGAGCTCCTCAGGGGAAGCCGCCACCAGGTCAGAATGGGTGCTTTCCCACAGCACCAGACCTCACCCGAGGGGCACTGCGGAGGGTGGATGCCATTCCTATTTCAGGTTTCCCCTGTCCTCTAGGAGCTGCCAGCAGCAAGAGCTCAGAGCAGGTTTTAACAAGAGGCCTCACATCATTCCTCTCAGGGGGAAGTCCGAAGAGTGGTACCTGCCGTCTTCTCAACCCATAAGCAGGAGCTGTTGGAGGGGCCTTCACCACTCCACCTCCCACAGCAGCTCCGTGGGCCTAGGGTTCTGAATCACTGTCTCCTCTGTGCCTTGGTTGGTCTGAATGCCCCCACCTGGATTGCCTTTTTCCCTGTAACGAAGCCTTCTGCTCCCTCAAAGTGGGACTGTTCAAGTCCCACTTCCTCCCTAAAACACTCCCCCCAGAAGCAGCCAACAACGATGTCTTTTCACGTGTCTGTGGAGGGGAGGAGAGCTGCAGGGTGGTAATGAGGGCTGACCACAGTCCCAGAAAGATTGTGCAGGCTGGACCTGGGTCTGCTCTCCATTCGGAGGCCACCGCTGCCCCCAATACCTCTCCCAGTGTAAGACACGTGGTAGACAATCAGCCCTGCACGAAGAATGACTGAACGTGCCGTGCATGTGTCCTGGAGAGGGGACAACGCAATTCCATGGACCTGCCACACGAGGATTCCTTGCCGTCCAGGGGTGCTCTGGGAAGTGGTTGAAGTCATGGGCTCTGTTCCCAATCCTGGGCTTTCTCTCCTTGGGATGGAAGGGGAGGGCCGGCGTGTCAGCATCACAGGTCACACCATGTCATGCAGAGCCTCATTTGACTTCCAGGCCAATGGCAACATTTTGTTACCTCCCTGAGAAGCTCCACTTGAAGACGACAATCTACATTTGCTTGTGTTCAAATAATGCATTCCAGATCAGGGCCAGCAGCAGCTCTGAGGCAGACACTGGTATTTACTGCATAGATAAAAACCCCCTTCCTGACAGAATGGAGATTTCTCAAGAACTAAAAATAAAACTACCGTTCCATCCAGCAATCCCACTACTGGGTATCTACCCCAAGGGAAATCATTGTGTAAAAAAATACCTGCACTCATGTTTACTGCAGCATATTCGCAATAACAAAGTTAAGGAATCAAGCTAAGTGTTCATCAATGAAGGACTGGATACAGAAAATGGAATACTGTACAGCCATAAAAAAGAATACAGTTGGCCAGGCACAGTGGCTCACACCTGTAATCCGAGCACTTTGGGAGGCCGAGGCAGGTGGATCACCTGAGGTCAGGAGTTCGAGACCAGCCTGGCCAACATGGTGAAACCTCGTCTCTTCTAAAAATACAAAAATTAGCAGGGTGTGGTGGTACGTGCCTGTAATCCCAGCTACGTGGGAGGCTGAGGCAGGAGAATCGCTTGAACCTGGGAGGCGGAGGTTGCAGTGAGCTGAGATTGTGCCCTTGCACTCCAGCCTGGGCGACAACAGCGAAACTCTGTCTCAAAAAAAAAAAAAAAAAAAAAAAAAAAAAAAGAAATCATGTCCTTTGCAGCAACATGGATGGAACTTATCCTAAGTGGAATAACTCAGAATCACAAAGTCAAATACTGCATGTGGTCATTCACAAGTAAGAGCTAAACAATGCATACACACAGACATACAGAGAGGGGAGTAATAGACGTTGGAGACTCCAAAGGGTGGGAGGGTGGGAGGCTGGGAGGGAGGTGAGGGCTGACATATTACCTATGGTGTACAGTGTTCACTATTTGGATGATGAATACACTAGAAGCCCAGACTTCATCACTATGCAATAGATGCACCTAAGAAATCTGCACTTTTGCCCCCTAAGTGTGTGAAAATTAAAAAATTAAAAACAACAACAACAACAACACTTTTCTTGTATCCAGAAGACATGCTTTCAGGGAACTCCTTGGGAGAAGTCCCACCAACTCTCCAGGTAAGGTCACCTCATTTTAAAGTCAGGGAGCCAAACATGGGGAGAAACTCCCCTTTCCACCTGCCTTCCACTCTCCCTTCATTGCCACGGGGTGACGGCACTGTGATGCAGACAGCATGATTATTGGGTCCCCAGTTTAAGGACCACCTCTTCTCAAGGTGAAAATCATTTCCCAGTTTGAGTTGGACACATGATTCCTGCAGACTTGGATATTGAGGCCCAAGGCATTGGCCATAGGGTGATAGGTTTGGATCCGTGTCCCCACCAAATCTCATGTTGAATTGTAATCTTCAATGTTGGAGGTGGGGCCTGATGGGAGGTGATTGGATCATAGGGGTGGATCCTTCATGAATGATTTAGCACTGTCCCCTTGGTGCTGTTTTTGTGATAGTGAGTTCTCATGAGATCTGGTTGTTTAAAAGGGTGTGGCGTCCCCTCCTCTCTCTCTTGCCCCTGCTCTGGCTGTGTGACATGACTGCTTCCCTTTTACCTTCCCCCATGATTGGAAGCTTCCCCAGGTCCCCCAGAAGCTGAGCAGATGCCAGCACCATGCTTCCTGTACAGCCTGCAGAACCGTGAGCTCATTACATCTCTTTATAAATTACCCAGTCTCAGGTATTTCTTTATAGCAATGCAAGAATGGACTGCTACACAGGGATAGCCCGCTGGGACACCAACCCAGGCTGCAGGCGTGTGGATTTGCCCTCCCGAGGAGGTGTTCCTGTTTCCAGGTCCTTGGTTTCCCTGCCTGTGAACTTTGTGTGGAAGTTGGGGATGGTCACTGGGTGATGGAGTTGTGATGCATGCTGCAGGACACCTTCTCCCGTCCTCCCTCTCCCTCCAGCACTGTCCTCATGGCCTGTCCCTCTCCACAACTGCTCTTGCTGCCCTCTGTGCCAGCAGGATGGACAGTTTCTTCTTTGGTGTTCCCTGTTCTAGCTTCATTATTTTATTCCTATCTTTTTGCATGTGTCTACCTCTATCTCTAACCTGCGATTCCTCCCAGCGAGGCACAGTGTCATAGTTAGCTCTGTGTCCAGTGCAGTGCGCAGACCTAGCAGGTTCACTGAGTAGATGAATAAATTTATAAATATCCATTGCTGCCCGTCCTTCAAGGCCAACCTCACTTTCTATCGCCTCTTGTCCAATTTTTTCCAGACCTACGATCTCTCAATTCTTACCCTTTATTCAACAAATATTTATTCATTTATTTAATTTTATCTTATTATTTATTTATTTATTTATTTACTTATTTGAGATGGAGTCTCACTCTGTCACCGAGGCTGGAGTGCAGTGTCACGATCTTGACTCACTGCAACCTCTACCTCCCAGGTTCAAGCGATTCTCCTGCCTCAGCCTCCCAAGTAGCTGGATTACAGGCATGTGCCACTACGCCCGGCTAATTTTTGTATTTTTTTTTAGTAGAGACGGGGTTTCACCATGTTGGCCAGGCTGGTCTGAAACTCCTGATCTCAAGAGATCCGCCCGTCTCAGCCTCCCAAAGTGCTGGAATTATAGGCATGAGCCACTGTGCCCCACCCCTATTGACTTCTTTACATATCAAAAACAGTTATCTTTTGGCTTATTTATTAAAAGTGTATTTCCTGGTTTATCTTTTGCCTTTTAATTTGGCTAAGTATCCGATTCCTAAAGCTAGAAAGAGTCTTTGAGGACTTTTTTTTTTTTTTTTGAGACAGAGTCTTGCTCTGTCACCCAGGCTGGAGTGCAGTGGTGCAATCTCAGCTCACTGCAACCTCCACCTCCTGGGTTCAAGCAGTTCTCCTGCCTCAGCCTCCCAAGTAGCTGGGATCACAGGTGCATGCCACCACGCCCGATTATTTTGTATTTTTAATGGAGATGGGGTTTCACCATGTTGGCCAGGCTGGTCTTGAACTCCTGACCTCAAGAGGTCCAGCCAGCCACCTCAGCCTCCCAAAGTGCTGGGATTACAGGCGTTGCGTGAGCCACCGCACTGAGGATTTTTTTTTTTTTGAGATGGAATCTTGCTCTGTCGCCAGGCTGGAGTGCAGTGGCACAATCTCAGCTCACTGAAACCTCCACCTCCCAGGTTCAAGTGATTCCCCTGCCTCAGCCTCCTGAGTATCTGGGACTACAGGCACCTGCCACCACGCCGGGATAATTTTTTGTATTTTAGTAGAGATGAGGTTTCACCACGTTGGCCAGGGTGGTCTCGATCTCCTGACCTCATGATCCACCCGCTTCAGCCTCCCAAAGTGCTGGGATTACAGGCATGAGCCACCGTGCCCGGCCGAGGACTTTTAATTGAACTCTTTCACCTGGAAAACAAGGAATCTAACACCAAAATATTCAAATGACTCCCAAGTAGCTTACAGCATTGGCAGTAGTGTGGCTAGAACATCGGTTCCTGGATTCTCAGTGTTCAGAACCCTTGATCTTTCCCGTGTCAATACACAGGACTGATCGTAGATCACTGTTCTTTGCTTCCTAGTAGTTTTGTTTCTATTAGTTTTGCCTTCCTATAAAGAAGGCAGGGATTGTCCCTCATAGCTACTCTCCATCCCCTCCACCTGGCTCCCAACTCCTGCTTCCTGTGCATTCCTGAACCTCTGCTAGGAATTTAGCCGTTCCTTAATAAACGCTTGTTGGTTAATACACTGCTTTTAGAAGAGTTATCAATAACAGATATACAAAGGATTTCATTTGATGCTTAAAATAAATCCATGAAGAGGGCGAGGCTGATATCTACATCCCTGTTTTATAGATGAGGAAACTGAGGATCAGAGAATTCAAGAGTCTTATTCAAGATCGCACAGCTAAACCCAGGCAAAGCAGAACTGCAATAATGCTCCCTTCCACCTGCCTTCTGCTCACCCTTCACCACAGTGGAGTGGCGGCACTGGCTTCTTTGGTCTTGAAGCTCCTGTTCATTCTTCTGTACTGAGCTCTGCCTCCCAAAGGCTCCCTTGCTCCTCCTCTACGCCCCCTGACTGGGGGAAATGGCTGGCAGGTCTTTCTGATGCTTGGATGGGTTGAAGAGGGGGAAGCCAGAGGCACCGGGTCACCCCCTTCCATGCAAGGAACTGGGTGACAGAGCTAGATCTTGATCGAGTTTCCTGAGGGAAAAATCAGAAGCCCACAAAAAGGAGCACAGCTTCATAGGACGTGGGGAGGTCAAGCAGCCTGGGTTTTGTGTTTTTCCCCCCGTTTTAAAAATGGAGGTGAAATTCATATAAAATTAAGCCTTTTAAAGTGAACAATTCATCCACATTCAGTCACTCACAATGTGGTGCAACTCCACTTCTGTCTAGCTGCAAAACCCTTTCCTCACCCCAAAACAAAACCCTGCAGGCGTTAAGCAGTTCTTCCCTGTGAGTCCACTTTCTGGCTCTATGGATTGACCTATTCTGGATATTTCAGGAAAACGGAATCATATGCCTCCTGTCCCTGGCTTCTTCCACTTGGCATCATGTTTTTAAGGCCCCTCTGTGTGTGGCATCGACGCTTTATTCCTTCTATGCCTGAACACCAGCATAAGTGTATGCCACAATGTGTTATCCATTCATCTGTTGGCAGACAGATGGGTTGTTTCTACCTGGCATGGGTTTTGAGGACAAAAGCTTATGTGAGTCAGAATCCCTTCAGTTACCCTAAAACCAACTGTTTCTGGACCCTGCCCCAATCTCTGGGTGAAAATGCATTTCTTAGGCCGAATGCAGTGGCTCAGGCCTGTAACGTCAGCACTTTGGGAGGCCAAGGCAGAAGGACCGCTTGGGGCCAGGAATTTGAGACCAGCCTGGGCAACATAATGAGACCCCTATCTCCATAAAAAAAAAATTAAAATATTAGCCTGACATGGTGGTGTGCACCTGTAGTCCCAGCTATTTGGAAGGTGGGCAGATGACTTGAGCTCAGGAGCCTGAGTCCAGCCTGGATAACATGGTGAAACCCTGACTTGGAAGGCTAAGGCGGGCAGATGGCTTGAGCTCAGGTGTTTGAGATCAGCCTGGGTAACATGGTGAAATCTGTCTGTACGGAAAATACAAAAATTAGCCAGGTGTGGTGGTGCACGCCTATAGTCCCAGCTATGGGGGAGGCTGAGGCGGGGAGATTCCCTTGGGCCCAGGAGTTCGAGGCTGCAGTGAGCTCTCATCATGCCACTGCACTCCAGGGCGACAGAGCAAGACCCCATCTCTTAAAAAAAAAAAAAAGAAAAGAAGAAAATGCTTCTCTCGAGATGAGAGGTGAGGACCCTGTTGGATCGTAAAGTGGGCTCCAGGTGGAGACTCTGAGATCTGAGTAGGTTGGGAATTTCCAGGCCCTTGGCCCTGGTGTCGGTGGCTGCAGGTACACAACGAGGACCATGGACTCTGTCGTGGGTCTTAGTCGAGGGCTGCTCTTCTGATCCTCCCACAGGTGGGAAGAAGCCACCCGTAATCACCTCTCTCTTCCACTTCGTTAACAGCTTCAATTAGCCAGGAGCCGGTGAGGCTCCATCAGCTGCCTGCATCAGCAGCAACATTAAGCTGCCACATTTATGAACTGCCCAGTGAGTTCTGGGAGGAACTTTGCATATTTTATATTTAATAACTTGTTTCTCATTTTTATTGATCATGTTAATAATGATTTGGGGGGTGCTCTGGGAGAGCGTACGAAAAGAGAGAAAGAAGACAGCGACGTCGACACAGAGAGATGGCAGTTCCTATGACAAAGGGATGAGCATTCTCCCTCCTGCTTTCACCTGCCCCTGCCTCAACCTCCGCAACAGGTGTGAGGCAGCCTAGCACCACTGAGGCAGCGGGGGCTTTCTGGCAACGCAGACTGCTCTCTCCGGAGGCCGCATGACCAGGGAGCGGCGGTGAGGTTGGTGTGGGGTGGGAGGTGTCTTTGTGTGTTCAGCAACCTCTCCTGCCTGCTGATAATGTTTCTACCCTCTGATGGGGCTTTTTTGGGGTCCAGGAGCACTTGAGGGGCTTTAGGAGGGCCAGTCCTCGAAGCAGGCCTCTCCTGACCCCCTTCCTTCACATCCACAGGCCTGCCCGGGAGCTTCTTCTGTGATCCGTCTGTGGGTGGAGGAGGCGTCGGATCAGGCAAGGGAAACTGGGTTTTTGCCTCAGGAGATGTTTCACACGCTGTTTGCATTGTGGGTTTTGCTTGGAGAGTCCCTTAGCATCTATCAAAATGAGTGTTTTAGTGGCTCGCCAATGAACAACTCTTCATTTTTTTTGGTGGTTGTTGTTGTTTCTTTTTTAGAGACAGGGTTTGACTCTGTTGCCTAGGCTGGAGTCCAGTAGTGCAATCATAGCTCACTGAAGACTCGAACTCCTGGGCTCAGGGGATCCTCTTGCCTCAGCCTTGTGAGGAGCTGAAACTACAGGCATGTGCCACGACACTTGGCTGATTTTTTATTTTATTTTTTTGTAGAGATGGGATCTTGCTCTTTTGCCCAGGCTGGTCTCAAACTCCTGACCTCAAACGATCCTCCTGCCTCGGCCTCCCAAAGTGTGGGATTACAGGTGTGAGCCACTGCGCTCAGCTTTGTGACTCCTTATTTTGGATTTGAAGACACTAGGGTCCAGAGAGGTTAAGTGACCTTCCCAAGGTCACCAGCTGTTGGGTAGTAGCACTGGAGTCAGCCCAGGGCTTCTCCACTTCAGGGTGGAATAGTAGGGATGCTTAGGCTCTTAGATCACCTGGCCTGGCCTCAACCCCTAGCTCCACCTCTGACTCTCTGTGTGACCTTGGGTAAATTATTTTGCTTCTCTGATTCTCAGTATGCTCTTCTGTAATACAGGAATAATGAGAATCTCCATCTCACAGGATTGCTGGGATCCCATTCATGAGCACACTTGGTAAACAATACATCGCCATATGCATACTACTTATTGATTGCTTTTTACTAAAAAGCCTCCCCTGTCATGCAGCATTGCTGGATAGAGTCCAGAACAGGGGTTTACAAATTTTCTCACAAAAGGCAAGTGAGTATATATTTTAGGTGTGGTGTGCCTTCTGATTTCTGTTTTAACGACTCTACTCTGCTGTTGTATTTCGAAAGCAGCCATGCACAATGCATCAAGGAATGGAACTTCTGTGTTTTAACGAAACTTTCTTTATATAAACAGGCTCTGGTTGGATTTATCCTGCAGACTGCAGTTTGTGGATCCATGTTCCAGGGCAGCAGGTTCCTGGGGCGAAAAGCACCAGGATTTTGAGAAAGGAGGGCTGTCTTGTGGGATGGTTCCCTGATCATGGATATGCCGAGACACATCCACTGTACTGCAGTCTGGTTGAATTACAGGACATTTTAAAACAAATTTTTTTGAGACAGGGTCTCTCTGTTTCCCAGGCTAGAGTGCAGTGGTGTGATCATAGCTCACAGCAGCCTTGAACTCCTGGGCTCAAGCCATCCTCCCGTCTTAGTCTCCTGATTAGCTGGGACTACAGGTGCGCACCACCACGCCTGGCTAACTCCTAAATATATACTTTTTTGTAGAAACTGAGCCTCACTATGTTGCCCAGGCTGGTCTTGAACTACTGGGCTCAAGAGATCTTCTTATCTTGGCCTCCCAAGTGCTGGGATTCCAGGCATGAGTCACTGTGCCCAGGCCCAGACATTTTTTCTTTTTCGAGACAGAGTTTTGCTCTATCACCTAGGCTGGAGTGCAGTGGTGTGATCTTGGCTCATCGCAGCCTCTGTCTCCTGGGTTCAAGTGATTCTCCTGCCTCTGCCTCCTGAGTAGCTGGGACTCTGGGCCTGTACCACCACACCTGGCTATTTTGTTTTTGTTTTTTTTTGTATTTTTAGTAGAGACAAGGTTTCACCATGTTGGCCAGGCTGGTCTTGAACTCCTGACCTGAAGTGATCTACCTGTCTCGGCCTCCCAAAGTGCTGAAATTACAGGCTTGAGCCACCATGCCAGGCCCATTTTTTTTTTTTCAATTTCACTTTAATTTCTGGGATACATGTGCAGAACGTGCCGGTTTGTTACGTAGGTATACATGTCCCATGATGGTTTGCTGCACCTATCAACCCGTCATCTAGGTTTTAAGCCCATATGCATTAGGTATTGGTCCTAATGCTCTCCCTCCCCTTCCCCACCACCCCCATATATATATTTTTTAACCTGCAAATTATCACTGCCAAGAAGGTAGTGTTAAAAGCTCATGCGGCCGGGCACAGTGGCTCATGCCTGTAATCCCAGCGCTTTGGGAGGCCGAGGCGGGTGGATCATGAGGTCAGGAGATCAAGACCATCCTGGTTAACATGGTGAAAACCCGTCTCTACTAAAAATACAAAAAAATTAGCCGGGCGTGGTGGCACACGCCTGTAGTCCTAGCTACTTGGGAGGCTGAGGCAGGAGAATCGCTTGAACCCAGGAGGAGGAGGTTGCAGCAGTGAGCCAAGATCATGCCATTACACTTCAGCCTGGGCGACAGAGGAGACTTAGTCAAAAAAAAAAAAAAAAAAAAAGCTCATGCATGCAGCTTCCTGTGGGCATCTCTAAAGGGAACTGTGCAGGCCTGGTCCCCGTGCTGTGTGAGCTTGGCCCAGCTTAGGCTTAGACAACCTATTCACTCCAAGTGCTTTCCTCTGCAACAATCAGGGAAATGGCCCTGTGCTAAAGATTTTGTGGTTAAAGATTATCCTACTTTCCTCCATTGCTGGCTCTTCCCTGGAAGTTTCTATGGCCATTGACCTGGAGGATAAGGCAGGACAAAGGAAGAGGAGGGAGCCCAGAAAATGGTGGATATGGGAGGAGCTGGATGAGCTGCACCATAGCCAGTCACTTCTCGTGTTCACCTGCTATGTGCACACCAGTCTTTGATCTCAGTGTCTCCCAGACACAAGATCTAATCTTCTCCATCATCTTACAAGGTAAATTATGATTGCCCTCATACAGGTGGAGGAGCAGAGACCAAGAGAAGTCAGTTACCTGCCCAAGGGAGTGAGGGTGGGGGTGAGATCCAGCCTGGGTCTATGTGATTTCCAGGCTCATTATCTTTCTACCACACCTTGTTGCCAGGCAGATTTATTAGGTCTGCAAAGCTCATCAGAAATGCATTCACCTGCTCCCTCCACTCCCTCTTTCTCTGGGGCAAACATGAGAGGTGGGGTGATAGGGTTGGAAAAGAGTAGACTGAATCCAGCATCCAAATCCGGGTTCATTCGACCTTGGGCAAGTCACAGCCGCTCGCTGGGCCTCGGTTTCCATATCTGTATCCTGAGATAGACTTGAAGGTACCTTTCAGCCCTGTGATTCTCAGAGCTTTTCTGCAAATAGCCTGTGGTGGCCAATATGTTCTTCTTTCTTCTCCCTGTCTGGCTGCTGGATGGGAGGGAGGGAGAGAGGGAGGCAGCTGGGAGGCAAGGTCAGTCAATTCTGAGACAAGACCAAAGCCTAAGAGATAGGGAGTGGCGTGCTGAAAGATGATGGCTGGCAAAAATCATTAGAAGCATCTTTCAACAATCTATATGCTGTTATCGATCTTGTTATAGATCACCTTCTTCCATTCCTCCCCCTACCTTCTTTTCCCCCCCAAGATCTTCTGGATCAATACAGCAAGTGCATTGAGACTGTAGCAACACATTTAAAACCTTATAAAAGGTTATTTAGTTGCTAACAGTGCAGTGGTTTCTGCAAAGCCTGCCAAAAGGTTACAGCTTTTTGGAGATCATAAATTACAGACGACAGGAAAAAAGTAAGTGCGGTTTTCTTTATTGTCTTGATGATGGATGGACTCCTGAACAAGGCAGAAAATACATCATATCACCTTTAATGGGCGTGCATTTCTGCAGCCATAACTCACAATTTTAAAAGAGAAAATGGTGAAATATGGCGTTGTATATTCCACTTGTGACATATTTATGAGTCCTTGCCTTCTTATAAATACAGTGATTGCTATTTCAAAGCACCATGTCAGGTATGAGCTGAGCACAAACAGCTGGCGCGGCTGAAAAATTATAGCCAGAGTGGACGTTTTCAAAAACTCTCTCTTGCAGCAGTAAATTTACAGTGTTTGCACTAACTGTTATTAAAACCAAATCCATATCTTGGCAACAGGAATCCATTGCTCAGTAACAGCTGGAGTGACAGTGTGCTCCGACAGCTGGGGTGAGCTGTAAACTTGGCTAAGGTGCACATCACCCAGAGAAGGTCACGGGCCTCAGACTAAGACCAGGGGGCTCCCGGGTCTGGAGCCCAGGCCAGGGGCCCTGTTGGACACGCCTCTGTTTCCTCTCTGACCCCCGGGGCCACGCGTGCTGCTTGGAGCTCCTTCCCTCCCTGGGAAGGACCCTTCCCTGACAGTTTTCTGTCGGGGTCTTTGAGCCAGTCAGCCCTGCCCCCTCTCAGTTCCCTCCCCTCCAGCCTGTGAGTCATTCCAGTGTCCAGAGAAGGAGACAACGCAGCCTCAAACAAGGACAGACCATGTGGGTACAGCCCAGAAAGGAAAGACAAAGAACAGAGTTCAGCAGGGCGGGTGTGGGTTGAAGAGGTAGGGAGAGGCCCATTGGGCTTCGGGTTAAAAAAAGAAGGCAGGATTGGCTGGGCGCGGTAGCTCATGCCTGTAATCCCAGCACTTTGGGAGGCCAAGGGAACAGATCACCTGAGGTCGGGAGTTTGAGATCAGCCTGACCAACATGGAGAAACCCTGTCTCTACTAAAAATACAAAATTAACTGGGCTTGGTGGTACATGCCTGTAATCCTAGCTACTCAGGAGGCTGAGGCAGGAGAATAGCTTGAACCCAGGAGGCGGAAGTTGCGGTGAGCTGAGATGGTGCCATTGTACTCTAGCCTAGGCAACAAGAGCCAGACTCCGTCTCAAAAAAAAAAAAAAGGCAGGATAAAAAAGGCCAGATTATTATCTATGCAGTAATAATACTGTTCAATCCCACCAACATTTGTTGAGCCCCTATTATGAGCTAGGGATAATTTTAAAGGTTGGAAATACAAAACTGAATTATAGGCATTGTTTTTACTTTCAAGGAGCTTACAGTCTATAGACAGTCTGAGATTCAGCTAGTAATACTGTGTCTTGCCTATTTTTGTATTTTATGCATTCTAAATAATTTCCTCATTTGCTATTTTATTTTATTTTTTTGAGACGGAGTCTCTGTCATCCAGGCTGGAGTGCAGTGGTGCAATCTTGGCTCACTGTAACCTCTACTTTCCAGGTTCAAGGGATTCTCCTGCCTCAGCCTCCTGAGTAGCTGGGATCACAGGTGTGTGCCACCACGTGGGCTAATTTTTTGTATTTTTAGTAGAGACAGGGTTTGGCCAGGCTGGTTTCGAGCTCCTGACCTCAAGTGATCCGCCAGCCTCGGCCTCCCAAAGTGCTGGGATTACAGACGTGAGCCACTGCGCCCGGCCTGTTTGGTATTTTATTTGGATATTTCAGCACCCAAATAAATACACGGCAGCACGGATGAAACTTCAGATATTATGTTAAATGAAAGAAGTCCGATACGAAAGAATATATACCCTGGGACTCAACTTATCTGAAGTCTAAATAAAGATAGGCAAAACAAATCTATGGGGGAAGAAGTCAGAAGAGTGTTTGCCACTGGGTGGTGGGGGGTGTAAGTGAGAGGAGACTCGAAGGAGTTCTGCAGTACTGTAAATGGCTCTATATCTTGGTTTGCATGGCGGGGACACAGGGTACACATAAGAAAAAACATCACTCTGTAAATGTAAGATTGATGCACTTTACACATTTTATATTTGTTATGCCTCAACTCCCTTCACTCCCACCCCACCCCAAGTCAGACACAGAGGACAGGCATCAGTAGCCTTGCTTTGCAGGTGGGGAAACTGAGGCATGGCTTGCCCAGGGATATGCAGTTGGTTTCAGAGGGAGCTCTGATTTCACTCTGGAGCCGACACTTATTTCAGTGACATTCTCACTTGATGGGTGGCCCTCTGAGAGGAAGCCTGCCCACCATAAGTGGGCCTCTTGCTGTGATACAGTGGTTTTCAGACTCTTTCTGGCAGCATAAACATCCCCCTGTCTTACGAACACACTGTCCCACAGAACCCGGATGAAGGAACAGGAAAGATCTGCTCTACGTGACATGGATGAGTGCAGGGACCACTCCTCCTGACAACAGAGTGGTCGTCCGTCTCTACTGTGAACCCGAGGTCTCTGGAGAGTGAGGCTTGAAGACCAGTGGTGCAGTGATTTTAACTCTAGCTTTGCAGTCTAGTCAGAACATTCCTAGTAATATCAAGGTGGCTCACACCTGTAATCCTAGCACTTTTGGGAAGCTAAGGCGGGAGGATCGCTTGAGCTCAGGAGTTTGAGACCAGCCTGGGCAACATATCAAGACCCCATCTCTAACAAAAATAAAAATAATTAGCCAGGTTTGGTGGAGCACACCTGTGGTCCCAGCTACTCAGGAGGTTGAGGCAGGAGGATTGTTTGAGCCTAGGAGTTGGAGGCTGCAGTGAGCTACGATTGTGCCACTGCACTCTAGCTTGGGTGACAGAGTGAGAACATGTATCAAAAAATTTAAAAAAATTTACACAAAAATTTGGGACTAATGATACGTACTCATTCACTCTTTCTTTCAAAATTGGTTGGGGTCCTTCTATTGGCTCAAAGGAGGTATTTGCTAGAACTGTGCAGGGGGCTGGAGATTAAAGTGACAACAATGAGGTCCCTGTTCTTGGGAATTTGCAGATTAGTGAGGGGTCCACTCTGTCTATACTGGCAAGGAGAGATAATTCCACTGTGGCATGGTAGAAGAGGACATCACGGAGGCAGTGATGTTGATGTTGGATCTTGAAGGATGAGTACAAGTTTACCGGGACCAGTAGTTCTAGGGAAGGGAACAGGATGAGCAGAGTTCAGCATGCCAGTAGCTTGGTTTGCAAGGGAGGGTGGCTGGGGATAAGATGGAAAAGGCAGGGCAAAGCCATATTTTGGAAGACATTAAATGTTACCCCAAGGAGTTAGGCTTTATCCTGTCAGTGAAAATAAAGCATTGAAAGTTTTGTCCAGGGGCTGGACATAGTCATTTCTGTGTTGGGGGCTGGACATAGCAAGGTCTGTGTTGGAGCCAGCTGCCTTTGGCAGTGTGTTGAAGCGTGGTTTGCAGTGAGGGGAGACTGACGTCAGAGAGACAGCTAAGTCTGTGATGATCTGAGTGGGAAGTGCGGAGGGTCATGTTGATTACTGTAGCGACTACAAGCTCTGAGAATGTGTGATTCACACTCAAATAGTGATCAAATAACAACAATTTTTCAAAAAGGTTGGGAATAATATAGAGGTCCAATTTAATGTTTCCACCATATTTTTTTTTTCAGGGGTAGGGTACTAGTGTGTATGTGATTTTAATAAAAATATGTTTAAAATCATTAAATACATCTTTTATTTATTTGTATTCGTATATATTCATGGGGTGCAGGTGCAATTGTGCTACCTTGATGTATTGCACTGTGGTGAAGTCAGGGCCTTCAGTGCATCCGTCACTGGAGCAATGCACAGTGTACCCACCAAGCAACCTCCCATCATCCACCCTCTCCCACCCCTTGAAGTCCCCATTGTCCATCATTCCACACTCTGCTTCCATGTGTACACATTATTTAGCTCACTTATTAAGTGAGAACAGGCAGTATTTGCCTTTGTTTAAGTTGTTTCACTTAAGATAATGGTCTTCAGTTCCATCCAAGTTGCTGCAAATAGTATGGCTGAATAGTATTTTTTATGGCTGAATAGTATTCCATGGTGTGCATAGACCACATTTTCTTTATCCAATTTTCCATTGATGGACACTTAGGTTGACTCCGTTTCTTTGCTATTATGAATAGTGCTGTGATAAACACACAAGTGCAGGTATCCTTTTGATATAATGAAAATACATGCTTCTTGTAAAAAAAAATATAGGCAAGAATAAGTTAGGGATGCATGAAAAGTCTGCCTTGGCCTTGCTACTTGTCTCAAATCTGCTATTTGGCTTCAGCTCTGGAGTTGGCCTGCAGAAGGCTGTATAGTTGATGGCAACTTCAATGTCATTTCTTGCATCCCTGAACTTGTATGTGATTGCATTGAATCTAATGATCATAACCATAGCAGTGATATGAACAAGGTATGGCACTGAGATTTATTAATAGCAAAACATTCATTCTGAAATAGAGGCACATCCTCTAGGTGTAACTTGGAGTGGGAATCTCTTTTGTGCTGTAAATTCCATCAAATTCCATCAGTCGGTTGAAGTTAAAATGTGCATTTATAATCATTGCAAGACTAAAGAGCTGCAATAACTGTGAAAGTGAGTGTTGTTACTTTTACGTACAGGAATTATGATGAACTTTCAAATAGTTACATAAATACGGGAAGAGTCAGCACTTAATTAGAGTCATAGGGGAGTAATGCTAGCTAGACAACTTTAGGGAAAACATATCCTTGTATCCTATTTGGGAGCCAAAACTATTATAAAATCCTAAAAAATAACTTTTAATAACTTTTTATTAAAGTTGATTAGCTGATGTCATTAAATCTCATTTTTACAGAATTATTTGTTGTAGCAACATGCATGACATTAAATAAAACAACCTTTCAGAGCTGTTTTTCATTTTTAAATATTTAATTCCCTCGAGGCCAGAAATCTTTCAAGAAAAAGTCTCATTTGAAAATCTTTCACATCTTGTGAGGATGAATAAAAGACAGAATGTCAACTTTGCCGCCTTAAAATTTCAAAAAGAGGAAACATTCCAAAATCGCATACAGCATCCATGATACATGATCCTTGATCCAGACATAAAAGAGAATATAAAAATGAAGAAAAGAGACGCTGTTAGAGAAAAATGGGACTTCCCTCCAAACATCTTGCTCCTCACCCACATGGGTGGAAGTGATCAACCCTCAGTCACTCAAATGGGCACAGGAAGGGCCTTGGATTATCCCTTCAAGCTGGCGGCCCAAGAAAACTGTTTCTGCACCCTATGTCAGCCCTTAAAACTTTACTATAGCTCTAATTCAAAATTGTAATAATAAAATTTGTATTTAAAATTATGCACAGGCTTTGGCCTCCTCTTCAGCTGAACTTTAACACTTGGCCATTTGGCATTCAGCCATAATGTACCTGTAACTGTAATGTACCCCTAAATATAAATTGAAAATCTTTTCTTCCCCCAACCCCTGGTCTCTTCTCCAGAGATTACCACTGGTGCTTAAGGGCCTTGTAATATTTCTATAAAATATTTGTATTTGTTCTTGCAACAGTGGGATCATCCCATATACTCTCCAGTAATTTGTTATGTACCATTACATTAAAGATAATTTAATTCAAACATCTTTCCATGAGACTATGTGTAGCTCTATCTTATGTTTTGTAATGACTTGCATATATTCTGTTGTATGGATGTGGCATTATTTAATGACCCAATCCTTAATTAAAGAACATTTAGTCTATTATCATTTTTTTTGAGAGGGAGTCTCGCTTTGTTGCCCAGGCTGGAGTGCAATGGCACAGTCTCGGCTCACTGCAACATCTGCCTCCCGGGTTCAAGCTATTCTCCTGTCTCAGCCTCTTGAGTAACTGGGATTACAGGTGTTGGCCACCACGCCTGGTTAATTTTTTAAAAATGTTTAGTAGAGACAGGGTTTCACCATGCTGGCCAGGCTGGTCTTGAACTCCTGACCTCAAGTTATCCACCTGCCTTGGCCTCCCAAAGTGCTGGATTACAGACATGAGCCACCATGCCAGCTGACTTAAGCTGTTTCTAATTTTCATCCATTGTAAAGAATGCTGCAATAAGCATTTTATACAGTTTTTTGTGAGCACTAATTATTTCCTTCATATATATGTATGCAAACACACACGCACATATTTTTGGTGTATCTTGCGATATTGTCTTTTGAAATATTGTATCAATTAATATTCCCACCCACAGTGTATATAAAGAAGCTTGTTTCCCTCACCAATACTGATTATCATCTGCCTTTTGAATCTTCGCCACTGTTGTGTGAAAATGATCTCCTGATATTTTAATATACATCTTTTTTTATTAGTGAGGTTGGACATTTTTCTATATGTCATCGTGTTGATAAGTTTTAATCTCAGAGGAAGTGATGCCATCCTAAGTGAAGGAGGAAACACACACTATGTGATGCTCTTGTTTTAGGTGGTTCCACATAGAACATGTGATGGGTGCTTGACACTCACTGTAGCAGTCAGGTCACTTTCACTTCCTCCTTTCGGTTAATTCCCATAATCTCCCTGTGAAGGCTTTATTGTTATTCTGAACATTTCAAATGTGAGAAGATGGGGCTCAGAGACGTCAGCTGATTGACCTGTGATTTCATGGGTAAAACAAGTAGATCTGGGGTTTGAAGTTCAATTTTCTAAATCCCAGTCTTCATTTCAGTTTACCACATTGTGTTTGCTACTGAAAAATCTAAATCCAGATTCCTGGACAAAAATTTCTCAAATAGAAAAAAATCACTATACTTACTGAGCACGGCCCTGCAGGCCCATTATCTCGTTGAATCCTCATTATGAATCTATGAGGGAAGAGAAAATTATCATCCACACATACAGGGTTTTAACCTTGGAAAGCTATCCAGAATCCATGCTTATAACCACTGTGTCCCACGGCATCTATACCGACTAGCACAGTGCCCTCTCATGTATGCTAAGGAGTCCCCCAGACTGCAGGGCGTTGCTTGAGAATGTGAAATTGATTCAAGGGTGACAAGACAAAATCAGGCTGAGAATTAAGGTTGAGGGATGGTAGGTATACTGTTTTCTTCACCAAGGACACTAGTGGCATTTATGGCAGGACAGTTCTTTATGCAGGTGATCTCCTATATCGCTGGAAGCTTAGCATCCTGGGTTCCTGCCCCCGAGTAGCATCTCTCAGGTCCTCTGACAACACAAACCTCACTCCCTGAATTTCCAGATGCCCTGTGAGTGGGAGTTACTTCCCTGGTTGAGAACCACTGTGCGAAGGGACCCTTCTTTGATAATGGTATGTATTTATGTCTTGGCTGATGTGATTCTGTTGTGTCTGGTATAGTTGTGCTGTTCAGGCCAACCCTCTTGCAGAGGGACTAGGATTTGCAGAATGTTCTGCAAAGGTAATGTGGTATTTCTGGGGCTTCCTTTGAGGCTGATCCTCAGTAACCCTCCGAGCTCGTAGTGTAGCCTCTGTCTGCAGTCAATAAATGTCAATACTTGCACTTGATGGATGTCTGGGTGTCTGCTGTTTTGTGCTGGGCTGTAGCCTATGGCAATCACTTTTCCAGGCCCAGATATTTTTCTTCCTTTTGATTGCAGAGGGAGCAGCAGGCAGGGGAATCGCCTGTTCACAGTCCCATTGCTATAGGGAAAGGCTTTGGAATGGTTGGAACTCAAGCTCTGTGGATTGGCTTCTCTGAAAGCCAGCCGGGCCCAGTCCTCCTGGCCATAAGAACAACTCCACTGGTTTAGCTGAGCCCTTTATGCCAAACCCATGGCATGCCCAGGGCTGTGTGTGAGCTCATGGCATGTGCAGGAAGAGCTGGGGCCTCTAGGGTGCAGTCAGCAGAACTTCAGGAAACTTGGGGAGGAAAAGGCAGTGAGTGGCTACCTGGGGTTTGGCTTTTAGCTCCAAGCTGCCTCCAGCCGGCCGGCCGTGCCCACCAAAGTGGCTCTGTGGCCATACTTTTTAAGGTAGTGGCAGTAGTGCAGTATTGAAACCATTACTTATTTTCAATTTGCCCAGTGAGGAGAGTTTGTAATGGTGGAAACTAGAATATGTGTGCAGAGGAAGAGAATCCTGAAAAAGGAAGTTCTTTGCAGCAGCTACATTTTTAACATAAGGGAGAGTGGTCTTTCTGAGTTCTCCTTCCTCATTTGTGTAGATAGAAGAGATCTCCTTTATCCCTGTCATTTTCTGGGGCTAGGCTATGAACAAAAAAGCTCATGGTTGAAAAGCAATTTTTTTTTTCTCTTGAGTCAGAGTCTCATTCTGTGGCCCAGGCTGGAGTACAGTGGTGCGCTTTCGGCTCACTGCAACCTCCTCCTTCTGGGTTCGAGTGATTTCTCCCACCTCAGCCTCCTGAGTAGCTGGAATTACAGGAGCCCATCACCACACCTGGCTAGTTTTTGTATTTGTTTAAGTAGAGATGGGGTTTCACTATGTTCCCATCCCTTTCCAGGATCTGCTGCTGTGTGTGTTCACTGCCCTTCCTCTGGCACCCACCTTCCCACAGATGTGTTCTGTGGCTTCCTAGGAGTCAGCTGAAGAGAACAGGTGGGACCTTTTTTATTAGGTTGGCACAAATGTCATTGAGGTTTTTGCCATTACTTTATGCAAATTACATTTGCACCAACCTAATTGCAGCTATCAGGGCAGCACTTGCATCTACGGAGAGAAATTACAAAGGATGCTAGGGATGCATGCTTTATGCAGATTCCACTTGTTCACCACTAACTTTGTACCTTTGTTTTAATGTAGACCTGGGTCACAACCCAAGTGGGTAAGCACCTTGGAGTGGTTAAGCCTTGCAGAGTTAGGGCTGACTGAGGAGGATTCTTTCTTTTTTTCTTTCTTTTTTTAAACTGTAATCAAATAGCTTCTTTGTTTACTTCTTAAAACAATTTTTTTTTATTTCCATAGGTTATTGAGGAACAGGTGGTATTTGGTCACATGAGTAAGTTCTTTAGTGGTGATTTGTGAGATTTTGGTGCACCCAACACCCAAGCAGTACATAGCACTCAATTTGTAGTCTTTTACCCCTCACCTCTTTCCCATGCTTTCCCCCCTGAGTCCCCAAAGACTATTGTTTCATTCTTAGGCCTTTGCATCCTCATAGCTTAGCTCCCACTTATGAGTGAGAACACACCATGTTTGGTTTTCCATTCCTGAGTTACTTCACTTAGATTAATAGTCTCCAATCCTATCCAGGTTGCTGTGAATGCCATTAATCCATTTGAGGAGGATACTTTCTATGAGTGCAGTGTGTTACAAACCCATGGTCATCTCTGTAAAAATCCAGACATTCAGCATGGAACCAGCCAGACTCCTGGGCTAAACATAACTCTTTAGCCCAAGAATCTGGCTAGCTAACAGTTGTGTTTCTTAGAATCTTACTTGTCTCTGACTCTAAAGCTCCTTGAGAACTAGTGATGACAAATTTCAGGTGTCTCCCGTGAGCTGGGTGTGGTTTATAATGTGCTGTGCTAGAAAGAGCTTAGAATTTAGCTCAACCAGCCAGGGCCCAGAAATAAGAGGCCACCACTAGTAACTCTGCAAATTGCCTGAGTTTTGATTTCCTTGCCTCTAAAAGGAGTATAATATCTTACCTGAAATGATTGCCTGGAAGATCAATGGAGAAATGTAAAAAGACTTTGGAATCTATGAGGTACTTTCTAGCATTGTCTTTATTATTCTCTGCTCTTAGAAGCTGAACTTTAAAGTCCCTTTCAACTTTAAAATTCTGTGATGTTAGACTCTTCCTAGGACAGATCTCTTTATTCTTCCTTCCCACGAGACACCCACAGTCTCAAGAGGGACATCAAGTCCAAGTGAAATCCAGTGGGATTACTCTCTGTCCTCTTAATTTAGTACAGTTTGGTAGTTGTTTCTTTATTTTTGTTTTAAGTTGAACCAAATAGATCCTTAAAGCAACAATGGGTCTGCGAAGAGCAACACAGCTTCCTTGCCAAGGCTATATTATCAGACATGAGGTCAGCATTGCAGCAGCTGTCTGGGAAGGCTGGTGGGAGGGGGGCACCTTGGTTTGGTGCCTTCTTGATGAGGTGTTTCTGCAGGAATGACTTACACATGCAAGGCAAAAGAGTGTTGAGTTTGGCTAATGCCCACTAGAGAGCTTTCATTACATCAAGTTTAGTTCATGGCTTAAAAAAATATCTTAAATATTAATTTTTTTTTTCTGTGAGGTGGAGGCATAGTTGATCAGTCTTGCCAGGAATAGGAGTTATGGGTGAGGCTTTAATATATAAATGGAAGCAACATTATAGTAGAAAGACAATTGGTCTTGGAGTCTTAAAACCTGGATTGAGACTGGGTCCACCATTAACTAAGCTGTGTGACTTTGGGGAAGTCACTTAACCTCTCCAGTCCACAGGAGTTATACATGTACGTGGAATTTAATAATGTTTGGGGATAGTTATATGTATTACATGGTATAGTAATTACCTTTGCAAAAAAATGAACATTTAAAAATTGATATATAATATACATCTAGAAAACTACCTAAATCATAAACGTACAGCTCGGTGAATAATCACAAAGTGAACACACTCATGTAACCGCCACCAAGATCAAGAATTGTAACATTACCAGTACCCCAGAATACCCTCTCTCTGCCCCCACCCCCAAAAGACCACAATCCTCTGTCCTAACACCATAGATTAGTTTTGCCTGTTTTCGAACTTTACATAAATGAAACTATTCAGTGTGTACTTTTTGTGTCTGGCATGTCTCACTTGTGAGATTCATCCATGGCGTTGTACTTAGCGGCAGTCCATTCATTTATTCTCATTGCTGTGCAATATCCCATGGTATGATTAGACTCTAATGTATCCATTCCACTGTCATTTTTTATTTATTTATTTTTTTGAGACAAAGTCTTGTTCTGTTGCCCAAGCTGGAGTGCAGTGGCATGATCTTGGCTCACTGTGACCTCTGCCTCCCGGGGTCAAGCAATTCTCCTGCCTCAGCCTCCTCTGAGTAGCTGGGATTACAGGTGCCTGCCACCATGCCCGGCTAATTTTTGTATTTTTAGTAGAGACGGGGTTTCATCATGTTGGCCAGGCTGGTCTCGAACTCCTGACCTCAGGTGAGCTGCCCACCTCGGCCTCCCAAAGTGCTGGGATTACAGGCGTGAGCCACTGTGCCCAGCTTATTCCACTGTTCATGGACATTTGAGTTGTTTTCCAGTTGCAACACATGCTTGTTTATGTTGCAGGCATTTCTGTTTGTTTGACATATATCTAAGAATGGAATTGCTGATTCCTAAGGTATATGTATGGTTCAGCTTTGATAGACACTGCCAGATAGGTTTGCAAAATGGGTGTATCAATTTACACCTCCAGGCAGAAGCATGCTTCTGTTACCTTCACTCTTCCTCAACAGTTGATATTGGCAGTTGATATTTTTATTTTGCCATTCTGGTGAGGTATAGTGGTATCTCATTTTGTTTATTCATTTACCTTTCCCCAATAGCTACTGTAGTTAAGTATATTTTCATACACTTACAAGCCATTTAAATGTCTCTTTTTTCAAGCCCTCATGCAAGTCTTTTGTCCACTTTTTATTACATTTATTTTCAAAAGTTCTTACTATATTTTAGTTACAATATATTTGTCGCATATATATATATATAGAGAGAGAGAGAGAGAGAGAGGAGAGCACATATCTTCTACTCTGTGGCTTGCCTTTTCATTCTCTTGATGGTATATTATTACGATAAGAAGTTTCTAATTGTAGTGTTGTTTAATGTATCAACATTTTGCCTTATGACAAGTGTCTTACTGTGTTTTGCTTATGAAATCTTTGTTGGGGTGTGAGGTCCAGTGTCTTTCAGTTACCACCACTGCCTCCTGCAGACCAGAAGACTGCACTGTGACCTGGGGAAGCCTGGAGGCAGCAGCCATGCCTGCCAGGACACCTTCACTCCAACCCCAAGATGCTCCTGGAGTTCCCATGAGCTTGCAGGTAGATCAGGTCCTGGCTGATTGGAAGAACCTGCTGGAGCCTCAAAGTTCCTGACCAGAATCAGGGGCTTGAGAAAGGGTACACAGAGCTTATGGTTTCCATAAACCATGTTGTTTGTCCATCTGACTGTTGGGGAACAGACAGCGTTTTTTGGGCACATTCCTGAAGGCTGCATTTCTAGAACCTTTCTGGAAATACAATCACTGACTCAGTGACACTCTTAATAGCTCTTGGTGAAGGAATTAGACACAGTGGCTCCTGCTTGGCCCAGACTCCTTTTTTAGGGAATCTTCTGTCCTCCCACGTTTTGCTGAGTGAGCAGGACCCATGTGACACTGCCTTCGCTTGTCACAACTGATTGGACCCAGTGTTGGTGTGGGAGCCAGGACTGGCCTGCCTGTGGGCTGGCCAGAGAACAAGAAAGCCTTATGTGGACTGGAACAAAACGTTCACCTAAGCCAGTAAGAGCCTCTCTTTGGGAAATCTGAACCAGGGACCAGAAAGAAATTGTTGGCTGGTGTTAGGTGCCTGTGCTGAAAGGCCAGGTAAAGTTGGGGCAAGGAGTGCTATTTTGGGACTATGTGCTTGCTGAATATATTCGGAACTGAGATGCAGAGAAACCAGTCAGGAGAGAGAAAGAGGAGGGAGTGAGGACCCCAAGAAGAGCAGAGAAATCATGCGTGAGTGAGGGAGTGAGTGAGCAAATCCCTGGTTTCTCCCTTCTCGAGGCCTGATTCAATGTTTCCTGGTTTCCCTGGAGACCTCTGTATACCCCGCAACCACCCTATCTTTTACAGAGCTTGTTTGAATAGGTTTCTTCTGATCTTTACCATCAAAAGAGTTAGGACTAAGTCCAGACCAAAGGTAAGAAAAAAAGAAAAGAAAATATTTATGAGTCATATTTCATTCAATAAATCTTACACAGTTCTAGTGAAAACGGATTCCCCTACAACTTAAATCACCTATCTTATTGACTAGAATAACGTCCATGAGAATAACAGCACTGCTCTTTGGCCATTAAAATGTACATTCTGGATATGTTAGCCATGAGGCAACATGGTGCAGCTCTGATTCTTCATCCTGTAATTATATCATGGCCCCATTGTGAAGCTGGGGCGGTGGGGAGGAGACACATGTGGGCCGTGGGCTGCAGACCGGTCACCTCAGGTCCAGATCAGTGATTTGCAAACGGAACCTCGTGGTGCTCCAAAGGTTGTTGGGGTTAAAAATTGGTTGCATGTTAAATGGCCAAGAGTGGGAGAACGGTTAAATAAATTAGTGGTCTCCAATGAAGGAGTATTTATGGAGTCATTAAAGATGATGTCATTAAAGAGGTTTCTAATCAGATGGGAAATGAGTGGTATAATAATATGTAACACTAACTGGAAAACAGATGTGAAATTTCTAATACAGAGATCTCAATGTTAAAATATTCCTAGAAGACAGCCCAGAAAGAAATATGCAAAAGTATTAACAGTCATGTTATGCATATATATATATATATATATATATATATGCCTAGTTGTTACAAATATATTTGCTTTTCTATATTTTCTATGATTACTTTTATAATCAGAAAAAAACTTTAAAATAAAAATACAAATGAATAAGCTGTTTATTCAGATTCTCAAGGTATTCCATGAGTGTATTCTGAAGTTTCCCTCAATCATCCCTCCCTGGTTTTTTTTTTTTTTTTTTTTTCTGAGACAGAGTCTCCCTTTGTCGCCCAGGCTGGAGCATAGTGGCGTGATCTCGGCTCACCACAGCCTCTGCCTCCTGGGCTCAAGTGGTTCTCCTGCCTCAGCCTCCTGAGCAGCTGGGATTACAGGCCTGTGCCACTGAGCCCAGCTAATTTTTGTATTTTTAGTAGAGATGGGGTTTCATCATGTTGCCCAGGCTGGTCTTGAACTCCTGACCTCAAGTGATCTGCCCACCTCGGCCTCCCAAAGTGCTGGGATGACAGGCGTGAGCCACTGCACCTGGCCTACACCCCTGGTTCTTAATCCGTAAACCAAAATCCCATCCCTTTAGGATGAGGGCATTGGAACCCCCCTTCCCTGCTCAGCCCACGGCTGTGGCTGCCTGTGTGTCATCCTTGGCACAGCCCCCGCTATCTTTCTCAGGAGATGTGAGGACAATAATGGCTCAATTTTTCCAAGTTGTGAAATAGGATGAGAATCCAGCTCTGGAATTACGGAGCCAAGCTGGGATCTGGTTTATAAAAAAAAGTGGGAGAATCGCTTTGAGAATCACTCTGAGCAGCAACAAATGCTTTGAGATCTTAGAGAGGCAGCTCCTCTCTCCAGTTGCAGGTGCTAGCTAAAGGTAGGTGGGAGGTGCTGGGTACTGCAGAGCTGAAATTTTATTTAACCTTCACAACAGTCCAGTGAAATAGGTTTTATGATCTTCATTTTGGCAATAAGAAAACAAACTAATCCTAAAACAAAACAAAATGAAACAAAACAAAGGATCCAGCTTAGAGGTAAAGTAATATTCATAGGCAACTGATGGCAGATCCAGAACTCAAAACCACCCCACCTTTTTATTTCTATTTATTTTTTAGTTTTAATGTTTATTTTATTTTATTTTGAGACAGGGTCTTGCTCTGCCACTCAGGCTGGAGTGCAGTGGTGTGATCTCAGCTCACTGCAACCTCGACCTCCTGGGCTCAAGCAATCCTCCCACTTAAGCCTCCCGAGTGTGTGGACTACAGGCATGCAGCACCATGCCTGGTTGATTTTTAAATTTTTTTTGTACAGGCGGGTTCTGCCATGTTGCCAAAGCTGGTCTTGAACTCCTGGCCTCCAGTGATCCTCCCGCCTCAGCCTCCCAGTGTTGGGATTACAGGCGTGAGCCACTGTGCCTGGCTACCTCTTCTTTTTATTTGTAACTCTGAGGAGAATGATCATGTATGGGGTCTTTACTATGTGATGGGCCCTGAGCTGAATGATCTGCCCATATTATCTCCCTTAGCGTCCACAGCAGCTCAGTGAAACGGAGCCTATTAATGTTTCCATCTTACAGTGAAGAGCTGGGGTTGGAGAAACTTGCCGATGGTCACAGAGTGAGTCAGAGGCAGAGCCAGCCTGGGACCTAGGTTGGTCTGAGGCCAGGATACAGTTCTGGCCACTGCAATGCCTAGTGACCCTCCCAGCATGGGGTGTCCAGCAGCAGGGCCCCAGAAATGCCAAATTCAGAGCAGCAACCATGTCTAATCTCTGTAGTCCTACACTCTGGCCTTCAGATCCTGCCAATCCACCAGGCCACAATCAATGCACCAATTAATCAATCAGTGCGTCTAGTTTGGAGTGAGGAAATTCGGGGCTTGGTGATCTTCAGGGTCTCTCTCAGCTCAGTGAACGCAAAATGTCAGTGATCCCTGGCCTGCGGTTTAGTCCTTTGCTAAATGCCGGGGAGCCAAGGATGGAGGAAGCCTAGACTCCTGGCTTGTCCTCATGGAGTTTAGGGGAGAGCTTGGGGGAGACACAGGAGATTAACACACATAAAACTATCAGGCAAAAATGATGAGGTGGTGGAGAGTGTGGTGCAGAGTTCAAATTCTGTGATCAGCATGGATGGAGGAGTTGAAACAGGATTCTCTACGTGCGTGCATGTGTGCGTGTGTGAGTGCAAGTGTGGATGGGAGTGTGTGAGTGCGTACGTGCATGTGTGTGTGTGAGCGTGGGTTGTATGAGTGTCTGAGCATCTGGAAGAGTGTGTTGTGTGTTCAGGGCATTGAAGGACTGGTGGTGTTTGAGTGCAGGGTGTTGGGGGCCTGGTTTAGAGGAGACGAGCATGAGGACTTCCCTGGTCTTCTGAGAAATGGAAAGTAGAGGGACGAGGAATGGCTGGGGACAGAGAGTAAGACAAGATGACTCAGGTGGCCAGGTGCAGTGGCTCACTCCTGTTTTCCAGCACTTTGGAAAGCCAAGGCAAGAGTATCGCATGAGGCCAGGAGTTCGAGACCTTCCTGGGCAATGTAGCAAGACCCTGTCTCTACAAAAATAAAAAAAAAAAATAGCTGGGCATAGTGGCACGTGGCTGTAGTTCTGGCTACTCAGGAGGCTGAGGCAGGAGGATGGCTTGAGCGAGAGTTTGAGGCTGCAGTGAGCCATGATAGGGCCACTGCACTCCAGCCTGGGCAACAGAGTGAGACCCTGTTTCTAAAAAAAAAAAAAAAAACCAAAAGAAAAAAAGAAAGAAAAAACAAAAAGAAGACTTGGGGACCCCACATCTTCTGGCAGCAGAAGGATTGTGAAACTGCCTTGATCTCTGGCTGGAATGAAGGTGAGGGAGGTTGCTCTGGGGACAACACAGAGGGGAAGGACAGGAGCACTGGTAACACTGCAGGGTTCCGTTCTGTCTGTGTTCTCCTCTCACCTGGTCTCCAGGAAAACTTGCACCCTGTTTACAGGCAGGGACCTGGACTTTTGGGGTGAGAGCTAAATGCCTCAGCCAGATAAGCCTGGGTCCAGAGGAAGATGAAATTCCACACCTTGCTGTGGAAGGCAGGCCTGAGACCACGTGAATGCAGGGAAGAGGCCCCTGGTGGAATTGTCAAGGTGAGGAGGCCCTTTAGCCCTGGGTGGAGGGACTGTGTTGTCTGAGCCAAAGACAAAGGCCCCCTCCTTTTGACAAAAGACTTTTTCTGATTTACTGCAGGTGTACAAATAAGTTACATGGAGCTCTACATTTCATTAATTGCCTTTATTGAGAAACAGTAACATTAGAAGAAAGTGATGTAATTTTGGTTCATATGCTCATGGAACCAAGGCAATATTTACTGGGGTCTTTGAGGTAGTTCTTTCCTGCAGTCTGGGGTCTCTGAGAAGGACAGAGTGGGGTCTCAGTAGGAAGTGGCCATCAGAAGGCTCTATGCAAGACCCTAGTCCTAGGGAACCTCTTGCAACCATTGGGTAGAACTCCACAGGCCTGCAGAGGTGGCCTGACCTGTTACATGAGGATTCTTCACCTTGCAAAGTTGGTCCTGAAAGTGTTTTTCTTTGGGTTGGGTGGACATAGGGTTTCTTGGAGGGCTAAGTGCAAAGATAGAATTATCCTTCCCTGCAGTGCCCTGTGGCTGGAGGGCTATAGTCATTGGGCCAGGAAAGTGGATCTCCTGCTTTTTCTGCCCTCTGTCCCACCCACCCACTGGAGCCACATCCAGAACATCTGCAGTCGTTTGCAAAATACAAGTTCCCAGGCCTTGCGTCGGCACTATTTTCTTTCCTGCACACATGCAAAGACCTTTGAGTCGGCAGCTCTGTTTTATAAGGTTGCTATTTCCTGCCCTTGCTTTATTACATCTGTTCTTTGGGGCATGGTGTTATAAATTGGGCATGTGATGATGTGTAATCGCTAACTGAAAAGCCAATACATTTTCACTGTACCGGCCACAAGACAAATAAACGGCAAAATGAAAGGTTTGTGCTCTTTAACAAAGGGGAAAGCACACAACAGACATATTAAAGAAAAAAATCAAATTGCAAATTGAAAATGTTGTCATCTTAGGAGACTTGTTTTCTTGGGGCAGTCTGGCTGGTGCCTGCCTCCTGAGAGTGGGGTGTCTTGATGGCTGGGGGTGGGGAGGGTGAAGGGCAATGTTTTATTCCTCTTGGGAACCACATTATTGTTGGGCTTTGTAAACCCTCAGGCTATTGCCCCAGGAGCTTATGAGCTGGGATGCGGGTGGCCCTTGGTTGAGAACAACTGGTCTATGGTCAGAGACATTTGGAGAAATAGATAAAGAGAAAGATAAAGAGACGCCTACGTGTTTGTGTTCATAGAGTGTATGTCGTAGAGTGATCGTCACTCAGTAGAAATTCAGTAAAGCCTCTTGTTGATGGTGATGTGTGTGTAGGGCAGTGTTATCTATAATAAGGGCTTTGGAAGGAATGTTGCTCAGGGTGTTCTGATTCGGTGCTCTCCGTAGAGGTTGAGCACCTGCCTGCTGAATAGGATGAGTGCGTGTGTCTGTTTGGAGCATATTTTGAGAATGTTTAGGAGAGAAGTTCTCTCATCCATTCATATTCAACTTCACGACCTTTGGAAATATGGTCTGCAGGGCCATGGAGTTTTATTTTGTTTTCTCTTTCCCAAAGCCCCGAAGGAAATGCAATAAAAATGAGGACTGGGGAGTAGTTTCCTAAAACTGATTAAAGCAAAAGATAATGGGGAATAATATATATTGTTATTCTAGAAAAGGTTAGAGATTTTTTCCGGAAAAAATAAAAGAGAAACAAAATCTTCAGGCTTGGTAACTAATGATGTTCGTGAAGTTAAGATGAATGTGAACAGAGATTAGGGGCTCTCTTTTGTAAAGAGGATTCAACTATGTGAGCATCTTAGAGATTTGGTCATCAGTAGTTTTTTCAACACATTGCAAAGGTAATGATAATATAATAATAATTATAATAATATGGCCACATTACATTTACAGAGCTTTTGTATGGATACAAGGCTGATTAGAACTGGGAACCCAGTGCAAATTACTGGGGCCAGGTGGTCTGGAGGGGACCAAGGCTATTAAATTTGTCAACATAAATCCCCTTGCTAGGGACCCTAATTTTTTTAGGGGTGCCAAACCAGCTCTCAGCAGGTTAATTTTCAAGTGCTTTCACACTGTGCCTTATTTGGATCTCTTAGGAATTTTATGAGGAAGACAGGAAAGGCATTTATGTCATTCCAGATTTATATATGGGGAAACCAAGACTCTTAACAAGGTGGCTGACTTGTCCAGAGTCACCATTGGCAGAGCCAGGACCTGACCAAGGCCTTCCAAGGCTGGCTTTGGTCTTCTCTGGCCATGCTGTGAAGGGCTGTGACAAAGATGAGGCCATCTAAGTAGCAATGGCAGCATATTCTAGGTCACAGGCATGGACCAACCAGTGTCGCCCAACTCCAGTCCTGGAGCATTTGTGCTTGGACCCCATGGGCACTCAGTGATCCCCTCAAAGGACAGCAGGGGGTGTCTGCTGTGTTGGCGAGCAAGCCTGACCCCTGTTAGGTCAACCTGTCCTAGTGGCCAAAGAAAATAAGCATTCCCTCTCTACCATTGCTGAATTCTTGTCCAGGGTGAAAACTTAACACTTCTCTTTGGGATGATGTTTCACGAGTACAGATAATTTTCTGAGATAAAGATGGTGGTTTCTGAGGTTCTTTAATAAAGACTTTAACTTGATCTCATTAAAATAACATAATTTGGTCAGGTGTGCTGGCTCACAGCTGTAATCCCAGCACTTTGGGAGGCCAAGGTAGGAGGATGGCTTGAGCCCAGGAGTTCAGACAAGCCTGGGCAACACAGTGAGACCCTGTCTCAAAAAAATACAATGTATGTATTAATACACTATTTCTATTTTTACTGTCTGGCTCCACCTCTCACCCTCCCTAACTGGGTATAAAACTTGTGACAGTGGGACTTTTTGTCTTTTTTCACTGAAGATCTAAAGTGCCCAGAACAGTGCCTGACATGTTGGAAGTACTGAATCATTATTGGTTTATTGGCTTGTTTGAATGAATAAATGGTAAAATAAAGAGAACATAGCAGAGGCTGACCATCTTCAATAATATGCTCATGTCCAACGAGGGTAAAAGGGTGTCACCACCTGTTGCCCAACAGGTAGTCCAAGTAGAGAAAGGAAGCAAGGGAACTGAGCCACCACGTGTTCCAGGGAACTGTAGGTACCCAGAAGCTAAAGGCACCCCTCCCTCTCTGACTGAGTGTATGGCTCAGATCCTGTCTTTTAAAAAACCATCCATTTGCACAAATTCTTTATTTTTTTCTAGAGACAGGGTCACCCAGAGGTTCCCAGGCTGGAGTGCAGTGGCATGATCATGGTTCACTGCAGCCTCAAACTCCTGGGCCCAAGCCATCCTCCCACCTCAGCCTCCCTAGTAACTGGGACTACAAGGTGTGGACTACCATGCCTGGCTAATTTTTTAATTTTTTTGCAGATATAGAGTCTCACTATGTTGTCCAGGCTAGCCTTGAACTCCTGAGCTCAAGTGATCCTCCTGCCCTGGCCTCCCACAAAACTGGGATTACAAGTGTGAGCCAGCATGCCAGGCACAGCAGTTTGCACAAATTCTGTTAAAATTTTTTAATTGATATGTAATAGTTGTGCATATTTTGGGGGTACCGGTGATATTTTGATTCCTGTATAAATGTGTAATGATCAAATTGGGGTACCTGGGGTGCTTATGACTTCAAACATTTTTCTTGGTGTTGAGAACTTACTATTCTTCTAGCTATTTTGAAATATACAACAAATTATCATTAATTATAATTTCCCTACTGTAATACTGGACAATAGAACTTATTCCTTCTATCTAAGGGTATTTTGTGCCCCTGAACCAACTTCTCTTTGTCCTCTACCTCCCCACTTCTTTTCCAGACTTTGGCAACCACCATTCTACTCTACCTCCCTGAGATCCACATTTTTTGAGCTCCCACATATGAGTGAGAACATGTGATATTTGTCTTTCTGTGCCTGGCTTCTTTCTTTCTTTCTTTTTTTTTTTTTGAGACAGAATCTCATTCTGTCGCTCAGGCTGGAGTGCACTGGCGTGATCTTGGCTCACTGCAGCCTCTGCCTCCCGGGTTCAAGTGATTCTCCTGCCTCAGCCTCCCGAGTAGCAGGGATTACAGGCACATGCCACCATGCCTGGCTAATTTTGTATTCTTAGTAGAGATGGGGTTTCGCCATGTTGGCCATGATGGTCTCGAACTCCTGAGCTCAAGTGATCTGCCTGCTTTGGCCTGCCAAAGTACTGGGATTATAGGCGTGAGCCACCGGGCTTATTTCACTTAACACAATGACCTCCAGTTCCATCCAGGTTGCTGCAAATGAAAGGATTTCTTTTTTTTTTTTGTGGTTGAATAATACTTCATTGTGTATACATGCCACATTTTCTCTATCTCTTCATCCATTGATGGGCACTTGGGTTGATTCTGTATCTTGGCTATTGCGAATAGTGCTATAATAAACAAGGGAGTGCAGGTAACTCTTTGACACACACACAAGTTCTTTAGCAATTATTGAATAGTAAATAGGGAAGGAAAATTTTCTGCTAATTTATTTTTCAAGGTTGACTTTTGGAGTGAATTATTGAATTAACTGTTCCATAAAAATGATAAATCAGTGGTTAAAAGTGAATTTGTTGTTCAAAGGCAAAAGGCCCAATGATGACATAATAAAGATGATGGATTGAATCTAGAGTCAGCAAACTATGGCCCTCTGGTCAAATCTTGCCTGGCACCTGTTTTAGTAAATAAAGTTTTATTGGAATGCAGCCAGGCCCATCTGTTTATGTATTGTCTATAGCTGATTTCATCCTGGAACAGCAGAGTTGAGTAGTTTGTGACAGAGACAGTATGGTCTACAAAGCCTAAAATATTTACAGTCTGGCTCTTACAGAAAATGTTTGCTGACCTCTGGATTAAATGATGGTCCATCATGTTAAAGTCAAAAGAATTGAGCTGACAATGAGGGAAAACCAGAACAATGATATCTTTCTGTTGGTAAGCTCAACACCAGAGACCTAGCTTCTGTAAAGCTTCATGATCCATCATAGTAAACTAATACTGTTAATTTGAATTTTATAGGTTTGGTAGTTTTAATTGCATTTATTCTGCAAGTTTGTTTTTATTTTATATTTGCATAAGTGCTAGAAACATATGGATTTATACTTAGATAAGTATTTGGATATATTAACTTTACTGTAAAATAATTTAAGTCAACCCCCTGGGGATTGGCGAGATGTTTTCTCCCCTTTAAATGTGTTCTCATCCTTTACTACTTAAATCTGGATATTACTGTTTTAAAGGCATCTGGTAGGAGCTTGTATCTAGGTTTTGCTGAGTTATACTGTGATCACTGTTCCCCTTTAAATGTGTTTTGGGCAGGAGAACAACATTATGAAAAAATTCTCTCCTTTCTAGTTTGATTCATTGTTTTCCTATAACTTAGAAAATTCAAGAGAGAAGAAACTTACTGGGAAGTGATTACCTAATTCCTGCTTTTTGTCCTTTTAAAATTTTACAATGGCTAGATTCTGATCACTGCCCCATTACTCCTCATCTTTGCAAACATGGGGCAAGTGGTTATGGCTGTTTGCTTAAAAAATATGTCTTCTCCTCTAAGCCAGTGAGCTTCTGGAGCCCAGTGAGCTTGTGTTTGGGCAACATGGGGGCTAGAAGGCCTATCCTGTTATTTGCTCTCTGAAGTTGGGCTGATCATATATTCCCAGAGCTTGAATTTGACAAGCACTCACTGTCTGATATAAACATGTACATCATTTATAGAATCTCTGTGTGTCAGAAGATCGTGATATTTTAGAGTTGAAGGAAAGACTGAAGTTCTATGAAGTCAAGGCTTTTGCCCAAGCAGAACTGGGATGGGACTAACCACTTTAGACAACTAAACAAAAAAATCTCCTGACAAAACAAAATAGAGAACATGGCAATATAGATCTAAAGACTTTGTTTACAATATAACTTGGAAATGTCACCTATTTTTATTTATTACTATTTTATTTATTATTAACTCTCTTTAATTTTGTCCTGAGTTGATTTTTATAGCTTCTTTTATAGAACATCTTCTATTTACTCTCTGTTCTCTGTCTTAGAGCAGCTTTCATGGTAAGCCATACTGTTCTGACCTATGGGTGGCAGAAGGCAAAGATTCCTGTAAGGATGCAAGGCTTTCTGCACTCTCAGCTTCCGATCTGAAACGAGCTCGGCCTCCCCACGACCTGATGAGGTTTGGCAGGGTCCCTGAGTCGGACTGGAGTGAGCTATTGAAGTATAAGTCTGCTCATGTCTCCCCAGCCTGATCCTGGTGATGGCTTTCCATAGCTTCACGATGAGAGAAGCCCTTTGTTATGCAGGCTTGGTAGCCCCCCACCCTTCCCCTCGCCTCCTTGGCCTCCTCTGCCACCTGCCTTCCTTACCTCCTCTTTCTGCTCCTGGCCAGCTGCCTCCAGGCCTGGTGCCCACTGCGTCCTTGTCCTTTCATCTGACTGGCACCATGTTATCCATGAGATCTCAGTCCAGTCAGTTCCTCGGGGAAGGCTCCCCTGCTTTTCCTGAACCAGCAGCTCCTTGTTACGATGCTGTCACAGCCCATGCATGTCTCCCAGAAGAATGAACCAGGATTGTGATTTTCATTCATTTATGTGATGGTCTGCCCCTCCCCTCCGTACTTGTGGGGAGCTCTATGAGGCAGAAATAGTGTCTTATTCTCTGTTGCATCCTTGACCCAGTGTCTGACATCTAATGCTGGACCATGATTGATTGAATAAATGAATGAATGAATGAATCCCAGCCCAGAGTCGGGGGAAGGATCTTAGCAGCAGAATGTGGTGGGAAGAGAACCCATCTGGAATCATGAAGACTTTTATTCAAATCTCTGGGTAATATTTGGCCTCTCTGAGCCTCAATGAATCCGTCTGAAAACAAGCAGTAAGTAATGATGCCCAGCAGGCACATACACCATGGAATACTATGAAGCCATAAAAAAGAACTAGATCATGTCCTTTGCAGCAACATGGATGGAGCTGAAGGCTATTATCGTAAGTGAACTAATGCAGGAGCAGAAAACCAGTACCACATGTTCTCACTCATTAGTGGGAGCTAAACACTGAGGACACATAGATACAAAGAAGGGAACAATAGACACCTGGGCCCACTTGAGGGTGGAGGGTGGGAGGAGGGTGAGGATTGAAAAACTTATCTATTGCCTACTATGCTTATCAACTGGGTGACGAAATAATCTCTACACCAAACCCTTATGACATGCAATTTACCTATATAACAAACCTGGACATGTGCCCCTGAACGTAAAATAAAAGTTAAAAGAAAAAGATTAAGTAAGCAATTAATGGAAAACATCAGGTCTTTCCTCCCTTCACTCAGATGCAGCTGGCCAGCGAGGCCCCTTTCTGTTTTCTAAAATTTATTTTACTTTATTTTTATTTTTTGAGATGGAGTCTCGCTCTGTCACTCAGGCTGGAGTGCACTGGCATGATCTTGGCTCACTGCAGCCTCCACCTCTCGGGTTCAAATGATTCTCCTGCCTCAGCCTCCTGAGAAGCTGGGATTACAGGTGCATGCCACTGTGCCTGGCTAATTTTATATTCTTAGTAGAGACAGGGTTTCACCATGTTGGCCAGTATGGTCTTGAACTCCTGAGCTCAAGTGATCTGCCTGCCTTGGCCTCCCAAAGTGCTGGGATTACAGGCTTGAGCCACCATGCCTGGCCCCCTTTCTGTCTTAGGTGGGAGCTTGGTCTGGACTCACCCAATGCTTTGGAAGCTGCTGGTGTGCCCACCTATGTGGGCCCCATGTCACAGGGCCAGGGATCAGCCTGGCAATCAGGCTTTGTGTGCTGGTGCCTCGAGAACAGTTGGGGGACTCTGCAGGGAAGGGACCAGACCTGGGAAGACAGGGGTTAAGCAGCCGCCACTTAAGATGCTCCGTCCTAGGGTGCACCCGTTCATCATGATAAGTGTCATAGTAAAATCAATTCTCTGTGTACTTTTGGGGATTACAACTATCATTTTGGTGTGATTTATTTGGTGTATAACACAAAGATGGCCATTTGTTTCATCATTCTGAAAGTTCATCTCAAATTGCTTTGAGTTTCTGGTTTTCAGGAGTGACATGTCTAATTGTTGTCATCTCGCCTATGAAATATGAGTGGAGGGTTGCACAGCTGCTGGCCTCGTTGCCTTCCTGGTTACCTGCATTTGTGCAGGGCAAGGTTTACTGCTTTGATTTCCCTTCTTTTCTCATGGCCCTCCCCACTCTGAAATCCACCTTTAGACTGACTGATACAGGGTTAAACCCTGGGGCTTTCTTCCCTGCCTGTCTTTGAGAACTTCTCTCTCCTGCAAAGATGGGAGGTGATCTCTGAAGTATGTTGGACTCCCCACACACTCCTGCAGCCTTCGCTGATCGGGGGGCACTGTCCCTCTCATGCAGCCGCAGTCCAGATCCTGGCCTTTGAGCCCATTTGCACTTGGGTATAGCAGATAAAAACTGCCCTTGGTATCTTGGGTCAAAAAAGGCTGGTTTGAGAGTTGCTCCACCAATTAACTGGCTGTGTGGCTTCGGACAATTCCCTCAACCTCTCTGAGTTTTCTCATTTACAAAACAGATGATAATAAAGTGAGGATGACATGAACTAATACCCTTGGCACATATCTAGTGATAAGCTAGGGTGCAATAAGTATCAACATGACCTGTTACCACGATCACTGCTGCTGGTTTCTGCACTGAGCTAAGCTGTGTGACTGTAGCTCAGTTTTCCCCATCTTGAAAATGGTCTCATGAGGTGTGTTAAAGGCCTGTGAGAAGAGGAGAAATATACTATGTGGGATGGGTAATAAAACTGCAGGTGGGAGACAAAGGGTGCAATTTAAACTCTGAAAGTTGCTGAGTCATTGTTTTTCCCTCCTCTGTTTTGCTGACAGAAGTGCTTGGTGCCCGGGCCCTTTGAGGCAGGCTTTGGGAGAATCCCACGACACTGGGGCCAACTGACGTTCAGACACTGTCAGTCTTCCCATCCGGCCATGGCATCTGCAGGGAGGTCTCTGGTTTATTCCTGACATCTTCTTACCATCATAACACCACCCGGCATTTATCACATGCAGAGACCCCTAAGCAATCAGCCTAAGGAGTTTTACTACCCCCCCACCTCCTGAAACACCTGCTCTATTTTCTTGAAATGGAGCAGCTATCCTTGTATAAATTCCTCTTATGATTAGGTCATTGCCTTGGCCATCCGGGCATGCTGTCATCAGGAACAGCCTGTCGTGGCTTCTTTCATCTGCGGAGTCCTTGATTTCTCTGTTCCTTCCATGGGAATGTGTTATCCTCATTGCCTCGCATCCAAATCTTCTCAACCTCCAGGAAGCCTTCCTCCTTCTCCCCATGGGCCACAGTCTCGCCCTCCTTTTTTCTTCCAGAACTCCTTGTCTGCACCTGTTTTGGTGTCTTTCAATGTTTCCTTTGCCTCAGGAAACTGTGCACCAAGGCTATTAGCTCATGTAATCCTCGCTTTATTATCACCTTGGTTTTATAAATGAGAAAGCTCAGAGAGGTTGAGGGAATTGTCCAAAGCCACAGAGCAGGGATGCTTAAATATTCACATTACCCACCCAACTCTATCTTAGTTCCCTTTGTGGGGCACTGTGTTTTTTTTCCTCCCAGTACTTACTTCAGTTTCTGGCACGAAATAGAACCTTCATATATTTTTCTCGACTCTTAAATGACTAGAAGGAAAATGATCAGGGCTTACTTCTCCTAAAGAACCTCTGTGGCATGTGGCATTTATAAACATGCCCAGTGCTTCCTCCTGTTTAGTCTCAGACCTGCATTTTGGTGATTATTTCTGCTTTGGGCAAGCCTTTTGTTTAAATCTCTCCTGTTGTCCCAAAGTGATGAGCTATGTTAAAGTTCCAAAACAGAGACAGGTGGGCTCTCTGAGGGTGGTAAGGGCAGGTTGCGGCAGTGAGGATGAGAAGGCCTGGAAGCTGAGCTGGGAGCACTCCAGGGGAGAAGCTTTGCTTGAGTGAACAGACAAGAGCAGCCCAGGCCTGGGAGCTGAGCAGTGGATGAGAGATTTGACCTCATACTGTGACTCAGGGCTTAGGGCACAGTTAATGGCAGAAGAACATTTCCAGGACCCATGGCGTCAGCCTCAACAAGCCCCCTACTCCTCTAAGTGCAAGGAGAGCCCACCTGCCCAGCAGCAAGTCAGCAGGGCCACTTAAGGCAAATGCCTCCTTCCTGTCCCCCTCTTCCTGCTCTGCTCCAGGGTGAAGGAGAGAAAAATCCCCTGAGTTACTTCAATTACATGGATGACTGGGGAGAGCTTTAGCACAAGTAATAGAGCCACCCGCTTAGATTGGATGGTGGCTAGTCTCTACCTCCGTCCTCCCCCTAGGCTGCTTAAATAGGCACCACTGACCTTCGAAGGGCACGTCACTAATGCAGGTGTTAACCTTAATGCCACTCACTCAGGCCTGTCATTAGCACTCATGCTGGTGACAGGTGTTTGTTGTGGCCCTGGCAGGAAGGTCAGAACCTTGGAGCTGCTGAGTTCCCCAAACTGAAGGCGACACTTGAGGGCTGGCATGGAGTCAGGCTTGAGTCGGCCTCAGCTGTGGTGTGGCCTCAGGGGAGGGAGGAGTCAGGGCAGGCTTTGGAAGTGCTCAGAGCTGGGAAAAGGGTTTCTTTCACGCCTGACTCCTCTTCTGGTGCCTGAGAGATTCTTTTAACCCTCTCCTCCATTTAGATCCTCCTACTGAGGGTCACAGATGTGTCGTGGGCCTCCTGGCTGGGGGACAGCTCTCAGACAAGCTTGGGCCGTTCCCATTCAGCCCAGCAACTCCAGAAGGCCGCTGGTCTCCTGCGGGCAGTGACAGGCAGTTACACTCTTTGGGGATGAGCCTCAGGCAGGCGGACAGGTCCCCAGGGGCACAGGGGTTTTGATTTTAGCCCCGACAGGCGCCGTGCTTCATAGCGGCCTCTCTGTGCCTAACCTGGCCGGCGCCTCTACTGGAGAAGCTGGAGCTAAAACCCAGACAGCACTGTGGATCTTCCCATCGACAAACAGAGGATGACAAGCTGCTTAGCTTCCTTCTGCTCACTGGGGGAGTGGGGGCTGGCAAGGGCGTGGGGCTCAGGCCATTGACACTGAGTAACCCTGGGATTTGCCTAATGACACTTTCTCACATTTTTACTATCCATTTCTTCTGCTAAGTCATTGCTGTCATAGCCATTGTGGCTTGAATTCTCGGTACCTTCTCCCTCCTTCACTCTTGGGCATAATAATAATAATAACAACCTCCACCACCAAGGCCATTTATTGTGCGTCCATCACGTGCCAGGAATTTTATAGGCATTATGCCATTTAATTATTATAACAGTACTATGAAGTAGTCATCGCCATCCTCACTTTATTGGTGAGAAAATGAATGCTTGGAGAAGATGCATGACTTGTTCAAGGTGGAGCCACGATCTAACCCCAGGTCTGAGTCATGCCCTCTGGTGCAATTAACCCTCCCTTTTGCAGCTGCAGCTGAGAGTGTAGTTCACCAGTCCACTCAGTATTCTGGGTTAGGAGTGAGTTTGACGCAGCTCCACCAACTCAGAGAACTGAGGCACAGAGAGGTGAAATGCGTCACCTCAAGTCCCACAGCTAGCCTGTGACTGAGTTGGAACTCATCTTGACATAGCTGATGAATAACTTGGTTGAGCCCAGCACTGCGCCAGGACCTTTAGGGAGTACCAAAAAGAATATGTCCAATTCCCAGTGATTTGCCATTTGCTGGAAAAAGAGAACTATATTCATTGTTCATATTTATTGAGCTTTTGCTTTGTGTCAGGTGCTGTTTTTTTTTTACATAGAGTTCTCATAACTATGGGGTATGTACTATCAATATCCTCCTTTTATAGGCAAAGAGAGTCGGCTCAGAGAGGTTAAGCAACATATCCAGGGACACAGCTAGGAAGAGTGGGAGATAGGACTTCGATCCGCATCTGGCTGACCGCAGGGCCCTGGCTCTTACTTTTTTTTTTTTTTTTTTTTTTTTGAGACCTAGCTCTTAACATTTTAAGCACAGAGAAGCAACTAGAGAACCAGGAAGGCTAAGCTGCAAAAAACAGACTACAGCGGGACATCAGAGAAGAGAGCAAGTGTGTGGGCTGGGGTTGGTTAGGGGAGAGGAATCGGGAGATGGTGACCTGGGAGGAAAGAATGTCCCAGATAAAGACTGGGGGTTAAGAAGGGTGAACTGAGTCTCAGCTGTGTGTGTCTGCTTGAAGGTGGAGGGGGGTGACTCTCTATTTGACTCTCAGCTTCATTCATAGCTACTCCCACCTGATGGGCTGATTCCAAGCATTCTTTTGGGAAGCTAAAGAACTTCAACTTGCTGCGTAGGAGATACAAGTGTTTACATGTCATGGGTACATATGTGGCAGAGTGGAGAAGAATTTGTTTGGAATTGGATTTAAATCGGACACTGCCAACTACTCACTGTGTGTCTTTGGGAGTCTCTCAGTTGCACTGAGTTCAGTCGTATTGCCTTTAAGAACTGGATAGTAATAATTAGATTATCTATCTCATCATTTGGAAAGTACACATGATGAGACAGACAATCCTTGATAATCACATGAGCTAAGGCTCAGGTGGCAAGCCTTTCATAAGTTACAAATTGTCCCAAGTTATGATGAATTACATGTGACTACAAGAATGTTTGGGAGTAAACAGGTTGTGCATGTGTATATGCGTATTTAAGTGGTTATGATTATGTTTATGTGTTCAACTATAAGTATGAATATTGCGGGGTGCAGTGGGGTGTGCCTGCAGTCTCAGCTACTGAGGAGGCTGAGGTGGGAGGATTTCTATATAATGAGACCTCATCTTTTAAAAAAAACTCAGGCTGGGCGTGGTGGCTCATGCCTGTAATCCCAGCACTTTGGGAGGCCAAGGCCAGTAGATCACCTGTGGTCAGGAGTTTGAGACCAGCCTGGCCAACATGGTGAAACCCCGTCTCTAAACCCCGTCTACTAAAAATATAAAAATTAGCTGGGCGTGGTGGCGGGTTCCTCTAGTCCTAGGACTCAGTGGGAGGTTGAGGCAGGGGAATTGCTTTAACTTGGGAGGCAGAGGTTGCAGTGAGCGGAGATTGAGCCACTGCACTCCAGCCTGGGTGATGGAGTGAGACTCTGTCTAAAAAGAAAAAAATTTCAAAGTTTTAAAAAAGTTTTAAAGAAGTGAATATTGACACCTGTGCATATTGTATGTGTGTGCTTAATCTTTGGTCTTGTGGACAGGCCACTGTGAGACATTACCCAGCAACAAACCCCATAGAGATAGTGTGTGAATATACTTCTACTGCATGAGTCCATATGCCAACCACAGTGGCTCCCCCTTGGGGTCTTGTGACCTCAATAACCCTGTGAGATGGTTGCCAGAATCACCATTTTTTAACATGGAACCCAGCCTGATTTTGAACTAAGTTGTGCTGACTCTGCAGCCACCGCTACTCTTTCTAGAAACCAGGAGTCCCTCTAACTGCAGCGAAGGCAGCTGGTGTCCTGCGGAAGCGCCTGCCAGGCAGACTCCCATCTTCTTCTGGGGTCTCATGGAGCCCCTATCTCCTTAGCACCTCCCACCCCCCACAGTGTCACAAGGAGCTCATTTCACTCCCCTGGGATACTGTGGGTGCCCCCCAGACTCCTGATCACTCGGCCAGAGGCCAGGGTTCTCCTGACCTCTTGGAGTCTCTGTCTGAGGCCCAAGGCTCTGACCCTCCCTCCTGTTCTGCAGGGGATGGTGTTAGAAGAATGGTGTGTTCTCTTCTTCCCACCCAGTCTTCGAGGAAGCTGCCCTTTTCCCACCTGGCCCTGCCAGGCCTGGGCTTGCACCTGGAGAGGAAGCCAAGCAGGAATTTGGAGATTCTCAGGGGCCCAGGGAAGACCCTCCTGCCACCCCTGAGGGGCCACAGTGAATTCATCTGTCATTCAGCCACTGTGTGGTTGGTTCTAGGTCCTGCTGGACTTGTGTTACTTGCTCCTCTACAGGAAGCTAAGATCTCTCGGAGAGGTCTGGAATTCCTACTGAGAATTGACTTCAAACATCTGCCCTCTGGCTCTGAATGGAGCCTGCCATCCCTGGGCTTCTGTAGCTTTTGAAGAGCTGGGTGGGTTGCGAGCCCAGGGGGCTTGTGGAAGGGTGATTGTCACTTCCTGCCTGACACTGACACCCTCATGGTCATACACTTCAAGAGGTGCCTATAGACAGTGTCCTGTGGATGGAAATAGCCTACATCCCTACAGCACAACCAAGGACATCGCAGGATAAACACTGTACAGATCCTGACACATAATTTGAAGGTTTAACTAATTTTACTCTGATTATGAAAATGATATACACCTGTTGTAAGAAATTTAGAAAATATAGACATGTATAAAGAAGAAATACAAATAACTCATCATCCTACCACTGAAAGAGAGCCGCTGCTTTCCTTTTGTTATCTTTCCTTTGATTCTTGCCCTCTCTCTGCCCAATACGCAGCTATGTCTCCTGGGTGTGCATGGTGTGTGTGTCTCTGTAATTAACACACTTCAGTTTCCTCCAAATCAGAGAAGTGCAAGCGAGAGGCCTGGAGGTTACTCCTGGCCCCTCCCTTTCACTCTGTCTCCCGCTCCCCACTCCCTATCACCCTCTTCTATCACAAGTCCTTCTGATTTGCCTTTCTTTTCATTTGCAGTCTGCTTATCTCGCAGCTTCCATCTTCTCCCACCCGAGGCACTGCAGTGGCTCCTGACTGATCTGCCCATATCCATACTCTACCCTCTTTTCAGATAGCACAGGAGTTAAGTTTTTTGGGGGTAGACTGCCTGGCTTTGCCTGTTACTAGCTGTGCAACCTTAGGGAAGTTGCTTCACCTCTCTGAGTCTCAGCTTCCCTGTCTCCTAAGATGAGGAGAATTAAATAAGCAAATACACGTACAATACTTAGACAGGTGCCTGATGCCTTAGCATGCATTCTCCATGGGGCAACCAGAGGCTCTTTTGGAAACACAGATATGATCATGCCTCCCCACCATGGAAAATATGGCAAAGCTTTCTTTCCCACGGCCTTGAGGATGGCCACCAGAACCCTAACTTTAAGATTGCATCGTTTGGTCTCCATCCCGCTCTCTGATCTCCACTTACACCTCTCTCTCTCTCTCCCTCCCTCCCTCTCTCCCTCCCTCTCTCTCTCTCTCTCTCTCTCTCTCTCCCTCTCTCATCCATCTATGTTGGCCTCCTTTTAGTCCGTGAAGCTGCTGCTCTTGCCACAACATCTCGCTTATTCTCTTCTCTCTGCTTGAAAGACTTCCCCTCTTCACCCTATTCACATATAATGTGCTTCTTGTACATGTGATTTTTTCCCCATGTTTTTCTGTTAAAAACGACATAAATATGTCTTTGCATATAAATCTTCATGCATACCTCTGATTATGTCCTCAAAACAGACCCTTAAAAGCAGAATTTCTGGGTCAAAGGTTATGAACATTGTTTAAGTCTTTTGATGAATATTCCAGATCACTTTCCGGAAAGCAAACACACGCACTTCTCAGCCTTCTTGCCACATTTCTGTTTCCTGGGCTTCCGTGGCATTTCGTTTGAATCTTTCATCTAGCAGTGACTGCATCTCCTTTATAATAATTTATTTGCTCTCTGTCTCCTCAACTAGACTGTAAGCTGTTAGAGGTAAGGGCCATGTCTAATTCATCTTTGTGCCTCCCTAGAGACCTAGTCCATGGCAGGTGCCCAGTGAGCATTTGCTGAGCTGGACTGAATTGATCATGAGTTGTCAGTTCCTTTCCACATTGGGCTGGAAATCAGGAATCCAGATGTTTGCTAATAAATCAGAAGGCCCCAAATGTCTAAGAGGAAAACCCCAGCACTCACTGCATGCTGGTAGGGGTCTCTCTCTGTCCATCTCTGTCTCTGTCTGTCTTGGGCTCTCTTGTTTGTGTCTTCCCTACCTGATAGTTGAATAAGAGAAGAGCCCAATTTAAAAGCTATATTTTCTAACTCAGAAACAGAAAGTAAATGCTGCATATTCCCACTTATAAGTGGGAGCTAAATAATGTGAACACAGGGACAGAATGTGGAAGGATAGGCATTGGAGACTCAAAAGGGTGGGAGGAGGGGAGGGGCATGAGGGGTGAGAAAATACTACTTTTTTTCTTTTGAGACAGGATCTCCCTGTATCGCCCAGGCTGGGGTGCAGTGGCATGATCATGGCTCACTGCAGCCTCGACCTCCTGGGCTCAAGCAATCCTCCTGCCTCAGCCTCCCGAGTAGACTGGCACCACCACACCAGGCTAATTTTTGTATTTTTTATAGAGATGGGGTCTTGCCATGGTGCCCAGTCTTGTCTGGAACTCCTGGGCTCCAGAGGTCCACCTGCCTCAGCCTCCCAAAGTGCTGGGATTACAAGTGTGAGCCACTGAGCCCAGTGGAGAAGTTACTTACTAGGTGCAATGCATATTTTTCGAGCGATGGCTACACTAGAAGCCTAGGCTTCTGATGAACCAGCGGCTGATGGGGGCCCTGGACTCAGGAAGGCCTGGCTCACAGTTTCCTTTAGGGGGTACCCTCAGGACCCTGCCTCCTTTCCTTTGCCCCATCTCCTTCCCTTTGCCCCCCCAACCCCGCTGCCCTCACTGGGGGTGTCTGTTCTCAAGCTCACCCCGGGTCTGGGGCATTCCTGTGGCCAGGGCTCTGCAGAGCCCTGCTGGCCCCCTCCCTCTGAAGGCTGTTTTACTGGACACTGCCTTGTTCTGGGCTGGACACTGAGCAGCTTAGAACCTGCAGTTCAACCTTTTGAAAGCAGCTGGGACAAAGCCCCTGTGTCCCCGGAGAGCCCCTGGGGGCCGCCTCTGAGAGCCCGGGAGTGTTTGCCATTTGCTCAGGAGAGTGTCGCTCAAAGCTGAGCTGGGCTGTTTCCCCTTTCCAGGATGTTTGGCTTGGAAAAGCGGTGAGGGCTTCATCTGGACCCTCCTGTTTTGAGATGGAGACCTGGATGACCCCTGGCCTGGCTTCCTGTGGCCTATTTGCGCTTTCTCTGTCACACTCCTGCGTGTATGACACATGCTTGCTCAGTGTTCTAAGTGCATTACAAATAGTAACTCATTTCATCATCCCTCAAACCCAGTGAGGTAGGTGTTATTATCCTCAGTTTATAGACAGGAAACTGAAGCTCAGAGACACAACCAAGCTAGCCAGAGGCTGGGCCAAGGCTTGAACCAGGTGATCTGGTTTCAGAGTTCAGAGTCCTAGCCTTGGTGTCGGGTCTGTGGGTCCTGGTTAGGCAATGTGAGCCTACTGGTGTGTGTATGTGTGTATATGAGTGTGTGTGTGTGCATGCATGTGGATGCGTACATGTGTGCATGCATGTGGGTGTGTAGGTGTGTGCATGTGCGTGTGCATGTGTGTGGGTGCATATGTGTGTGCGTGCGTGTAACTGTGTAGGTGTGTGCATGTGTGTGTGCATGTGTGTTGGTGCATGCATGTGTATGTGTGTGCATGAGTATGTGTGTGCATGTGTATATGTGTGTACATGAGTGTGTGTGCATGAGTGTGTGTGTGTATATGTTTCTACATGAATGGTGTGTGCATACGTGAGGCTCTCAGCACTGGTAGCACCGAGGAGGCAGTGTGACCTATTCACACAGTGGAAAGAACTTAGCACTAAGGTGGCCCTGAGTTTGATTTCTGCCCCGCCCCTCATAAGCTGTGTGTCTTTGGGCATGCTGCGTCACTTCTCTGAGTCCTGATTTCCTTATCTGTAAATGGAGTCTATGTTATCTATCTCAGTGTTGGTTCATTTCCGTCAATGGCTAAGGACGGTACCTAGCACATGGTAGACCCTGAAATAAATATTATCCATCTTCTCCTTTTCAGTCCTTCCAGGCAAGCTAAGAGGTGGAGGGAGTTTATTTGAGTCTTTACCTGTGGTGCCCTTTCTTCTGTTTGCCAAAATCTCTTTTCACTCTGGGCACCCATCCTGTCACTGACTCCCCCAAAAAAATATCAGTTTCACTTGCACCCAAGCATTGGCATTATCCTTCCCATCCGTGTGAACATTGATTAAAGGAATGGAAGAAGATGGCACTGCTCAGCCCAGATGCTCAAGCCCTTCAAAGGGGCAGAAGACTCCTTGGTGCCTCCCAGATCCCCCTCACCTGTCCATTTTGTGGTGTTAAGGCAGATTCTGGAACAAGCCTCCCCTTCTCTGTCTTAGGCCCTGTGTTTGGAGGCTTTTCTCAGAGTCCACACGCTCTACTTTGTCCCCAGGCACCATCCACTTGGCTCTGGACGACGCCCTGCCTGGCTGAGCTGCCCTGGGAGCTGTCAACACGGGTGTGCGTGCTGGTATGCTGGCCTGGGGGTTCAGGAGAGAGAAGGTGTGGGGAGCAGGGAAAAATGCACTGGGCTGGTTTGCATGACCCGCCAGCATGGAAACCGCCTGCTAATCACGGTGCACAGCTGAGGGTGCCCAGAGCAGGATGAGGAGGGAATGCGGGGTTGAGCTGTCACGGGAAAGGGAGCAGGCTCTGGGACTCAGAGCTCAGGCAGGCTGCTTTTTGTTCAAGGTAAACAAAAATATTAAAATTGTTTAACATCGAGCTAGTCTGCCTGTAAGGTAGTGAACTCCTCATCTTTACAGGTATTCCAGAGGCTGCATGCTCACCTGTGGGTGCTGTGGGAGCAAGGACAGTCGCACTGGGAGAAAGGTGTTTCCCTTCAACCTCACGATTCCCCGAGCCTATGACTGGATTCCTGGCCTGTGGTTTTCAAACTTCAGAGTATAGGCCTTTACTTTTGTTTAATAACATGTAGGTTGTACTAACCAGGTGCCAGGCTGTGGTCTAAGTGCTCACAAACATTAGCTCATGTAATTCTCATCAGAACTCTGTGAGGTAGGTACTCATATTTCCATTTTATAGATGGGAAAACTAAGGTGTAAATAGGGAACTTGTCCAAGAGCTCCCGGCTAGTTAGTCTGACCTGAGTCTGTTTTCTTTTCTTTGTTTTTTTTGAGATGGACTCTTGCTCAGTCACCCAGGCTGGAGTGCAGTGGCAAGATCTCAGCTCACTGCAATCTCCGCCTCTCGGGTTCAAGCGATTCTCCTGTCTCAGTCTCCCGAGTAGCTGGGATTATGGGTGTGCACAACCACGCCCTGCTAATTTTTTGTATTTTTAGTAGAGACAGGGTTTCACCACGTTGGCCAGACTGGTCTTGAACTCCTGACCTCAGGTGATTCGCCCGCCTTCGTCTCCCAAAGAGCTGGGATTATAGGCATCAGCCGCTGTGCCTGGCCCTGTTCTCTTGACTGCTGTGCTACCATGGCATTATCTGGAGGTGCCTCTAGCAGGCCTGGTTGCTGTGCCTTAGTCTGGGCTTGACTAAGGGGAATCTGGCCAAGTGCAACAACAGGCAGGTGATGTGCCCTAGGATGGGCAGGCCTTGCAAGGAGTCCCTTTCTGCAGGTATATCATGGCCCAAAGGTGTGGTGTCACCCAGGCAATGGAGTGAGGGGACATACCCTCCGGATAGGCAGCGGGCTCTCACAGTGATAGAATCTGGATGCTTGAAAGTCTTGGTCAGCAAGCCACCCCACGGCATGTCTGTTATTCACCATGGAACTCCAGGAATTGGGGAATAGGGACGGGCCTCGGTCGATCCCAGGGGATATCGGATTTCACCGAGAAGGGGACTCAGGCCTGGGGTCAAGGTGAGGGCTGCAGCATCAGAACTGGCAGACAATGTCAGAAACATTTAGGAAGAGTGATGGATTCCCAGATCGGGGTTAGGAGCAGCTGCCCCCTCAAACGTTGGGGCCTCAGAGACCAGAATTTAACCCCCAGATCTGCCACTTTTGCTACGTGTGTCACTAGGTCATGTTGGGTAACCTCTGATTCATGGCTTGCTTATCTGTAAAAGGTGGGCGATGATAACTATCTTGCATGATGGTTGCAGGGGGGTCAAATCAGATAATATCTGCTTACCCAGAGCCTTGCAAATAATAGTTGCTTACCAAATGTCCTTGTATTTTGTTGAGTTGCTCTTGCCTTGGGTGGGAACTGACCTTTTAGAGACAGTGGTGGGACGGGGCAGGAGGTGAGTGGGTGGGGAGGGCTGAAGATGGTGAGAGACTGGAAGATTCCCGGGGTTCATCAAGTTAGTCAAGAATGACTTTGGGAGACCCTCCCACCCCCGGGTGCTAACCCCAGAACCAGGCAACTTGGGGGCTGTGGAAACAGAGGCTACTAAGGAAATAGAGACCAAAGAATGACTTAGCATACCTAGGATTTCAAGTTAATGAGTTGAAAATTATACCCAGGGCCAGGGAGCCTCACTGAGAGGTCAACCAAGCTTATCCTTGGCATTTCCTCCCCACCCCGACCTCTGCCTGGGATGTTCTCTGCTGTCATTCTCTGAGTGTATGCGGATACTCTCCTATCTCATCTGCAAAACAAGTGGCTTGGATGGGATGTTGACTAAGACCAACGAGATACCTTCCATGGTCTTAAAGATCAAAGATTTTACTTTTCTGTTAATCTGAGAACTTAGAAGGATCCCCTCCAAGTTAGAGGACTACATTTACAGCAGCTTAGATGAACAGAAAGGACTAGAAGTGAGAGTGATGGTAACAAGGGCAGTCACTTTCCATCTATAGTGCTCTGGAGTTGATGACAGTGCTCCGTGTATTAGGTTTCCTGATTAAAAACTGTTTATTTTGTAGCAGAGGCTACTGAGGGCCGGAGGTTGTTAAATGACTTGCTTGAGGTCACGCAGGTAGTGAGTGATAAAGTCAGCCTCCTAACCAGGGTTTTCCAGTCCTAACTCTGATACAAAGTAACTGTGTGAAGACATTGCCCATATCTAGGCCCCAGTCTCCCAATCTGTGAAATGGGTGGATTGTTCCACTGGCAATAAGATGTGGTGTTTTGTTTTGTTTTGTTTTGTTTTGTTTTGTGACAGGGTCTCTCTCTCTGTTGCCTGGGCTGGAGTCCAGTGGCATGATTCCAGCTCACTGCAGCCTCAAACTCCTGGGCTCAAGCGATCCTCCTGCTGCAGTCTCCTGAGTAGCTGGGACTACAGGTGCACACCACCGTGCCCAGCTAAGTTTTTTTTTTTTAGTTTATATGGGGTCTCACTATGTTGCCCAACCTAGTTTTGAACTCCTGGCCTCAAGCGATCCTGCCTTGGCCTCCCTGAGTGCTGGAGTTACAGATGTGAGCCACCGTGCCCAGCCAGATGTGTGATCTTATGGTTTGCCTTTTGCTCCCACACGTCAGAACTGGTGATCTGCTTGCCCTTGGAATGCCAGGGGCCGACCTGATTTTCAGGAAATGGTCCTTTCCCTGTGGGTGGGGAAGCTTCACTTGGTGCTGTTTGGTAAATAACTGTATTGGTCTCCGGAGGGTTTGAAAATCACATTTCTCCCTCTTATTGCTATGGGCGACTAACACTAGCTAAAGCTTGAAATCAGGCCCCAAAGGGTGGCCTCGCTGATGACTCTGGTTTCTCTTTTCACTGTCTAGGGCCCAGGGAGTTTCTCAGCATTTTTGATTGTGAAGGACTATAGAGGCCTTCCTGTGCCCAGAAAGGCCTTGCTTGGTGGGTGTTTAGTCCAAGCCCTTGCCTTCAGGCGGATGGACCAGATGACCTAATAAAGTTTCTAATAAAACCTCCTGGGCAGATCACCAACCTCCTTCCTCTTTAAAGTCTCATTGAGAGAGGAATGTCTACAGCATCCTTGGTAACACATTACAGTGTTTCACAACCCTCCTAGCCAGGAAGCTGTTCTTAATGTTTAACCTTAATCCCTCCCGCTGAAATTTAAGGCCCTTTTCTCTTGTTGAGTGCAAATGGAGAACAGCTGCTCACGCTCGTCGTCTGACATCAGCTATTTCTCAGGATGACCCTGCGAGACAGGCCAGGGTCATTAGACCCAATTTGGTTCTCAGCAAATATGTGTTTATTCCTGCATGCGTGGGCCACAGGCTGGTTTCTTGGGTGCAATGAATAGCTGCAGGTTTATTAGGGTGTCTTTTTAGATGGATGTATGTTTCCCGATGTCTATAGAACACTCCGGACCCCGGAGAGTGAAGACTCTGCCTGTCGGACTTGCTTTGAGAAGATCCTTCTCCACCTCCCCATGGCAGAAGTTGCTTCACAGAGGGGAACAGTTTTATGGATGTGGCTGAGACCTTAAACTTGAGGCAACCCATCTGAGGTGGCATCCAGAGGAGACTGGCTGGCCCCTCCTTCACCTTGGATGTAGTGCTGTTTCTAGGATCTCTTTTCAATCAGCAAAACAGGGGATGTTCCAAGAGGGTGTGGATTCCCTGCCATCCCACATGGTCAAGTGGAGGGGACGGGAAAAAGCTATGAAGGGTTTGTGACCACACAGACTCTCCTGGCCCCCTGTCCTTTTGGAAAGAAGACAGGGATGAAATATAATCAAGCAATTAACCACCCCCATCATCACCAAGAACAACAGTATCAACAAGAAGAACAGGGACAACAAAACCCACGGATGAAACATTCCTTTCTCAGCTCAGATCTTATCTGGTGCGTTCTCTCTCTGCTCTGTCTTGGTGTGTGGTTTAGAGAAACATGGACAACGCTGTTTGGAAGAACAGGTGAGCGAGGGTGGGGAATTTCAGAGGCCTGGGCCCACCGCCTCCACCCCTTCCCCAGTTTAACCTTTGACAGGATCTTCACCTCTCTCTGATCAGCATTGCTTCTTGTTCAAAGGCCTCAGCCACCCAGCTGTGTCCCTTTCCCCAGAAAGCAAGGGCAGATGGCAGTGGGTCTGTTGATGAGAGAACTTTAAGGGCCCAATCAGTCCCTGGGCACCCCCTCCTGGGCTCGTTTTCTCCAGGAGGCTGCATTCTGATCCATAAACCTTCTCCTCGGGGTTTAGGGTCGAGCTGTTCCTGATGTTTATCGGAGACTGGGATCAAAGCTATCCAGGTCATAAATCTCTCTCTGTGGCTGTTGGGCCCCAGGGCAGCTGAAGAGGGTTGACAGCCCTTTGGACCTCAAAGGAAAAAATGTGCTCTACTCCACCCACTCCCAGCTCTGCCAAGAAGCTGTCCTCTGAGAAGCCATGGCTGGGCCGTTCCATTCTGGGGAGCTGCTGAAAAGAGCTGGGAGGCCGAGAAGAACTTGCGTGTGCTGGGGGAGAGGAAGCCTGGCCTTGAGGGAGGGGTGCAGGTGTGGCTCCTCTGTGTGTGGGGGCTGGGGGACCTTGTGTGCCTTTTCCTTGTGGCTGTGAAATGCTTTATGAGTACTTCCATAGGAGGATGGACAGGGAGTCGGGGAGATAAACTCAGCCACAAGGCCCCAGGGCCTCAGGAAACTTGCACCCAACCCTCTCATTTTACAGAAGAAAACTGTGCCTGGAAGGTTGAAGGGTTTGTTCCCAGTCACACAACCAGGGATCCTTAGGACAGCCAGACCAGGAAACCATTTCCAAACTGCCAAGCCATGGCAGAGTATCAAGACCTCAGGAACCATCGAGACACCATGGAAGCATTGGGAAAAGCCTCCTTAGCTTTTGAAGCTCCTCATTGTTCTTGAGTGTGCATGGAGCCCATGACTGCGGGGTTTTGTAGACACCTCAGGGATTACATGACTGGTACCCCTGACAAAGTCAAGGCTGCTGGACAAAATGAGTCCGAGGATTTCAGGGGCAGCTGGGCGCAGGAGCTGGTGGGCTGTTGGGAGTGCCCCTTTACTGGGCAGGCTTCCTTCCTCCTGGTGATGGGGGGTTCCTCAGCACAAAAGTGAAGGGGTGGAGGGGCTGGAGGAGCAGGAATCTCTCTTGTTGATAGGTATGAGGCCTTGAAGTCCTTTTCTTTGTCCCAGGATTCATGGACGCTTCGGGGCTGATCTTTGAGTTTTCAAGCATGGGGTGCAGAGACGTTTAGGTAAACTCTTACCGTCCTCTCTCTTCGTCAGGGCTTCCCAGGAATCAACAATGCCCAAGAAGGAAGGGATTGTAGAAATAGCTTAACCCTTTCATTTACCAACGTGGAAATTGAAGCCCAGGGAAGGGAAGGGACCGGTCGTGGAAGGGAGAGCCATCAGCAGAAAGAGACCCTGAGATCTTCGCCTGGGATTCCCAGGAAGTCCAGCCCGAGCTGATTCACAGAACAAATGCATGCAAACCTTGCTATCAATAAATTACACATGCACTTACGTAAAACACATAAAAATATATGGCCTTGGTTTTGGAACAATACCCCACAGATAAAAGTAGCTTTAAATCCTCCATAAAATGATAAAGTCTAGTCCTAAACTCCTAGCAGTTCTGCGGGTGATCACAGGCGGCAGGAGCCGCTCAAACTTTAATGGCTTGGTATCTCCACATGTAGACAGGAGGCAGAAAACCATCGGGGATGAAGTCGTGGGCTCTAGAATTGCAAAGACGTGGGTTCCAGGCCAGGCTTGGCCCTTGCTAACTGTTGACCTTGAGCAAATTACCCAACCTGTTCCTTATTTGTTTCTGCCTCATAGGTAGTTGTGCAGATGAAATGATATCAGTTCTCAGAACAGTGCTGGGGACAGAGTACACTCTATGCTCAATACATATTCACTTTTAGAGATATCTTGGGATTCTCAGTCTAAGTGACATTCAAAAGTACCTCACTGGGAGGCAAGACCAAGGTGGAGCCTCCTCTTGGATGGGATGTGGGCCTATTTTATTTTACTTCTTTATTTTTGTAGGTGCATGCCACCACACTTGCTAATTAATTTTTTTTTTTTTTTTTTGTAGAGATGGGGTCTCACTATGTTGCTCAGGCTGGTCTTAAACTCCTGGCCTCAAGCAATCCTCCTGCCTCAGCCTCCCACAGTGCTGGGATTACAGGCATGAACCACTGAGCCCGGCACCTCTATTTTAAATCTATTTTATCTTTTGAGATATAGTCTTGCTCTGTCACCCAGGCTGGAGTGCAGTGGCGCGATCTCAGCTCCCTGTAACCTCTGCCTCTCGGGTTCAAGCAATTCTTCTGCCTCAACCTCCCAAGTAGCTGGGACTACAGGCGCCCGCCACCACGCCTGTCTAATTTTTTGTATTTTTAGTAGAGACAGGGTTTCACCATGTTAGCCAGGATGGTCTTGAACTCCTGACCTCGTGATCTGCCTGCCTCGGCCTCCCAAAGTGCTGGGATTACAGGCGTAAGCCACTGCACCCGGCTATTTTAAATCTACAGACAAATCACCCATGAAGTGCAGTGGGGGAATAGAGGGCTGGGCTCAGTTAATTCAGAAGAAGATTTATCCCAGGATCAGGAAATGAGAGTTTCAGATGTTGCCAGTAGCTTAAGTGGCTTTTAGGGCCTTTTTTCTGTCTGGCCAGGGCTCATCCTGGGCTGAGCTTTAAGGCCTGTTAGGGGCTGAATTCTGTCCCCCTCAAAGTTTATATGTTGAACTCATAACCCCAGTACCTTAGACTGTGACTGTATTTGGAGATAGGGTCTCTAAAGAGGTAATTAGGTTAAAATGAGGTCACTAGGGTGGGCCCTAGTCCAATAGAAATGTGTCCTTGTTGGATAAGGGGCAACGTGGACACAGACACGTGCAGAGGGGAGCCCCTGTGAAGAAGCGGGGAGAAGACAGTCACCTGCAAGCCACAGACGGGGCCTGTGAAGGAACCAATCCTGTCAATACCTTGGTCTTGGTCTTGGCCTTCCAGCCTCCAAAACCCAGAGGCCATCAATTTCTGGTGAGGCAGCCCTAGCCGCCTTTCTAAGCGTTCATACTCCTGGTTTGGCAGAGGGGAAGGGACCACGGCCAGCGCTTCTTAAACCTTCGTGTGTGTGAAACTCACTTCCTGGGGAGCTGGATCAAGATGCAGATTCTATGACCATCTAGTTTCCCCTTTCTCATCCCTTATCTAATTTGCTCCTCTGTGGAACTGTGTGAAGTAGACAGGGCAAGAATTTTCATCCCCATTTTCCAGATTAAGAAACTGAGTCTCAGATGGAAGAATCACAGCAAGTGAGAGGCAGTCAAGCCTCCAACTCAGGTCAAGTGAGGCGTCCTCACATCCCATGCCCCCCGTAATTTCCCGATCCCTAGCAGGGGCACCTGGGGAGACTCCCTGGTGATGCTGTGTCAGGACTCCCTTCTTTATTTTGAGACAGAGTTTCACTCTTGTCACCCAGGCTGGAGTGCAGTGGTGTGATCTCAGCTCATTGCAACCTCCACCTCCCAGGTTCAAGCAATTCTCCTGCCTCAGCCTCCCAAGTAGCTGGGATTATAGGTGCCTGCCACCATGCCTGGCTAATTTTTGTATTTTTAGTTGAGACGGGGTTTCACCATGTTGGCCAGGCTGGTCTTGAACTCCTGACCTCAGGTGATCCACCTGCCTCGACTTCCCAAAATGCAGGGATTACAGGTGTGAGCCACCGTGCCTGGCAGGGCTCCCTTTTTGACAGACACTGTCTTAGACCTCAGGCTCCCTCAGGCCTTCGCTCTTGGGGGTTGGAGCTGAGGGGAGGATGGAAAGTGTCCCTCCCCATCACAGCGCAGCTAGCTGGTGAGAGGGGCTGGGAGCTCCCGGATCTGTCTGGACATGCAGCCACTCCTGGCAGTCCCCACCCCTCCTTCCACCCAGCCCCTCTGCCTTCCAGCAAGTGAATGAAGTCAGGCAGGCCCTGGGCCATCCCGGGTGAAGGAGGGAGTGGGCATGGCTTGGCACTCCAAGGGCTCGCCATTGGGAGGGGCGTGGAGACGGTGTGAACTCCTTGGTGTCTTGCTCTTGTCATCTTCCAGCATGACATATGCACAAAGGTACCTTTTATAGGTGGGAAATTATAGGTGCTGCCACTTCAAAGGCCTTGGCAACCAGAGCTCCTCTTTGATAGATGACAGTATTATTAATGGTGATTTATTGCTGGGGCCATTTTGACAACAGAAATAACCAGTTTCCCCACCTTTTCGGCTCTCTTCTCCCACACCTTCCTGGGGATTTTTTTTTATTTTGGCTGGCCCTGTGTGTTTTTCTGGCTGCAGGGGTTACCTCCCTGCACGAGGAGGCATGGGAGGTAACCCATGGAGCATCTGCTTAAGGCACATAGTGAGGCATCTGGCTTATTAACTTGTCATCATGTGTCATAAAGTTTAGTGAAATGCTGGCAGATTGTAATCCTAAACAGGGCAATTACCCTCTTATTAAAGCAGTACTTTTTCTGTCTGTCTGTCTGTCTCTCTCTTATTTTTCTCTCTCTCCCTGCCTCCACCCCCTTTCCTGGGATTGTTGTTACCTCTGCCCTACTTGCACAATTAGTCATGAGCGGAGGTCACCTGCTTCATAATGATCCCAGAGTAGGCCTGGCCTTGGCGGGGCAGAGCTGAAGGGGAAGGGGCAAAGGAGAGCTAACCATGGTGAGGCTTGCTGCAGCAAGCTGGCCTCACGGGGCATGGGGACAAGGCGCTGTCCCAGGCGGGAGGCTGCAGTAAGAAGGTTGTGGTCTGAGGTTTCTGGCTGCAGGCAGCGAGAAGGAGAGAGGAGAGAGAGCTGACAGGAGCGACTGAGCCTCTGTGGACTTCGCCGCTCACCCAGATTTTCCGGCAGAGATGCCTCCCTCTGCCTTTTTCTCCCTCACTTTCGTATCTCGAAACACAGGTGGAAAATAAGAAAGGAAGTGGCAGTGGGTGATGGGGGCCTGGGACATGAGGACTCCTCACTTGATCTGAATTGGAGGCTTGGCTGCCACTCACTTGCTATGATTCTTCCATCTGAGACTCAATTTCTAAATCTGTGAAATGGGGGTGAAACATCTTGCCCTGTCTGCTTCCCACAGTTTTAGGGAAGATCAAATTAGAAAAGGGATAGGAAAGGGGATGGCTCATGGTAACTCACTCCACAAATCTGAGGGATGATTGTAATTTCATATGTGTGACCACAGGGTCTTATGTCATGTCTAACGGAGCTCTACCCCCGTGATTCCAAAGGATCGTTGACTATATTGAAATTTGGTCTTCTGTCTCTTTCTGTATTCCTCAGGGTTTTGATGACCTTGGTTTCTAAATCTGCCTGGGAGGCATTGTTTGACTCTGGTCTGAACAACAGGAGTTTTCGGCACAGGTGTGATCATGTTACCTGCACAGTGCGAGGTTAAGAAGACAAATGGGGGTAGGCTAGAGGCAACAGCCAAATCACAATTTGCCAGATCTGAAAAGACCTTAGAGATTACCTAGCTGAATTGTCCCCTGCTGTAGATTTGTAAATCGAGGCTCGAAGAGGTAGAATAACTTTCCTAAAAATCATCAGATAAATGACAGGCAGAGTGGAGACTAGATCTCCCATCGCCAGACTTGGCCCAGTGCTCTGTCCACCAAAGCATGTTGACTGCATCAACTCTGGGTGCACCTTCTCCTCCTTTATCATCAGTCAGCGTTCAGGAAAGCACTGCTAGCAGTCATTTACACCTTAGCATGAATTTAAGCCAACATTTAGTTCTCCCAGGTGCATTTGCTTTTTTTTTTTTTGAGATGGAGTTTTGCTCTTGTCGCCCAGGCTAGAGTATAATGGTGTGATCTCAGCTCATTGCAACCTCCACCTCCCGGGTTCAAGCGATTCTCCTGCCTCAGCCTCCTGAGTAGCTGGGATTACAGGCACCTGCCACCACGCCTGGCTAATTTTTGTATTTTTAGTAGAGACGGGGTTTTGCCATGTTGGTCAGGCTGGTGTCAAACTCCTGACCTTAGGTGATCTGCCCACCTCGGCCTCCCAAAGTGCTGGGATTACAGGCGTGAGCCACTGTGCCCAGCCGCATTTGCTTTTGAGGTCTCATCCCATTGTATAGATTGTTCCCTGTCAATGGCATTTCCAGCACTGGTGAGAAGAGAGGCAAGGCAGGGCTTGTGATTCTCATCCCCAAGACCCTGCCACTTGCCTACTCGCTCGGGCAATGAGGGCGGGCACTGCTTCCAGAGTTAAACTGCACTGGACCCAGATCTATGTGTCCATAAGTCAGAGCAAGTTTGTCAGAAGCTGTCAGGGAGTAAGGCTGAGTAGACGGATGGAGTCAGACTCATTTAAAAATGGAATACCAGCAGATAGGTTTAAAAATGGAATGCGGCCGGCTAGAGTGAAGGTGGTCCCTAAACCAAACACCTGTCCCTTCTGTGTGTTTTCTGGTTTCTTTCCCCATTGCTCGAGAATGCTAGAAGCCAGACTAGTATTAAGAACTCTAAATTCCTAGCCTGGCATGGTGGTTTACACCTGTAATCCCAGCAACTTGGGAGATCAAGGCAGGAGGGGATCACTTGAGCCCAGGAATTTGAGACCAACCTGGGCAACGTGTTGAAACCCCATCTCTACAAAAAATACAAAAATTAGTCAGGCATGTGGTGCATGCCTGTAGTCTCAGCTACTTGGGAGGTTGAGGTGGGAGGATTGCTTAAGCCCAGGAGGTCGAGGCTGCAGTGAGCCATGATCGCGCCACTGCACTCTAGCCTGGGTGACAGAGCGAGACCTTGTCTCAAGACAAACAAACAAACAAACAAACAAAAAACTCTTAAGTTCTAAGTGCCTGGAGCAGGGAGTGTTTCTGAGGCCTCATGTTTACCAGGGCACTGTGCTATGTGCAGGGTAGTGAGGGGGAGAGACACCATTCCAACATCTTGGAGCCCAAGTCTAGAGTCAGGGCCACAGAGGCGGGAGAGGAAGAGAATCCCACTGCAAATGGGCTGGGCCTCCCTGCCTTTGCCCATTGAGTGAGCAACAGTGCTGTTTCTATAGGTCTCTTTGAGCCTTAAGCATGGAATGTGATGAGACTGAACAGTGATAAAATGTATTGATGGAACTTCTGTTCATTGAAATGCAAAGGGGAAGAAAGAATTTAGAAATGATCTGAGGTTTCCAGCTTGGGGAGAGAGAAAGTGAGAGGAAGTGGGGGCCTAAGGGGAATGGAATGAACAGCCCCGACTTCAGGCTTGTAGACTGCAATGGGGCAAGGCAGCTACATGCAAATGTCCTTCCTGGAGCCTGGAAACAAGGTCAAAGCAGAGATGGACAAGTAGGAGCGCAGCCTAGAGGAGATAGGTGATGCCTGAAGCCATGAGAAGGGGTGTTATCTCTGCAGGAAGAAGAATTGCAACACTCCTCCCAGCTGAGCAAACAGTCTGGGCTGGGATGTGAGTGGTATCACACTCTGCACTCACTTCCTCCTTCAGTGGTCATTTGAGAGTTCACTGGGGCTGACCTACCCCATTGGTCCTGGAGGACAGAAAGGAATGGAGAATAAAGAAGGTCTAAGGTGCAGTTTTTCCCCCTCCTCCAAAGCCATGAAGGGACCTATGGATTTGAAAGCTGTGTGTGGTCACTGTGGACAGAGTGACTCCTACCCCACTGGGGGGCTTTGCCAGCCAAGGCACAAATCAAGCCTTCTCTTTGCCCTCTGAAGTCAAAGGGAGAAGACCGGGGTTGTCCATCTTTATAGGCAGCCTCAGATGATCCAACCTAATATACGTCATTAACAAATTGTGTGATCTTGAACAAGTCAGTTTATCTCATTGTGACTCAAGTGAACATAAGGGTATAGAGCATTTGCCCTGCTGACCTCACTGGATCATTGTGAAATAATAGCTAATGAGATGGTGCATAGCAGGTGTTTTGTAAACTTAACAGTGATAGGCAAAGCTTAGTTCCCATGAGAATGACTCTCTGACTATTATCTATGGCATTGGAATACTGACCTCCCTTCTCTGAGAAAGCTCCAGCGGCAAAATGCTTCTGATCTCAAACTTTAGGACCAATTTTCTGGTTTACAGGGCAGGACGAGCCCCTTCTCTTAAGGATCAAGGGGATGAAGGAGAATTCCCTGCTTTTGGTGGGGGGTTACTTCTGAAAGCCATGCCCTGCTCCCATCTGAGGAGGTCACCCAGTCCTAGTTTTGTCTGGAAGCACCCTGCCCAGCCCCAGGGGCCAGCCCCATCCCAGCCAGGCCTCAGAGATGTCAGACCTGAAAGGCAGCTGCTGCCTCTCCTTCTGACAGGTGTCTCCGCCAGAGCTGGGAGATGAGGAGATAGGCGAGCTGAGCACCTTTCCTCCTTGAATTGATAACTGCTTTGCAATGCAGCTCTGTACTTGCTAAATGAAACCTCCTGCCCCACCATGATGGATTTATGGCTGAAACATCTTATCTCAACTGAGAATATTTTATGAGTGTGCATGGGTGTGTGTGGGATAGGAGGAGGGAAAAGGCAGTTTTGCAAACATTTCTAGAGGTGCTCCATAATCTGCCCTACCCTGAAGTATTATCTAGAAGCTCTTTCTAGATCTGCCAGGCTTAAGCATCTATAAGTCTTCTCCAGATGCTAGCACAATGTAGATGCCTCATGAAACATTTGCTGATGATGATGATGACGATGATGACGATGAAGGCTGTGGTCTGGAAGGGGACTCTGTTTTTGATAAGTTTAATTCAATCCAGCAAATATTGAACAAATGCTCATTTTTGTTCAGGGCTAGGAAAGCTACTATTATTATTTTTTTGGTGGGGTGGAGAAAGGGGAGAGTTGGAGAATATAAAAATAAATGACACAAACTCTTTTCTCTACATCCTTGGTCTATACTGAGGGGCCAGGACATGCACATTCGGAGTGGATGTGGAGCAGAAGGGGTTGGAGTGGCAAGAACTAATGGCCCAGAGTGTAGCTTCAGGAGCTGGACACACCTGGTGGGATCTTTAGGTAGTTTCTTGTCTTTTGAGCTCCTCAGTTTTCTCCCCTCTAACAGGGGGACAACACTATTCCCTAGCTCTAAGGTTGGTGTGAAGGTCATAGGATTTGCGTAGGGGTTACTTGGTACCATGTGGGGTCAGCAGCTCAGTAGCATCACCAACACGAGGATGAAGATGAAGGACCGACTCACTGACGAGGGTGGGCTGGAGATGACTGGGAGCCAGGAACCATCACAAACTCAGGGCTCTGTGTGCACTGGTTATCCCATTCTTTTGCAACCTTGTAAAATTAATTTAATAGGTAGTACATCCAAGTGGTTTAAAAAGCAAAAGGTATAAAGAAATATGCAGTGAAGATGAAAATTGCTCTCAGTTCTGACCCCTCACTATTGTGCTCCTCCTTCTCAGAGGCAGCTGTTGTCATTGGTTTCTGGGGCATTCTTTCCAAGGGCGTTGTACACCCAGCATCTAATGATGCTACCTCTTCTTCCTCTTTCTTGTTTTAACCCAAAAGGAGGAATTGGGAGTTGATGATAGCCATAGAGTGGAAGGCAGCAGCTGGAGGGAGGAAGCTGGATGTATCTGAGCATCTACTACGTGCCAGGCCCAGATGAAATCTTATCAGTTCTAGCGAAATTTGGAGAAAGATTCACTGTCTTAGAATTTGAAAACATCAGTGCTGGAGGGGAAGGTGGAAGCCATCTGGCTAATCTTCATTTACTGATATGGAAGTGACTAGTCCAAAGTCCCAGAGCTTTCTGATTTTTGCTTCTTCTTGCTAGGAAAGCAATTATCCTATAATAATCCTTCTTTACAGGTAAAAATATTTTATGGTGCACCTGCCTCCCTTGCCAGTGGAATGACAGTCTCCATAGACCTGTGGGCCATCTGGGCCCTGGGCCAGCCTCCTTGTCTCACACTAGCTTGTTGGGGACCTGCCCTTGCTGGCACCCATCATTCCAGCTCCCTCCTGTTGTAACTCCTGCCCCAAATCCCAGGACTTGTCGCTGCCAGCTTTTTCCCCTGTTGTTCCTTGTCTTCCCACCCTTCTCAGGACTCAGGTCACCAGGATAGGTGGACATCCAATTCCTGCTGGAGTGCCAGCAGGAGAGATTTGGGGAACTCTTCCAGGTAAAGGGGGTTTTACCTGCTAAGGGTTGACTTGTGTCTCCCCCACAAATTCAAATAGTGAAGTCCTAAACCTGCCAGTACTTCAGAATGTAATTATCTTTGTAGATAGGGTCTTTAATGGGGTAATTAAATTAAAGTGAGGTCACTAGGGTGGGGCCTAATCCAATATGACTGGTGTCCTTATAAGAAGAGGAAATTAGGACACAGACAGGCACAGAGCGATGACCATGTGAAGACACAGGGAAGAGATGGCCACCTACCACCAAGCCATGGTCACCTACCATCCAAGCCATGGTCACCTATCACCAAGCCACAGTCATCTACCATCCAAGCCACCGTCACCTACCATCCAAGCCATGGCCACCTACCTGCCAAGCCATGGCCACCTACCCGCCAAGCCATGGTCACCTACCCACCAAGTCATGGTCGCCTACCATCCAAGGAGCGAGGCCTGGAACAGATCCTTCCCCAGAGCCCTCAGTAGGAGCCAACCCTGCTGACACCTTGATCTCAGACTTCAAGCCTCCAGAACTGTGGGACAATCCTTCACTGTCATTTAATCCACCCAGCATGTGGTCTCTTGTCACAGTTGCATTAGCCAGTGAACCTACCCGGGCCCTTCTGCAGTCACCTGGCTCAGGAGTGGTTCTGGTCAGGAAGTTCTGAGGCCAGGCAGGATCGGGACACTCCCTGGAAAGACCCGAGGGAGATATTTGGGAAACAAGAGGGCTGGTGTGGCTTCTCAACATGCCCACCATAAATCCTGCGCCATCCCAGGGCCGATGGGACCTGCTGTGTGTGCGGTAAACTGAATGCCAGGAAGCCAGGCTCTGTCGATCCCTGGTTCTGACTGTTGTGGGATCTTGAGCAAATCCCCTCGCCTCTCTGGGTCTCAGTTTCCTGATTTGTGGGATGGAGAAAAGGATTAACTGTCCCACTTACCTTGAGGCTGTGGTGTGGATTAAATGATTAAAATGCATAAGTGCAATTGCAAAAATATAGAACCAGCCCATCAATCAATGAGTGTATAAAGAAACTGTTGTGTATATAATATATATAATGGAATACTACTCAGTCATAAAAAGGAATGAATTAATGGCATTCGCAGCAACCACGATGAGATTGAAGACTACTATTCTCTTTTTTTGCTTTGTTTTTGAGATGGAGTCTTCCTCTGTCACCCAGGCTGGAGTGCAGTGGCACGATCTTGGCTCACTCCAACCTCCGCCTCCCAGGTTCAAGTGATTTAAGATTGGAGACTATTATTCTAAGTGAAGTAACTCAGGAATGGAAAAGCAAACATCATATGTTCTCACTCATAAGTGGAGCTAAGCTGTGAGGATGTAAAGGCATAAGAATGATACAATGGACTTTGGGGACTCAGGGGGAAAGGGTGGGAAAAGGGTGAGGGATAAAAAGCTACAAATTGGGTTCAGCGTACACTGCTTGGGTGATGGGTGCACCAAAATCTCACAAATCCCCACTAAAGAACTTACTCATGTAACCAAATACCACCTGTTCCCCCCAAATCTATGGAAATTAAAAAAAATTAAATAAAGTGTGCAAGTGCTGGCGAGGCCCCGAAGGAGCCCCACATTGGTGATGGCAACGCAGGTGACAGCACTTTCTCTCCCCAGTGGGGCTGGTGGTGCCCATTCCTGGCTGCCCCACTCTGAGTCTGAGGAGGAACCAAGGCTTTCCTGGAAATGCAGGGGCTGCCATCGGCCTGTGGGCTTAGGGTCCCAAACAGGGAGAGCCCATTGTTTGTCATTTCTCCTCAGTAAGCAGAAAGCTCTAAGCCCTGAAGCCTCCGGTAAACGTCAGAACATTTGGACATCTGAGTCCATTGTCTCCAGGTCTCATAATTTTCCTACATTAAAAATCCAATAATGCATTTTGTGGAAAATTTAGAAAGTACAGATAAACAAGAGAATAAAAAACATGAATTTTACCACTGTCAAAGCTGAAGGTCTATCCTTCTAGCCTCTTCTTTAAATGTGTGTATTTTCAGAAAAATGAAACCCTGTTGCACATAATACTTTATAAGTTTTTTTTTTTTGACAAGGTCTCATTCTGTTGTCCAGGCTAGAATACAGTGTTATGATCATAGCTCACGGCAGCTTCAAACTCCTGGCCTCAAGTGATCCCACCTCAGCCTCCCAAATTGCTGGGATTCCAGGTATGAGCCACTGCACCCAGCCTATAGCTTCTTTTTTTTCATTTTTTTATTTTTTGAGACAGAGTCTCACTCTGTCTCGCCCAGGCTGGAGTGCAGTGGCATGATCTCGGCTCACTGCAGCCTCCCCTTCCCAGGTTCAAGTGATTCTCCTGTCTCAGCCTCCCGAGTAGCTGGGACTACAGGCGTGTGCCACCACACCCGGCTAATTTTGTATTTTTAGTAGAGATGAGGTTTCACCATGTTGGCCAGGCTTGTCTTGAACTCCTGACCTCAAGTGATCCGCGTGCCTCAGCCTCCCAAGGTGCTTGGATTACAAGCATGAGCCACTGCGCCTGGCCCCTATAACCTATTTTTAAGTCAATGATGTATCACAAACATTTTCCCATGTTGACCTTCATCCCCACCACCACTTTTTAGTTAGGAATAACCAAAAATTTCAGATGAACAGTTCTAGAGACCACTAAATGTGAGGAATAGAAGGGTCCTGAACACGGCTTCTCCTCTCTGCCCAGCGTTACTTCTCAGGTGTGTGTCTCACCGGGGGCAGGTAAAGTTCTGGGAGAATCCTGAATTTACGGTCAGATAGGCTAGGAGTCCAACTTCAGCTCTGCCATTGACAAGCTGTAAGTGGGAAGGGAAAGGGCTGGGGCAAACTGCTTCTCTTTCCCAGCCCCCACCAAGGATTAATGGCTTATTGTAAGTAAAAGAATTTTCTAGCCCTGGCACAGTGGCTCGCGCCCGTAATGACAATGCTTTGGGAGGCTAAGGCGGGAGGATTCCTTGTAACCAGGGCTTTGAGACTAGCCTGGGTAATGTAGTAAGAACCTATCTCTATTAAAAAAAACATTAGCTGGGTGTGGTGGTGCACGCCTCTAAGTCCCACCTACTTGGGAGGCTTAGGTGGGAGGATCGTTTGAGCCCAGGAGTTTGAGGCTGCAGTGAGCTATGATTGTGCCACTGCAATTCAGCCTGGGTGACAAAGAGAGACCCTGTTTCTAAAAATAAATAAATAAATAAATAATAAAAAGAGCTTCGTAAACTGGCAGCTACAATTAATACAAGCTCATGGATGAACAAAGGACATTTTGTTGGTTTTGCAAGGGAAAAAAATCCTATTTCTGGAGGGTCACGAGGCACCATGAATGAATGAGAGTTGGGCCTGTAGGGAGGAGGAGAATTTGAAAGAAAGAAACATCATATTTGAGTTTGGAGAAAGAATTTGGATTCTGAGAACAGATTCCTTGGTAGATGAAGGAGTGAGTAAGCTCAGTTTGGAGGAAGGGAAGAAAAAGGTTGATTTTAAGGAAGCCAGTAACAAACAGTAATAGTGATGAGGAGGATGAGAGCTCACTCACAGGGTTTATTTACCATGTATCGGACACTGTTCTAAGCACTTCAAAAATATGAACTTGCTGGTCCACAAAACAATCCTACAAAGCAAATACAATTTTTTTTATTCCATTTATTCCAATTGTTTCCAATTATTTCCAATTTATTCCAATTATTTCCATTTTTTTATTTTTTAAAATTAATTACTTTTTCTAGGGATAGGGCCTTGCATCACTCCCTGGGCTGGAGTGTAGTGGTATGATCATAGCTCACTCCAGCCTCCAAGTCCTGAGCTCAGGCGATCCTCCTGCCCCAGTCTCCTAAGTAGCTGGGACCACAGGGTTGTGCCACCACACCTGGATAATATTTTATTTTTTGTAGAGACCAGGTCTTGTTATGTTGCCCAGGCTGGTCTTGAACTCCTGATCTCAATTGATCCTGCCACCCTGGCCTCCTAAAGTATTGGGATAGTATGAGTGTGAGTCACTGTGCCCAGTCTATCCCTTTTTTTTTTTTAGATGAGAACACCGAGGCACAGAAAGATGAAGGAATTTGTTAAGTGGAGCAGCCAGGGTCTGAGCCCAGGGCCGTGCGTTCCCCTGGACTGTACACATACCACACACACCTGGACCAGGGAGGCAGGGCCGGAGAGTGAGAACCCCCTAGACAGATTGAATTTGAAGATGTGAATGTTGCATCTATTTGTTGTTGCCTATTTGGAGACAATGGGTGGGGAGTAGTTTCTTTCTTTGCTTCCCTGGCACTCAGCGAGAGCCTTCAGAAGGCATTTGGATTTGTGACAACTTGGGAAGTGCAGGGGTGAGGAGTTGGGAAGAGATGATGGTGTCCTGGCCATTCTTTTTCCAGAGCTCCAGGGTGGTGGCCTGAGGGAGGGAGCTGTCTGCTTCCCTTGAGGCCGATGACCTGTGCCATTCTTGACCATCCCCTCACCAAGAGGAACTGAGACTGGTGAGAACTGCCCCCATGGCTTGAGATGGATCCTGGGACCCAAAGTGGGGCCCTATGGTGGGTGTGGGCTGTGGTCGGTGTCTCTCGGTTCACACAAGAATCACACACAGCTTCCCCTTCCCCTCCTTCCTCTTCAGTCTTCCCTCTTCCCTCCCATCCACTCTTTCTCCCCAGTGTGGCCTGGTGGAGGCGGTGATAGAGGGAGTGGGCAAAGGAAGGAGAGAGTCTGATGCTACTTTCTGGGAGTGGGTGATGAGGGACCCCCGTGGGTTACCCTTAGGTCCTAGAGAAGTTTGGGGGAAAATTTTGTGTTCCTTTTGTCCGTGTGGGGAAGAAATAGGAGAACCAGTATCATGGGGCCTGCCCTGCCTGCTGCTGTCAAAACCTGCTGACAAGTAGACGACCTGCTCCTGCTGTTACGGTCAGGGTCCTGAGACTATCCCTGGACCCTGAGAACCCATGGAGAAACCTAAATCAGATGCTAGTCTCCTCCAGTCCACTCTGCCCGGCTTGGGGCTGGCTGGCTGTGGATAACTGGGAAAGCAGCCACAAAACAGGAGGTTCTGGAAGCTTCCTGATGGGCTGGCTGGAGGGAGACCTGAGTGTGGCAAAGGTAGCAGAGGGGTCGAGGGGTTGGCAGGGTGCATTGCTGATTTAATCAAAAATGTGCTGGGTGCCGAGGACTGACGTCACCACATCACACTCCAGTCCCCACACCCCACTGGCTCAAGGTGCCATACAGCAGGTGAATGGACAAATGGTCATCCCATCAGCCAAGTACCCAGCCAGAGGTCCTGGGAGGGCGCTGGAGGCACTGGAGGAAGTTGAATGGGCTCCGCACAGAGGGATCCTTACTGACAGGCAATTACTATGCAGACAACTCTGTCTCTTCCCCACAGATGGTCCTTTTTCTTGGGTGTGGGTGTACACATACACACACACTCACACACATACACACACACAAAACTCACATACTTTGTGGTTTGACGTATATCTCTTTTTAAAAATTAGTGAGTAATATATGGAATCTAAAAAAGTTGAACTCATACAGTTGGGAGTAGAATGGTGTTTACCAGAGGCCTGGGAGTGTGGGTCGGGGGGAGAGATGGTTGGGGAAAGGGGATGTTGGCAAATGGGGGCAGAGTTTCAGTGACGTAGGAAGAATATGTCCTGGTGATCTGTTGCAGAGTAAAGTGACTGTAGCTAATAATAATGTATTGTACATTTCAAAATAGCTAAAAGAATTTTACATGTGCTAACCACAGAGAAATTATAAATATTTGAGGTGATGGATATGCTAAGTACCCTAATTTGATCATTCCACAATGAATACATGTATTGAAACAACACACTCTACCCCATAAATATATACAGTAAAATTATTATTTGTCAATTACAAATAAAACTTTTAAAAAAGAAAAATATTAGTTGGGAAAATTTTAAACATACACAAAACTAGAGGGAAGAGCTTAGTGACTCTCCTTGTGCCGTACCCATCTCCCAGCGTCTACAGTGATCAGCATTTTGCCGATTTTGTTTCATCCGTCTCCGCAGTATATTCTAACAACCAGCCACAATTCTCTGCGTTTCATCAGTGCTTTAAGAATGCCTCTCTCTCTCCATCCTTACAGCAATACTGGTGGGTCAAGCAGAGTAGTTATTATTATCGTCATTTTTTGAAGAGAAGACCAAGTCTCTGAGGTTCAGGAACTCTTTCAGGGTCACACAGCACCTAGAGTCTCTGATGCCTAATCTGACCCTGTCATTGGCTCATTTCTTTCTCTATCTCTCTTTTTTTTTTTTTTTTTTGAGATGGAGTCTCGCTCTGTCACCCAGGCTGGAGTGCAGTGGTGCGTTCTCGGCTCACTGCAACCTCCACCTCCCTGATTCAAGCAATTCTCCTTCCTCAGCCTCCTGAGCAGCTGGGATTACAGGCGCCCATCACCACACCCAGCTAGATTTTGTATTTTTAGTAGAGACGGGGTTTCATCATGTTGGCCAGGCTGGTCTCGAACTCCTGACCTCAGGTGATCCACCCGCCTTGGCTTCTCAAATTTTGGGATTACAGGCATGAGCCACTGCTCCCGGCATCACTGGCTCATTTCAACTGCATTTTTGGATGCAGGCAGGGTGTGTGTGTGTGTGTGTGTGTGTGTGTGTGTATGTAGGGGGAGCACCTCAGCTGGGGGTCCCTGGAACTCTCAGCCTTCCTTTTGTCCCTTTGCTAGTTGCCCTGCTGGTTGGAGGGGCCGGGGGCAGAAGCAGGCAAATGAATCTCTCCTAAGTTTTTCATTGATGGCTTCCTTGAATTGTGGCTGCAGGATGTTTATAAAACTCTGAATCAATTTGAGGTGCAGAGATTTTCAATCAGGGAAGCAGATTGCACTGATAGGGTCAAAAGGCCTGTCGCCAGCGAGGATCACAGCATCTGACATATTAATTTGAGCTGTCAGAATCGATATGTGTAACGGAGACGTGGAGGCACAGGCGCTGTTTCTGAAAAGGAGTGGGAAAAGAAAAATAAGGGGGGTGGGATCCCACCCTACTAGGGACTAACCTTTTGCAGATCCTGTAGAAGCAATCCCGCCAGCGTGGGGCCAGTGTGCCCGTGGTTCCTGGGGAGGCGGGAGGGGGTGAGAGGACTGGAGCCTTCTCTGTGGGGATGCTGGTCACGGCACAGCATCCCCGCAGAGACAGTGGCCCTGTCACCTCCCCCATCCCCGCCACAAGTAAACTTTACCTGGCTTTTCACAAACACCCACTCTCTGTCTCTTTCCTTGCCCCATTTGAGTTTCAAAGCCCTCTGTCTGTCAAAGAAGGCAGATCTGAGCCCTGGCAGGAAGTGCATTTGTTACTGAGAACCCTTTGGTATTTTGCATATGAAACGTCGACACTGGAGTCAGGCTTCTGGGAGGAAGTCACCGTGGAGTCCTCCTCACCCAGGGGAGCACAGGACACATGGGGTCTGTGTGGGTGCTGGGGGCACAGAAGGAACATGGTGCTCCTAGGAGCTGCCCATCTTGTGGGTTCAACATGGAAAAGAGTGTGAGCCCGGGAAGGCCCAGTCGTACCCATGCTTCTTATACCGAGGAATCGTGACAACATGTGAACACACGTCACATCGTGGCCAAGACACAGCAGAGGCTCCCGGGATGTTGGTTGCATTCCTGGGAGCCCCTGGGTGCCCCTGGGTCCTGATTGTGTTGGTGATCTCTCATGTAAAGAAAATTTTTTTTCCACACAATGGAATAAAATTATGCTTATAAAATTAGGCACAGGGTTAGCATTTATGGAGATAGAACCATCCAAGGTGAGCCATGTCCTTATAGTCACATTTGAGCAAATGGAGACAGAAATCTGAATACTTTGCAAACTGCCAAGGTCCCACAGTGTATTAGTCTGTTCTCATGCTGCTAATTAAGACATACCTGAGACTGATTAACTTATAAATGGAAAGAAGTTTAATGGACTCACAGCTCCACATGGCTGGGAGGCCTCACAATCATGGCAGAAGGTGAATTAGGAGCAAAGGGAGGTCTTACATGGCAGCAGGCAAGAGAGCGTGTGCAAATGAGCTCCTCTTTATAAAACCATCAGATCTCGTGCGACTTGTTCACTATCACGAGAACAGCACCGGAAAGACGTGACCCCATGATTCAATTACCTTGCACCGGGTCCCTCCCACGACACATGGGAATTATGTGAGCTACAACTCAAAATGAGATTTGGGTGGGGACATAGCCAAACCATATCACACAGAGGTGGGAGGGGGTTCAGACTCTTGTTAGGCGAGATTCCTGCCTTGCTTCATCTCTGTAGTGCCTGGGCCTTGCACATGGAGGATGGAGGGTTTTCTGGGCAGTGGCATGGAAGGGCCTCCCTTGGGGACACAGAACCTAACCTCTTATCTCTGTTTCCAGGCTGGTCTCCGTCTTACCATCTGCCCTGCATTACTTTTCCAGGGCTTCCTGTGTGATGACCACGTCTTCTTCCTGCCAGACACTCTCTGCCCCATCTTAAAACTGGTTTAGAACCTTGTTTTAATGATTCAAGCTTTTTCCCTTTCCAAACATTTTGTTATGTGCAAGGAATGCAGATTGTTAAAGGAAATAGCTTCTGAAAAAAAATCTCGCCTGAGTTGTGTGGAAGAACTATGGATGCCCTTGCTTTGAGCAGAGACTTGCAATTTTGAAGAGAAAGTAAATAGGGAGGTGTTGGGGGAGGTGGTCCTCAGCCCCCAGCTTCTCCCTGTCCCATCTCTGGGTGCGGGATCTGTCTCGCTGGCTGGAGGAGGTCTGAGCAGTGATGTGGCGACTGCTGCTTTGTCTCCTCTGGCAGCTTCCTGATCTATTATAAAGGACAGCTTTTCAACCACTTTCTCTCTTTGGGTGGAAAAAGATGGGTGAGATTTACAAGAACAGTTATATATATTTTTTCCTGATCATTATTCTCCTCCACCTGCCACACGCAGGTCAAAATAAATCATGGAGAGAGGGATGGATGGAGAGAGAGAGAAAAGGGTAGGAAGGGAGAAAGGGGTGAGAGAGAGAGATTTGCAGGAATACTCATTGGGGTAATAGCTAAAGCATGAGAGACTTCGACTTCTTCTTATTCTTCCTTTTTTTTTAAGAGAGAGAGAGAGACAGGGTCTTACTACTCTGTCACTCAGGTTGGAGTGCAGTGGTATGATCATAGCTCACTGCAGTCTCAAACTCCTGGGCCCAAGCAATTCTCCCATCTCAGCCTCCCAACTAGCTGGGACTACAGGTGTGAGCTACGATGCCCAGCTATCTACTTTATTTTTTGTAGAAACAGTGTCTTGCTATGTTCCCCAGGCTGGTCTCAAATTCTTGGTCCCAAGGGATCCTCCCACCTCAGCCTCCCAAAGTGTTGGGATTACAGGTGTGAGCCACTGCACCTGGCTAAGAGTTTTCTTCTTGGTGATGAAAATTTTCTGAAATCGCCTGTGTGTTTGTTTGTTTTTTTTTTTTTGAGATGGAGTTTTGCTCTTGTTGCCCAGGCTGGAGTGCAATGGCATGATCTTGGCTGACTGCAACTTCTACCTCCCAGGTTCAAGTGACTCTTCTGCCTCAACCTCCCGAGTAGCTGGGATTACAGGCGCATGCCACCACATCTGGCTAATTTTTGTATTTTTAGTAGAGACGGGGGTTTCAGCCATGTTGGCCAGACTGGTCTTGAACTCCTGACCTCAGGTGATCTGCCTGCCTCAGCCTCCCAAAGTGCTGGGATTAGAGGCATGAGCCACCATGCCCGGCCTAAAATTGCCTGTTCTAATGGTCGCACATATCTGTAAATATATACTTTAAATGGGTGAATTGGTGTGGTATATGACTTATATCTCAATAAAGCTGGCAAAGAAAAAAGGATACATCTGCACCAGGGCCTGGCCTTGGACTTGAACTTGGAAGGGTGTGAGTGCTCAATCTCCACCAGCCTCCGTCCCTGGAATGGGGTCGCCTACAGAATCTAGAAGGCACCAAAGAGGCTTGTAAAGGATCTCCATCTCTGAACCAAACCCAGCACCTAACAAGTGGAGGGGCCTAAAGTTAAGTTGGCTCTGTGCTGAGATGTCTGTGGGACGTTGCTGCTGAGAGGTATATTAGCAATTGCAAGGTCCAAACCCTCATTTCTCAGATGCAAACTGAGGCCCAGAAAGGGGAATGACTGGTCCACAGTCACAGCTAGTTGGAGTCACATCTGGGTCCAGAAACCCATCTTCTGATGCTCATGTCCTTCCTTTCCTTCTACAAGGAGGACTAAGATACGTGCTGGGGACTTATAAGTTAATAGCCAGTCCTTATGGAGTGTGCAACATGGTGGGGGCCAATGAGGGGTGGCTGGTCATCACATCACAGTTTGAGGAGTTTTGAAAGGGAGAGTGGAGAGGGGGTAGACAGACCTTGGGCAGACCTTGGGGTTGGGGTGGGGGTGCACAGCATGCCAGGGAGGTTGGTTGTGTGTGTGTGGTTTTTGGGGGTGGGGGGGCAAGGAAGGCTCCCCAGAGGAAAGGACTTTTCATCTGTGATCTGACTGTGGACTACCAAATCAGGTAAAAAGCTTGAGGCCAGGGGTGGCAGGGAGAGAGTGCCCCTCCTTGGCAGAGGGTCCAGGGGAGGGGTAAGTTGGGAGATTCGCAGCACTCAGAAGATGTTTTGCTTGGCTGAGGAAGACTCCATTTGGGGAATGAGCAGAAAATGTGGAGCACTGAAAGGGAAGAGGTCTGTTTTAGATACTGCATGACCTTCTACACCTCTGTAAGGTGTTTGGACTTGATCTTGAACTTAATGGAGAGACTTTGATGGGTTTTCTGCATGTTTTTCTAACATCTAGATGCTAAGGGAACTCTCCTCTGGTCCACTGGCCAGGAAGCCCTTGGGTCAGCTTTGTAACAGCTGTTTTTATTGAGCATTTACTGAGTGTCTGGCTCTGGTCTAAAGTGAGTATTTAACATAGAGGAGCTCATTTAATCTCCATTACAACCCTATAAAGCATCTACCATTATTACTCACATTTTACAGATGTTAATAGCTAACAGTTTTTCACTAACTATGTGCCAGGTATTGTGTTAAGGACTTTACGGATATCAACTAACTTATGCCTCATAAAAACCCTGTAGAGCAGGCACTATTATTATCTTCCTGTTATAAACTAGGAGACTGAGGCACAAGGAAGATAAAAAGCTCACCCAAAGTCACACTGGCCATTCGCAGAGCTGGGATTCACACCCAGCAGATTTGACTCCAGAGCCACTCCAAACCCCTGCACCAATGGCTGGGGCTACAATGCTGCCTGTCACAGGGGCCACCTGCTTCCATCTCTCTCAGCCCCATTAAAGAAGGGAGCCAAAAGAAAAATGCAAAATTTAGAGGAAAATGAAATAATTCTCCCTTACTGTTAAGTTTCTTTCTTTCTTCAAAACAAAGAAGCAAACAGCCCTCCCAAACCCAAGGTTGTAACCTCCTTGTCCAGAATAGAGGGTAAAAGGCAATGGGCAAGAAGCTAGAACAACATGCAGTCCCAGGATGGGAGTCGGGGCATGGGTGGCAGGTGGGCTATGAAAAGCAGGTTGCACTTCTGGTGGGAAAGCATGGTTGGCAGAGGTCTTAAGCAGCCCCAGTGACATTCATCTCCTGGCATTACTCTTGTGATCATGCTTTGGTGCACGGCAAGAGAGTTTGCAGAAGTAATTAGGGTTACCCTTAAGATTACCTTAAAACTGGGAGATTATCTTGGTGGGCCCCACCGAAACTTGTCAGCCCCTGCAAAGCAGAATGCTTTCTCCAGATGGTGCCAAAAAAGGACATCAGAGATGTCTGAAGTTCGAGAAGGGTTTCGTGTGAGGTGGGGTTCTCTGTTGCTGAGGTGGAGGGAGCCATGGGGCCAGGACCTGAAAGCTCAAGGCTTTTAAGAGCGGAGAGCAGTCCCTGCCCAACAGCCAGGAAGGAAACAGGGACTTCAGTCCTACAAGGAACAAAATTCTGCCAATAATGGGACTGAGCTTGGAAGAGGATCTCAAGCTCCAGTGAGAATGCAGCCAGTTGATACCTTGGTTTCAGGCTTGGAAAGCCCAGAGCAGGGAACCCAGCTACACCATTCTAGACTTCTGACCTACAGAACTTTGAGATAATAAATGGGTACTGTTTTAAGTTGCTAAGTGCATAGTGATTTGCTCTGCATAGAAAACCAATGCAGATTTTGTTACCTGGAAGTGGGGGGTGCTGCTACAACAAACCCCAAAATGTGGGTGCAGCTTTGGAATTGGGCAGTGAAAGAATTTTGAGAAGATGATAGAAAAAGCATACATTACTTTGGCTAGGCTGTTAGAAACATGACGTTCATTGGCTCAGAAGGAAGTGAGGAGCATTTGAGAGAAATCCTAAGTCACCTTGGAAAAAGCCTAAATCACTGGGAACAGACTGTTAGCCAAAATCTGGTGACGAGGAAGATGTTATTAAAAGTATTGGAACAGAGGTTGCCAAATGGTGATTTTCTAATTTTATCATTTCTTCTGCACTTAGAGTTGGAATTCTATACAGAAGTGCTTTCCAAACTAAAAATAGAACTACCATTTGATCCAGTAATCCCACTACTGGGTATCTACCCAAAGGGAAAGCAATTATTATATCATAAAGATACCTGCACTTGTATGTCTGTTGCAGCACTATTCACAATAGCAAAGTCATGGAATCCACTTATATGTCCATCAGTGGATGATTGGATCACATAATGTGGTATATATAAAATGGAATACTACTCAGCCATGAAAAAGCATGAAATCATGTCTTTTGCAGCAACATGGACAGAAGTGGAGGCCATTATCCTCAGTGAAATAACTCAGAAACAGAAAGTCAAATACTACCTATTCTCACTTATAAGTGGGAGCTGAACAATGTGTATACATGAACATATAGAGAATAATAATAGAAACTGGAAACTCCAAAAGGTGAGAGGTGGGTGAGGGTTGAAAATTACCTATTGGGTATGATGTTCCCTGTTTGGGTGATGAGTACACTGCAAGCCCAGGCACCATCACTATGCAATATATGCATGTAAGAAATCTGCACTTGTACCCCTAAATCTTTAAAAATAAATAAAAAAAGAAGTGGGGTGAGAGGAGGGCGAAAGATGTTACTGGAAAGAGGTTTCAATCCAGACCCCAAGAGGGTTCTTGGATCTCGCACAAGAAAGAATTTGAGGTGAATCCATAAAGTGAAAGCAAGTTTATTAAGGAAGAAAAGAAAGGAAAAGAATGGCTACTCTGTAGGCAGAGCAGCCCCGAGGGCTGCTGGTTGCCCAGTTTTATAGTTGTTTCTTGATTATATGCTAAACGAGGGGTGGATTATTCATGAGTTTTCTGGGAAAGGGGTGGGCAATTCCCAGAACTGAGGGTTCCTTCCCTTTTTAGACCACATAGGGTAACTCTCTGATGTTGCCATGGCATCTGTACATTGCTATGACCCTGGTGGGAGTGTCTCTTAGCATGCAAATGCATTATGATTAACACATAATGAGCAGTGAGGCTGACCACACTCTTGTCGCCATCTTGCTTTTGGTGGGTTTTGCCCGGCTTCTTTACTGCAACCTGTTTTTATCAGCAGGGTCTTTATGACCTGTATCTTGTGCTGACCGCCTATCTAATTCTGTGACTTGGAATGCCTTAGCCTCCTGGGAATGCAGCCCAGTAGGTCTCAGCCTCATTTTACCCAGCATCTATTCAAGATGGAGGTGCTCTGGTTCAGAAGCCTCTGACAAGAGGGTCAGAAAAAACTACCTATCGTATGCTATGCTTATTACCAGTGGGACAAAATAATCTTACATGAAACCCTCGTGACGTTCAGTTTACCTATATAACAAACCTGTGCATGTATCTCTGGACTTAAAAGTTTACAAAAAAAAAGAAGTGCTTTCCTCACCAACTCTTTGGTTAGCTTGATATATAGCTCATGTAGGAAAGGCAGTATGTTTGGTTCTTTTTATTTATCATTTTTCAACAATTTTATGCTGTTATGCCAATCAAATTTGTCAATCATACCTTAATAAGACTGAAAAAAGTAGAAAAAAAAATCGCTAAGTCCCAGTGAATTGATAGGTCACAGAGTGTCAGAGCCAAGATTTGAACCTAAGCTTTCTGATGGTTTAGCCTGTGGTCTTAACCACTACATCCCATTCCCTCCCAGAAAGAGGAAAATGGTTGTGAGATAATGCTAAGTGAATAAGATAGAATATAAAAATGTATCTCTACAAATCTATGGTCTATTTATAGATGCATAGAAAAAGACGGAAGGAAATACACTCCAAGTTTCACAGTGGTTACCCCTGAAAAGTTTAAAAACAAAAAGTAGCCACAGCACTTGCGTTCACCGGTTTCTGTTCCTCTTAGAGGCTGCTGAGACTCCACAGAAAGTATTGAGTCTTTTTTGCATGATCATGAAGAGCAAGTTTCTTGTTTCTAAAGGTCGCCGTAGTCTTGCTCTTGAATGCTGGTAACTGCCACTGGGGGAGAAGGGATGTGTCCTTCTCTAAGGGGAGAGGGGACGCATCGGCCCCCTCCTCCTTACTTCAAAGTTTTCTATGTACTTCCCATGGGTACAATATGATGTAGTATGGTGGGAAAGAGTGTGTGCACATTTTTGCTTAGTCCTTAGAACAATACCTGGCTCATAGTTAGTGCAAAAGTGTTAGCTATTAACATCTGTAAAATGTAATAATGGTAGATGATTTATTGTGTTGTAATTGAGATGAAATGAGTGCCTCTATGTTAAATACTCACTTTAGACCAGAGCCAGGTCACACACTCCTGGCTGTGTGACCTTGGACAAGTTACTTAACCTCTTTGTGCCTCAGTTTACTCATCTCTGACTTGGGGAGAGTTATAATACTGACCTTTATAGAGTTTTGGAAGGTTAATGCAAGTAAGATACTTAGCACAAGAAGTACTCAACCCATGCTAGTTATTCTTATTCAAGAAAGCCTGGAAGAGTCATTGGCTTCAGATAGTTTTGTAGTTACGTGAATTTAAGTGAGACCCTCTTTCTCCAGGTGCTATGAGGATTGCGGGCAAGCCCAGTCTCTGCCTCCTTGACACATATTTTTCTCCATCCAATTTACCTTGGCACGAAGGATAATTCATGGGTATGTTCACATCCTGGTCCTCAACATAAATCTTCCCTCCCCATGCACTTGGTGACAGCTCCGTAGGTCTCCTAGAGTTTCTTCTCTGAGTTTCTCATTAATGTAGCCTACACAAAGAAAGGCCTTGGGGTGCCTGCATTTCCCTGAAACCATCCTCCTTCCCAGAAAGGCAGGCAGGGGTGAGGGACAGGGGTGGGGCTGAAGAAGAGAGGGCAGTGGGAGAAAGGCCATCCCTAGCACAATGTGACTTTGAGATTCGGGGCTGGGGTCTTTGGCAGCTGCCTGTCATAGAAGCTGGGAGGCACTAGCACTGCTTCCCAGCAGGGCTGGCTGCACACCTGCACCACCCCCTGGAAGTCAGGAGAAGGGAGTCTTTTCTACAGCTATGAGTGAAACTTGTTCTGGCCCTGGGGAGGAGGTGAGTGATTATTTGTGAAGCTTGTTTCTTGGTTTGATTTTCTTCTTGAGCATCACGTTTGCTTCCTTTTTAAAAAACCAAACAAGTGCATGCTGCTCAGCCATTTCCGTCCATTCCCAGCCTTGATAATCTGTCAGACTGGCTCCTGTAAAACACTTCTTTCCTCTTTTTTTTGAGACAGGATCTCTGTCGCCAGGCTGGCGTGCAGTGGCGCTATCTTGGCTCAATGCAACCTCCGCCTCCTGGATTCAAGCGATTCTCGCTCTTTGGCCTACCAAGTAGCTGGGATTACAGGCGCCCACCACCACGTCCAACTAATTTTTGTATTTTTAGTAGAGATGGGGTTTCACCATGTTGGCCAGGCTGGTCTCGAACTCCTGACCCCAGGTGATTCGCCCGCTTCAGCCTCCCAAAGTGCTGGGATTCAGGCATGAGCCACCGAGCCCGGCCCCTAAAATGCCTCTTTCTTTTGGGTCTTGCCAAAGCCCAGATTCTCCATTGGGATCGCCAGAAGTGATGGCACTCATTCTATTTCTGTCACAAATGTTTGGATCAGAAGCCACAGTGAAAAAGAGAAAGCAATCCTCCAGGAAATGTTCTTCATTTCGGGACATCACTTGAGGTGTGTTGGGAATGTCAGGAAAGTTTCCCCATTCATTCATTTCATTCCCTTATTTATTCATGGCTTTGAGAAATACTTAGTGATTCTTTTAAATAATGTTCTTCGAACTTTTAAAATACCAGAACTCCTGTCTATTTAATAAAATCTTAGTGAAACCCAGTAGATGAGGGTCTGAACTGAAATTCAGAGGGAGTCGGTGGGTCACCTGAGGCATCCACGTTAGTGAATGGGGAAATAACTCCTATCCCAACATTCGCATTTCTAACCCTTAGGTCGAATATGCTCCGGCTGTTCGGTGCATTTATAGCGAAGTACAGGCAGTCTGGAACTTACAAATGAGTTCTGTTCCAAAAGTTCATTTGAAAGTCAGTTGCCTGGAACTTGGAATACATTTGCCTGTGGAAATCGGGGTATAGATGGTAGTGAAGTTCCCAGCCCAGCCCAGTAATGCCTATTTGATTCACAATATGTCGGAATTATAGAACTAATAACTCTCTATCAGCTTTGTGTTATTCTTTTTTCTTTTTTTTTTTGAGATGGAGTTTTGCTTTTGTTGCCCAGGCTGGAGTGCAGTGGTGCAGTCTCAGCTCACTGCAACCTTTGCCTCCTGGGTTCAAGCGATTCTCCTGCCTCAGCCTCCCTAGTAGCTGGGACTACTGGCATGCGCCACCACGCCCAGCTAATTTTCATATTTTTAGTAGAGACGGGGTTCCACCATGTTGGTCAGGTTGGTCTCGAACTCCTGACCTCAGGTGGTCCACCTGCCTTGGCCTCCCAAAGTGCTGGGATTACAGGTGTGAGCCAGCGCGTCCAGTGAGCTTTGTGTTATTAATAGTACTGCAGAAACCATGTATTTACTGCCAGTAGAGCAGTAACATATCACCCGTGGGGCACTCAACTATCTACCAATCCCACCCCTGTGGAACACAGTAGGGAACAAGTAAGTGACCAAAATCAGCATTTGCGTATGTAAAATAAATGCCTCCGATTTTCCTTGGTCCCAGCAGAATGTAAACCCAATGAAGGAAGGGATTTTATGTTTATTTTGTTTCCTGCTATATCCCCAGCACCTAGTAGCACATACTGCATACTTGATAAATTACTGTGGAATGAATACATGCACTAAAGGTTCATAGATCTCTCAAGGTGGGGACCCTTGCTTGAATCTAGTTAAGATTATTTAACACACAATCCCAGCATGGTTGGCTATTTAGTTTCCAAGCCCACTGCATTTAGAAACAACAAATTAAAGGCTGATCTAAGCAGATCACACTGACACAATCAGAGGTGACCAACCTTAAGCATGGAGACAGAGAAACTATAAAAAGCTGACACAGGAACTCTGGAAACATTTAGCTCAGTAATCTTGGGAGTCATGATTGTAAAGCAAACATTAATTAATGCTCCATAATTTTTCACCTCTATTTAAAAATGTAGAGAAGTATGTGTGGAAGTTGTAGGAAACTTGAAGAAAAAGCTGTTTCTTTCTTTCTTTTTTTTTTTAAATTATTAGTTTTTAGAGACAGAGTCTCGCTCTGTCGCCAGTCTGGAGTGCAGTGGTGCAATCTCAGCTCACTGCAACCTATGACTTCTGGGTTCAAGCGATTCTCCTGTCTCAGCCTCCCAAGTAGCTGGGATTACAGGCACCTGCCACTACATCCGGCTAATTTTTTGTATTTTTAGTAGAGATGGGGTTTCACTATGTTGCCCAGGCTGGTCTCGAACTCCTAACCTCAGGTGATCCTTCCACCTTGGCCTCCCAAAGTGCTGGGATTACAGGCATGAGTCACCTGGCCGGAATCACCCTTTTTGAAGGCGTAGCTGAGGAGCTAGTGGAAATACTGCCCTGTGAAGATAAACTATTTTCTCCTGGATGCATTATGCACCCTATGTTAATGACTGCTCTGCAGTGTCTCTAACAGGTAGGATATATTGGACCAAAAGCTAAAAGCTGAAAGTAAAAGTGACCCTGCTTACCACCATCCCCTTGGACACATGTGAGGAATTTCTTCTTCTCAATGTCATGTGGGGCTAAAGGTATTGCTTCCTAGATGGGGAGTAACTCAAGAATCCCAGTCAGCTCTAGCTATGACCAATGCCTGGCCACTTCAGGCTCCTTATGCCAAGAGATGAGAAAGCTGGGACAGATGTCACCAATCTGTCAGGTGCAATTGGCCCCAATGATCAGGCGACTAGGGCTGCTGACACATGACAGGGGCCAGGGAAGAATATGATTGTCCCCGGGATGTCTCATGGCATTCCCCCGTCCAATTTTGATAGGAAATGGACAAGTACAGCAGCCATATCCTGAGAAGGGCGCGGTGACCCTGGGCTCAGTCCCCTCAAAGATGTGGGTTTGGGTCACCCCACCAAGTAAGCCACTAGATCAGTAGCGGGGGCTGAGGGGCATTTAGAATAGGTAGTAGAGGAGGGGGATGGTGAGTATTGGTTGTAACAGTTGGGACTGGAGTTTGATTTCTCTAGGAAAGGAGATCCAATGAAATCCTGCAGGAACTGTTCCCAGGTGGCGTGACTTAGACTAAGTGAATGAATCCCAGCAGCACTGTGGACTGTGGACTGTGGACTGCGGTGGCTGCTGTGGTCTATCTTCCATGCAGCTCCCTTCAGCTCCTTCCATAAACTCCTTTGCCTGCAGCTGCAGGTTTATTCTCTGTAGATGATTCATAGCTGTGTTTCCTTTTCCAGAACTTGCCCTCTGCTGAAGGTGCTGCCTCACCATGAGGTTATACTCCTACCTCAGGGATCACAAGGTGGCTCCCTGAACAGCTCCTTGCTGCCATTTTGTGATGACACCATCTTTAACACCTGGCTTCTGAAGTCTCATGGAGAGGTCTCTATCCAGGGAGTACATTGGATACTTTCGCGGTCTCTGTGGACGGGGAGACAGCACACTGGAGACTAACACCATGTTGGCCTGGACATGATGCATGACCCTTACGCCCATGTTCCATTGGTGAGACCCAGTCGTGTGGATCGCACTAGCTGCATGGGCTGGGTTGTGGGTGTGGGTGGTGAAAATTGTAGACTGGGCATCTGCTCCCCAGAAGCAACTCAACATGGTGTTGGGGGAGCATGAATCTTTGGTGGTCAGTAGTTTTTTCTACCACACCATCCTATGCAAAGCTGTGAAGTAACTGAAGTTTGTCTTGACTTCTCTATCCAACCCATCTCCCCGCAGCCTTCCAATTCCCAGGCTCCTGACCTCTTTTTTTTTTTGAAGACGTGCTCTCAGAGAGCTGTTAAATAACTAACCAAGGAATTAGCTGGTAACCAGACAAGCAACGTAATACCTAGCCCTTCCTAGGCATTTGGTTTCTCTCCCTTCCCAATAGAAGCCCTTCCAAAGCTCCATGCCTTCACTAATGCAGTGACCTCTGTCTGGAGCACTGTTCTTTTCTGGCTGTGAAAGGGCGATTCTTCTTACCCTTTAAGATCCAGCTCACATTATTATTATTACGATTATTATTTTGAGACAGAGTCTTGCTCTGTTGCCCAGGCTGGGGTGCAGTAGTGTGATCATAGCTCACTGTAGCCTCAAATTCCTGGACTCAAGCGATCTTCCCGCCTCAACCTCCCAAGTAGCTGGGACCACACAGGTGCATGCCACCACACCCAGCTAATGTTTTAGTTTTTGTAGAGATGGGGTCTCACTATGTTGCTCAGGCTGGTCTCAAACTCCTGACCTCAAAGTATCCTCCTGCCTTGGCCTCCCAAAGTGCTGGGATTACTGGGATTACCATGCCCAGCCCCAGCTCAGATTATTAAAAAGTTAAAAACAAAACAAAACAAAACAAAATAAAAAAAACCCTAAACAGGTGTTGGAGAGGATGTGGAGAAAAGGGAAACTTTATACACTGTTGGTGGGAATGTAAATTAGTACAACCTGGATGAAAAACATTACGGAGATTTCTTAAAGAACTAAAGATAGAACCACCGTTCAACTCAGCAATCCTACTACTGGGTTTCTATCTAAAGGAAAAGAAATCAGTATATCAAAAAGATACCTGCATGCGTATGTTTATCGCAGCAATATTCATGATAGCAAATCATGATAGCAAATCAGCCTGTGGAATCAACCTGAGTGTCCATCGATGGATGACTAGATAAAGGAAATGTGGCATATATACACAATGGAATAGTATTCAGCTATAAAAAAGAATGAATTCAGGTCTTTTGCAGCAAAATGGGTGGGATTGGAGAACACTACATAAAACAACTCAGACACAGAAAGACAAATACCTCATGTTTTCACTTATATGTGGGAGTTAAACAATGGGTCCATATGGAAGCAGGGTGGGGAGTGATGGAACAGTGAGGTCGGGGAGTGAGAAGGGTGGAATAATAATAATAATAAAGACTGGATCAGAATTCAACCCCTCAGTATTAATGACCCTTTGTACACCTTTGAGTTATAGCATTTATCACACTGTTGTATAAACAACTGTTGACTGGAAGCCTGTTTTTCCAGGGGCAAACATAGTGCTTAATTCACAAGGAGGTAAATGCCCACAAGAGCAGTTCCATGGGGTCGGGGATTCTTTTTTCACTCTTCTATCCCTGGGGCCTAGGACAGTGCTTGGACTTGCTCATTATTCGTTAAGTGAACAATCTGTTTCTGCCCCAGCACAGTGCCTGGCATGCAGTAGGCACTCAGTTATTGAAGGACAGCATTTGCAAGGTCAGAAGTGTTTGCTAATCCTTGCTAGCAGTGGAGTTTCAGATACTTTACTTGAAGGATCGTTTTTTTCTTTAAAGATAATTTTGATTCTGGAAAGTCCCTCTAGGTCTTGCTCAAATTATTCTACCTGGATGCACACGTATGTGACACACACACACACTCTCCTTTATTCTCCAGCCCTCCTAAATCCTTTTGAAGACAGAGGCCCAAGGAAATGAGTTCTTGTAAAACCATTTCCTTATTTCTCAGCCCGGTGAAGATAAACCCTGTTGGGTTGAGCTGCCAGATTCTGTGCCCCATCACTCCCACCCTGGCCCGGGGCCCCCACCCCCAGGGCTGGCTCATCCTCAGGCCAAGCTGTTCCCACAAAGACACCGAGCCTGAGACTTAAATTGGATTTGCCTGTGGCTTTGCGCTCTTCATGTCCTCCCGCCTTCGTTTTTGATTTATCGTTTTAATCAGTCCTAGTCAATCATTCCCTCTCTGTCTTGCTCACCATAAACACAACCCCTTGCCAAAAAAATTATGAATGTATTAAATGATTTTATTACAGTAAACTGCAGATTGTACCATTGTAAACACAGGTGCCGTTCCAACCCCACACCCTCCAACTCTGTCCAGACCTGCAGGGGTGCCTTGGAGGGAGGGAGGCCCTGGGGCCTGAGAAAGGGACCATCTCTGGGAGTCTGAGAAGCAGGAGGTCATTTGGTTCAACGCTTCACCACAGATGGAAGAAACTGGGGTTCCGGTTGGTGAAGCCACTGGTCTCAGGTCACATAGACACTTTATTGCAGAACCAGGGTCAGATTTGGGGTCATCTGATATTTAAGACTCCTTCCCTGACACCCTTCTGTTATCCTCTGTCTTTCTCCTCTTCATTTTAGGCACATTTCACTCTAGGACAAATGCCAGTGGAGGGAGTGGGAGAATTTGAAAACTGTAATTGGCCCGAGGCTGTATACACACCGTGGGCCTTAATCTTTTTGTCCCGCAGGTGGGGTAAATGTCTTCCTGCCTCGCATCCTGGGACGGGGTGGTGGGGACTTCCCCTTCTCTAGGCTGACAGCCTCAGGCGTTGTTTTGGGGACAGGAATGGGGAAGTCCCTGGGAAGCAGGAAGGCTTTTCCTGGGATCAGGCCTTGTGGAAGCTGCACAGACCAGAGCCTGCTGCTCGGTGAGGAGGGGCGCTTTATTCTGGGATGGCTTGGCAGCTCTTGAAGGCTTGGGAACCTGTTTCCAGAGTGGCTAGCCCAGTCGCTGATGCAGCCATGGAGTCTGGTTTCTTTTGGTGCAAGAAATGCTTTGAGGGTAATTTCACTAGTGGAGCTAATGTAAAAATTTTCTGTTATTGACCATGAGAAATATTTTCTAAACAAGTGATTGATCACGTGAAGAGAGACTCAGAGAAGTGGACTCCTAAGATAGAACTATTTGGGATAACCTATGGATGATGTCTCTTCCCCAGTGGGAATTTTCTTGGCCGAAGTTATCCAGCCCTCTGGGAATCAGTACATGAGTGACACGTGTGCACACATATGCATATGTAATACATGGTTAATATGTATACATGTCTAGTCTTCACATCTGTTTTTGCTGGTTCCTGTTTGTTTCTTGGTTTTGACACATCTGGGCCTCCATAGTAAACAGTTCCAATATTTACCAAGCAGCTCCAAAGGTTACATTTGTTTCCCAAAGTTTTTATTCCTCCTTCTTTTGGGTAAGTTTCAGCTCAGAAGAGAAGCTGTTTTTTTGCTGAGCCTGAGCTGCATGAGCGAGGCAGGAACACAGACCCATCTGTTGGAGATTGGAACATAAATAGCCCCTTTTAAAAATAAATCTCCGCTTTTAACTCCGTAGATAAAAATATCTGAATAAAGGACAATTCTTAATCTCTACCTTCTCCCCTGCTTGACTCAAACGTTTCTAAGTGGAGATTTTTTCCCCCTTCTCCTTTTACAGGTTTCATTTTGGCTTTGATTCTAGCGAGTTTACTGACAGATTACTTCATTTTAACTATATGGCTTTTCTGTCTAGTGGGAGGCATATTTCTAAGTATCATATTTATCAAAAGAGCTCTGCAAAACAAGGGCCAGAATTACTCTTTTGATGGTTCCCCCTCTAACTACAACCACAATAAATTTTGTGAGAAAGAATGTTCAACTGGGGACCTTTTATGTTAAAGCCGAGAGCCTGGGTTCAGACATTGTCACTTTCAAACCTCCACCACTTGGGTTGTTTTTTCCCCCTCTTCTCCCCTCCCCGGGCAGAAATCTCACATCTGGTCTCACTTGTGAGGCTGGTCCTTCCCTCCCAGGGGCGCCATATTTTTCCCTCTATAACTTTAAATCAGAGGAGCATTTCAGTAAATCACAGGGAACACTTATTTATTGGACATAGTTTTGGGTCTCTTAAAGCATGGAAAATAAGTTTAATGGAGCGTTCGGAGCATTTCTCCAATCTTTTGAGGGATTACTTGGAGAATTTGTCAACTGCGCCAAGCCCAGCAGCAAGATCCAGAGAGACGGGAAGGAAATGATGGGAGAATCTTCTCGGAGGACCCAGGTGGATCCTAAATCACCCCCAGAAAGATGAATATGAGAGGACCAGTTGCCAGCAAGATTGATAGGCAGCATCGCCATTTATTTAAGAAACTATCATTTCAGCGGGAGGATGACTTTAATCTGAATTATATTTTGCTTTTGTCGTCTACTCTTGCCAAGTGATTTATAGAACACCGTAGCATGCTTCTTAACCTCAAACAATGGTGGAGGGAGGTGAAAAGGGGGGCTGGAGGAAGGAAAGAAAAGAGGGAAGGGAGCCTCTCTAGGGGACTGAAAACCTTGAGGAGAATGTAAGAGCAGGGCAGAGAGAAATTAATGGTGGTGGCCTGGTTGCGTGGGCAAACTTTATTTGCGATGCCCTTCGGTGGGAAATGAGGGTGGATGGGCTGGTCTTTCTTCCTCAAGGGAAGTAAATGAGAAGAAGCGCCTCGGCCTTTAGGAACCCGAGGGCTTCGTGCTCAGGGTGGCAGGGACGCTTCTTTAGAGGAGGAAGATGGAAGGTCAGGCTGCTGACGTAACTCCCAGGAGGACGTGCTTCTCATTCAGGCTGGAGCTGCTAGAAGAACAAAGGGCTGTTAATGAACGCAGACAGGCTTTGTTTTTGGAAGCAGAGGAACGATGACATTACTATGGTCATTGTGAGTTTTAGCTGCAACAGCTGCCACACCTGGTCCCTGAAACGATGGGTCTGAAGGGTCTGACTTGTCCTCATCTCAGTCTTGGTTAAGAAGGAAGAGGGCAGACGTTCTTGTTTTTAGGCTAAAATGGGTAAAGTGAGGTACAAGGTAAAAAAAAGCAACAGCTGATGGAGATGTTCAAGCCACAGGAGTGTGCAGTAGGAGGCCAGGGACACAGCGGGGTCCTCTTTCTGGCTTTCGTGCCCTCAGGGTCCCCGTGCGCTGGAGGAATTTGGCCCCAGATGTCCATTCACTGTGTCTCTGCTGTCCTGCAGAAAGGGGTTCCTCTCTGATGTCCTAGTCTGCCAATGTGAGCTCCTACTGACCCCAAAGCAGCCTCCTCCTCCCTGGCCCTTTCACTCTTTGCTCTTCCAGCTTGGACAAACCAGTCCTTGCCTGGGGCGTCCTGGAGAGCCAGGGAGGAGGGCCTGGGGTTGGGGAGCTCACAGAAACATGGAGGTGGTGGCTGCAGGAATGAGAAAAGGGTGGACTGTGGGTGTGCGGCCGGATGACCTGAATGTGTTGGGCTAGGTGAACCCCGTGGCAGTGCTACTCAATCCAGACTCACAGAATAGTGCGCAGTGGGACCTCCGTGTGCCCCCAGCCTCCGGGGCTGTCAATTTAGATGGGTTGGTAGGTGTGGCTGTGGAGGAAATGGTCTGGAGCTTACAGAATTACAGGACCAGGGTTTCATTGGTCAGCAAGCCCTGAAACCCTGACCATCAACTATCTTCTTTCTGGCTTTGCATGCATGTTCCTCCTGACTGCTGAAGATCCTCCAGGGTCTGGCTTCATCCAAATTTTCAGCCTTGGTTTTTTCCTCTCCTCCCTCTCTCTCGACTCCAGCCCCTCACTGTCCCGCAGGCACACTAGACTTCAGTCTGCCTTCTTCCTTCTGCTTTTGTGGCACCTGTCTTTCTGTCCATCTATTCAGTGCTATATATGCTTCAAGATGGAGACCAAATTTTATGTTCTCCTAGAGTGTGTCTGGACCAATTAGCATTCTCTGACCAGCTTGCAGACCCCACCACACTCTTTTTTTTTTCTTTTGAGACAGGGTTTCCCTCTGTAGCCCACGATGGAGTGCAGTGGCATGATCATGGCTCACTGTAGCCTCGACTTCCTGGGCTCAGGCCATCCTCCAACCCTCAGCCTCCCAAGTAGCTGGGACTACAGGTACACGCTATCACACCTGGCTAATTTTTTAAAAAATATTTTTTTATAGAGACACAGTCTCCTTATGTTTCCCAGGCTGGTCTCAATCTTCTGGGCTCAAGTGATCCTCCTGCCTTGGCCTCCATAGGTGCTGGGATTACAGGTGTGAGCCACCGCGCCAGTTGCCCCACTGTACTCTTCAGCATGAAACGCAACACTGTTTCCTATTGCCCCTCTTGATCCACTCCTCGGTTCCCTGAACTGTCCCATATCCTTACTGCTAAACACGGGGTTTAGATGGCTGATCTCCAAGGTTCTTAGCAGTTGTAATGATATAGGGTTCTCTGCTTTGTCTCCTCATCTGGACTGTAAACTCCTTAAGAGCAGGGAGGGTATCTTTTCCTTGCACCAAATCCCTCAATATTCTAGCCCTGAGTGGGTATTCCACAGAACGTTTGTGGATTGAGTCTATTTGAGTCCTTTTTGCCACTGGAAGTGGAAGGAGTGGGGAGCAGTGGCTTAGATGCTTTGGACGCCTGGTCTCGTAATCTAGCCTGCAGAGACTTTGATATGCAGTTGGTGGATGGGGTAAAAATCACCATGCAACTCTCAGTGTGTTCTGCCCCAGGGAATCTACACTGAGAACTCTACCCAGCACAGGGAGAGGAGAGGACTCACTCACTGGGCAGGCAGCTCCCTGCAACATTCCATTTTGTAGCCTGGTAGAAAAAGCACTCACTTTGGTTCAGACCTTGGTTTGTCCACTTCCTGCCCATGAGACTTGAGCTGGGTCACTTGATCTGAGTCTTGTTTGCTCACTTCTAAAATGGCAATTCCAAAACCAGTATTGCCCCACAGAAGAGTTGTGTGGGAAGAGCAAGATGACATGACATGGAACATGTTCTGTGCATTGTGAAGACAACAGCGGCCGAGGAGGTATGAAGTGCCGTTACAACATCTCAACATGAGAAGTAAAAACGTAAAACACAAAAAGAGAAGACCAATGGCCCCTCTCTCCCCTCTCTCACTATTGGACAAAGAACCATCTGCCTCGCCTTTGGATAATATGCTGTGGAGCCTCCCCTCTCCTCCAGTAAAAAAAAAGAAAAGAAAAGAAAAGAAAAGAAAGTCAAGTGAGAGGGAACATCCTGGTATATTCTGAAAGTTGACTCTGGGAGGAGAGGAAAACATGAGCAAACAAAAGCTGTCATTCACTGGCAAGCTGCTTCCTCTGGGGATTAATCTCTGTGAAGAAAAATTAAAGATCTCAGCATTGCCCTGAGCAGGCACACAGGCCACGGCTATGCTAGTAGAATGGCAGCCTCTGGGACGGGGCCTTCCTGCCCCTTCTTGGGGTTTTGCCAGCTCTGAGGGGGCCATGCTGTTGGGTAAGAGTCTGTCCGCTGCCCCCTGAGTGGGCACTGTCTCCCTGGCCTTCAATGTCCCAGCAGTTTTTGTGCCTGGCAGTGTCAGAGTTTGTGCCCTGGGCCGAGAGTAGAATCTTAACTGCCCTGAGCCGTCTCACACACTCACGCCTCTCTCCTTATCCTGTTCCAACTTCCTCTCTCTTCCCACATCCATCTGCCTTGCCATGTCAACTTTCACCCCATGACTCAGAAGTTAGAGGGCCCCTCGAAGCTGGCAACTGGGGCTCTAGCCTTCCAGAAACCTGTTTGTGTGCAAACAAAGGACTCTCCCCTCCACACACACACGCCATCGCGACTTTCCAAGATGACGATTGAGTTTTTCCCCTGTTCTGCTTGATATTTCTGCCAAAGTAAGAAAAATCCTCGTTGAAGTCTAGCAGGAAATCCAATAAAAATTCTTCAAAAGATGGGCTTGACATTGAAAAACAGCAAAATTATAAAATAGGCCTTAGAAAAGAGAAAGGAGAGTTATTATATCTGGCACCAAGCAAAAGCCCCGAGACCCCGTCCAAATGAGCCATCACAGATTGAAAGTGTTTAGCTTCCCGTTGATTAAATATGGAGGAGGACCCAGGGCTTGCCAAGCCTTGGGGATCCAAAGTTTGTTTTCAGTCGGAATGTGTTTTCAGTCAATGGAAAAAATGGTCGGCCCGCGCTGGGCTATGTAACCGAGAAGCCTCAGGTTTAGCGTGAGTAATGGCTGTGAAGCAGAAAACCATGAGAGCTGTTAATCATCCCTCCCAGGCCCCTGTAATTTAACTCAGCGACTCCTTCGGCTTGGAAAGCTCCCCCCACCCTCTTTCTCCTCCCCCTCCCCGGGTTCATTTTGCTCCAGGGGGAGTAGATGAGTGCTTCTGCTTAGGGTCTCTATATTTCAGTTCTTTAAGTTCCTCACCCCCAGACCCTCTCCCCATCAAGGCCCCATTGTCCCTGCTCTGAACATCCTGGGATGTGGAGACGGGAGAGTAGAGAGGCAGTTGCATCTCTGGAGTTCTTTCAGGGAAAAAAATCTCTTTGTCCTATGAGCTTCCTGGAATCGAGGCCTGAAAAAATCTCTTCCCCCACCATTGCCTTTCCAGGGGAAGGTGTTTTTCAGAGATGTTTATGGACATTCTTTAATGGGGTTATCTCATTCTAGCCTTGCAACGTTCTTTTATCCTCGGCTTTCATCTGTCCCTCCTCATTCTCTTACCATGAAGAGTATACAAAGTCTGGTTTCTCTTGTCATTAAAGTCCCCATGAGCGAGGCCTAAGAGAGAGAGAGAGAGAGGAGAAGGAGGAGGAGGGAAGAGAAAAAGAGAATGTGGGGCTTGTGGGGCTGGGCTGGAACTCAGAGGTAGGTCAACGGGGAGAAGAGGAGAGTAGAAAGAGACAAAGAGGCTGGGAGGAGACAGAGGAAGAAAGAGAGGTATATCTGGAGGGAGAGAGAGATTAGCGAGAGAGTGGTGGAGAGAGAATGCATGGCCATGGGGCTGGAACTCTGCGGTAGGCCAACCCTTCTTTCCTCTCAAATGCAAACACGATTCTACATTCCTGCTTGCCCCAGCCACCTACCCGCTCTTCTCAAGCGACGTTTTACCCACTGTAAGTGGCCTCATGGGAATGAGAGTGCCGGTGTGTTTCTGATTCTCTCTTCTGTACTCCCCGCATCGCATTTACCAGGTGCCTTCAGTGGCTCTAATGGTTTCATCAGCTTCAGAGCTCTCTCTCCAGATAACTGCTATTCATGGGTCACATTTCACGGACATCTGTTTTAAGATCGCAGGGGCAGGCCCAGTGGAGCGTGCTTTTGGAGTCTGTTCGTTTCAAAATGGCGGCCGCCCTCATCCTCAGCGGAACTTCCAAGTTCGGAGGGCTCCATCCCTTTCAGTTGGGTACCAACATTTGGTTCCAAGAAGTCACATCAAGCAAATATTTCTTGAGGACTAGGCAAATAAACGGAAGAAATGAGTAAAGAAGTGGCTTTAAAATTACGACATATGAAATGCTCAGTGGTTTAGTGGAAATAGTTTTTTTTTTTTTTTTTGGTAAAAAGAGCAAGTCAAGTCTTGGGCAGCTTGGCTATAAGGGCCAAGAGCCCCATCAGCAGATACCTGGAATGGCCAGTGAGGCTGAGAAATGAAAAAGAGACAGCTCCACGGCGCTGGCTTGTCCCAGACAGTCAGTGAAGAGAAGCTCTGGGCAGGGAGAAAGTTAAATAAAAAGCTGTTGGTAACATGCTCTGTGTGTGTGTGTGTGTGTGTGTGTGTGTGTGTGTGCATGCAAAAGGAAGACGCTTGGCATGCCCCTCTTCTAGGGAAAGGAAGATCAAGGGGGTTAGTATAAGAAGAAGAAGAAGGACAGAATGGAGTCAAAGTGAGTCCTCACAGACAACTCCCTGCCTTTCCATGATTACAACAACCTCCTCCTCTCCTCCATCTCCATCCCTCTGCATTCGCTTCCTCCTCCATCTTCTCCCCCTCCTCCTTTTCCTTCTCCTCCATCTCCTCCCCCTCCTCCTTTTCCTCCTCCTCCTTCTTTTCCTCTTGCATCTCCTCCCTCTCCTCTTTTTCCTCCTCCTCCTCTTCCTCCTCCATCTCCTCCTTCTTTTCCCCCTCCCCCTCCTTCTTTTCCTCCTCCTCCTTCTCTTACTCCTTCTCCTTCCCCTTCTCTTCCTCCTCCATCTCTTCTTTTTCTTCCATCTCCTCCTCCTCTTCCTCCTCCATCTCCTCTTCTTCTTCCTCCATCTCCTCTTCTTCTTCCTCCATCTCCTCTTCTCTTTCCTCCATCTCCTCCTCCTCTTCCTCCTCTATCTCTTATTCTTCTTCCTCCCTCTCCCCCTCCTCTTCCTCCTCCATCTCCTCTTCTTTTTCCTCAATCTCCTCCTCCTCTTCCTCCTCCCTTTCCTCCTCCTCCCTCTTCTCTTCCTCCTCCTCCTCCACCTCAGCCTCCTCCTGTTCACTATGGCTAAAATCATTTATTGATTACAATGTGTCCTCCTTGTGGCCAAAGCTTTATGTATTATCTAATTTAAACCTTTCAGTAATTCTCTGGGCTATACCTTATGTCTCTTCTTCACAATAAGGAATCCGAGGTTCAGAGATGGGAGAAGCACAGAGTTGGTAAGTGTGCCCAAAAGTCGGGATTGGAACCCAGATCTGTCTAGCCTCATGCCCTGAACCACATAAAGGCAGGCTGGTGAGTAGACTGCTGTAGGCAGTGATCCCAGGACCCAGACCTTTGGAGACACCCCAGTAGGGCACACATCAAAGATCCCACTTCACACGTGGAAGAAAACCAACAGCCCCATAGGGTGGGGGTCTGCATTTCAAACAACCCTGGAGGCTGTGGACTGAGCACCTCATGGGCAGCAGTGGGACTGGGTTGGAGGGGTCAGTGGTGGGTCACTGTCATCATCAATCAACCACAGCCTTTTGTCTGTGGGGTGTGGGGAGCGGAAAGGGGCGGGGCTGGGCACCAAGCAGAGCAGGTGGAGCAACAGAATTTATGTAAGGGGCTCTTTTGGGGGTAGGAGATGGCAAGGGACATTCAGAATTTTAAGGGGAATCTTCATGGCTTGGGAAATCCCCTGATGGGAGACTGTGCTGTCCTGAAGTCCTACAGCTGTGCTGATGGGTGGCATTCCAATCCCAAGCTAGTTCATCCCAGTGTTGAGCCACCCCTAGCACTAGGGTTCTTATAGAACTGTCCATCCAGTTTTGAATGCCTCCTTCACTTGCATCACCACAGTCCTAGAAGGTAGCAAGAAGTACATTATTATTTTTATATCTATGTATATATTTTAGAGACAGGGGCCTGTTCTGTCCCCCCAGGCTGGAGTGCAGTGCTGCAATCAGAGCTCATTTTGCTTCAGATTCCTGAGCTCAGGTGATCCTCCCACCTTAGTCTCCCAAGTAGCTGGAACTACAGGTGCATGCTAGCATGCCTGGCTAATTAAAACATCTTTTTTTTTTTTTTTTTTTTTTGTGAGATGAGGTTTCACTATGTTGCTCAGGCTGGTCTGGTCTTGAACTCCTGGGCTCAAGCAATCTTCCTGCCTTGACCTCCCAAAGTGCTGCGGTTACAGGTGTGAGCCACTAAGCCTGGCCTGAAATACATTTTTATACTGGAACTCAGAGAAACTTATAGTCCAGTTGGGAAATAGATATGCATGAAACGTAACACATGCACACACGCACACACACGCACATTACATGCCAGGCACTGTTTTAGGTGATTGCATGTATTTACAGAGATCATCCTAACAGTGACAGGCTGAACTAAGAACTCCCGTTACGCCCTTTTCATAAGAAGAAACGGAGGCACCAGGGAATCAGTAGCTCGCCCAAGGCTGTGTGGCTAGTGAGTGGTGGGGCCAGGATTCAACCCCAGGCTGCCAGGCGCTGTGTGCAGCTCCTAACCAACGCAACCCACTGCCCGTGGGCTGTGTAGAGAAGGCGGGAAGTGGGGTGCATTTAAGATTGGGCTGAAGAGCTGAAGTGAGCAAGCAGGACTCAGAGACAGGGCCTGCGGGAGATCAGGGAGAAGGGCGGGGAGGCAGCTAGGGAGGAAGCTTTGAGGCAAGGGGAGGGCATGGGGTGATCTGTGCAGGGCCTTCCCGAGCAGAGGCCCCGGACCAGACTGAGCCTGGGACTTGCTGGGGACAGCAAGTGAGTCAGATTAGAGAGGGAGGTGGTCCCGGGGGCAGTTAGAGAGCAGGCCAGTGGCAGGCCAGTGGGTGGGTAGTCTTGGATGCCAGGCAAATAATTTGATGTGCACCTTCTGAGGAGGTGGCTTCCGGGGGGATTGTGAGCCTAGAGCAGGCCAGGCATAAAGAACAAAGTCCTAGGAGGCCTGGATTCCAGGCCTGGCTCTGCCCTGAGGCGTCTCACTCCTGGCCACCCAGCTCATGATTCCAGCTATCTCATTTTTAAAATAAAGGGCTTAAGCTGGGTAATCTCCCATGGCTATAAAGTTCTTTGGTAGGAACAGAAGAGTTTTAAAGGGATTGGGGGGGGTGAAAGAATCTTGAGGTCAGAGAAGGTAGAACCGTAGGGATTTTGGAGACCTTCTGTTCACTCTGTTTTGCAAGTGGGGAAACTGAAGCACAGAAAGGCTGAGTGATTTTCCCAAGCCACACAGCTCATGATTGGCAGAGCTCCTGAGCCTTTAGGTCTACTATTCCTGCCAGTGCTTGCTCCCCTGCAGGGAGAAGCTGTGGGGACCTTTGATGGAGGTGGGATGGAAGAGGCAGGGCAGTGAGGCACGCCTGGAGGTGCCATGGCTTTGTCCCTGGCCCTTCACCAGCACCAGCTGGGAAATCGTCTCCACGTGGACCCAGGTCCACAGTGGCAGCTCAGAGCCACTGATCTCGGGGCTGCAGTCTGCCACAGCAAGCCCCTGCCTCTAGGGGGATGCTCTTAAATGCTCATCTGCAAAATCACCAGGGCAGCCCCCGCTTAGGGCTGTGAGCTGAGGCCATTACGTCCTGAGAGTCATCTGCAGGGGAAATCGAAGTCTGAGGTGGGACCCAAGTCAGTGGCCAGTGTGGGGTGATCCTGGGGGCCTGGGCTCCCCTTTTGGCTTGCTGGGCCCAGAGCCCTGTCCTCACAACTCCTGTGGCCCATGAGAAGGGGCAGGTATTGTGTCCTGAGCTCCAGGGCTGGCTGGAGCTGGTCAGGGTGACTGCTGGCCCGAGCTCTGACACGTGAGCAAACCACCCCCCCAGGTTCTTCCTAGTGCCCGTGTCAAAGGCGTCTGGTAAAAGTTAACAGGTCTGCCCGTCTCCAGGAGATCAGAGGAACAACTGGAGCTTACTGGGGGTCAGGGAGAGGTCACCGAAACTTGTTTGATGGGGCAGTCTCTGGAGCTGACCCTGGTCCAGGGGCCTGTCTCACTCCCTGGTTTGATCCAAGACCCAGGACTCTTTCCAGGGTGGGCGGCCCGAGCCCCTGTCTGTCTGAAGGCCACTTACACGGTGGCCATTGTCTTCCCAGCTCCGGGTCCAAGTGTGGGTGTGGAGGGGAAGGGGTGTGGCAGGGAGGGAGCAGGATGGCTCTGCTGATGAGATGCTGGATGGAATCTGGGCCCTGACCTGGCCTGGCCAGGTGTGACCCTAGTCCCTGACCCCTGGTGGCCCAGAGGGTGAGAAGGTGAGGGCTGGGGGCTGGGAGAAGGCTGTTGGCTAACATTTAGCAGGACCTTTGAAGATGTAAATTCTTCCCCAGCTCCTGCTGGGATTGATGGGGTCAGAGTTCACAGGCATGGTTGCCTCATTCTCCAAGTGGGCTGGAAATCTCGCAGACAGATGGGTTAGGGTCTCCTGTGACCGGACCTTCCCCAGAGGTGAAGGGCTCACAGGAAATGCTATTTCTGCTCTCCTGAATCAGGCCCAGTGACTTGGAGGCCTCAGGAGGGGCCGATGGAAGTTGTTTTTTCCCAAATGCTCACATTTCTCCTGGGTATGTATCTTGGGTGTGTTTGTGTTTGGCCCCATTAAGATCAACCACTGGACCATTTGGGAGAGAATCTCTACCTCCTGCCCCTGCCTGACTTGTACTTTTTACTCTCCAAATACTAGATTGCTTGAGGCTTCCTGTTCCCCTGTGCTCTGTCCTGGTTCCTGCCTATTTCCTCTGCAGTAGCCCCGCCCATCTTCTCAGCTTAGATAACTCCTGCTCACCTTTCTGCATTGCCTCCTCCAGGAAGCCTTCTTGGAATGGCTCTGTTCTCCTGTGGCATTCAACAGTTCATTCAGTAAACTAGTATTATTTACTATGTACCTGGCCCTGTTCTATTTGGAATGTATCCGTGCATAAAACACACCAAAATCCTTCCCTCAGGGCACTTACATCCTAGAGTGTAATAACAGCTTTATATGTATTAACAAACAATCTGTAGAACATCCCTACAAAGGAGGCCAATTATTTTATAATTATTTTTTGAGACAAGGTCTCACTCTGTCACCCAGGCTGGAGTGCAGAGGTACAGTCATGGCTCACTGCAGCCTCGACCTCCTGGGCTCAAGGGATCCTCCCACCTCAGCCTCCCAGGTAGCTGGGACTACAGCTGTGCCCCACCACATACAGCTAACAGGTCAGTTATTATCCACATTTCCCATAGGAGGTTACACAGCTGATAAGGGTCATGTTAAATTAACTTAAATCAAATTAAATTAGTCAATGGAATTATTTAATTTAATTTAATGTAATCCTGACAACAGCCTGATGAGATAGATGTTATTTTCCTCATTTTACAGATGAGGAACCCAAGACTGAGAGGGGTTAGGTAACTGATCCCCGGTCACCTAGTCAAGAAGGAGCAGCACCATGGGGATGACTCTAAGCTGGTACAGGCCCCTATGGCCCCCATAAGAATGTCACTCTGTGTTGCCAAAGCATTTTCTGTCTCTAAAGATCTGCTTATCTTCTCCATTATCCTGGGAGTGCCTCCAAGGCAGTGATCTTGATTTATTTATCTGTATCCTTTGAACTCCCATTGTGTTGGGCGCTTAACTGGCGTCTGACAAATACTTGTCTGTGGATTGATGGACAGCTGAATTTCGGCAAAGATGAGAATAAAGCAGCTAATATTTATTGCACGTACTCTGTGCTGGGCTGTGCTTTGGTCCTGGCTAGACATGACCTCTTTTAGTCCTTACAATAGATGAATTAGCCGTCGAGAGGCTGGCTGGTAGTGTGGGCTAAAGATGGGGTTTGAATCACAGGTTTCTCACTCCAAAAATCCATATCCTATGGATGTTTCTGTGCCACAGGAAGCCAATCAATGGAAAGGTGGCCACTCTGGAAGGCATCCGACCCTAAGTCTCTTGGGCTTTGCTGTTTTGGTCCCCATCCGGCCAGACAGGAGTGGAGGGGGTAGGCCCTTCATGCTGGGAGTGGCATTTACAATAGAGTGAAAGCCATCTGGGGAAGTTGGGGGTTGGGTCTCAAGATTATCCCCACCCGTTCAGATGTGGGAAGGAGTTAAAGGGCGGCGATTGGGCACATTAAATTTTTACTGATTGTTGCTGAATCGGTAACAGTCTGTTCCAGGGAAACAGCTGGATTCAGACTGAACTGGCAGACACTGCACGTGTTCTACAGAGAAGAAAGAGGATGATGGTAAAGCAGACTGCAGTCTTCAGGCCTGGAGCAGAGAAGGGAGAGTTCCTGCTCTAGGTATGTTTAGTGCCTTTGTTCTGGCATCTGTTTTTTTCCCCGCCTTTTTCAATTAGGAAGGAAGAACAAAGTAGAGTCTTCTGACTCATCTACCCATGGGGCTTAGGAGACTGAGGGCCACCGTGTGTGTGTTGCGGGAGGCGGGGGAATGCGTGACAGGGACCTATGGTTGTAAGGCACAGCAGAGCACCGGAGCCCATGTCCTGGGCCTCCCAGGCTGTCACCCTGTCATTGGGGCACATTGACTTCTGGTGCCCTCCAGCCTCCCGCAACAGACAGCCACGTCAAGTCCCCCTACGCCCCTTTGGTTAATCCCCTATTTTGCTTGACTAAGAGTCAAAAGGCAAGAGGACGGCACCCAAATGAACTAAGCTCACTTAAATCACTGGCAGGGTAATTTGATAGATGAGTTGGCCAGCACCCACTTCGGGAATTAAGCAAAGCCTGCGCCATGGAGACAGTGGGAAATAACCTTGAGTGACTGTGGTGAAAAGGCGGCCTCATTTCACCCGGGGGGACAGCCCCAGCCCCAGCTCCGCAACTCAGATTGGAAGACAGTGTGCAGTGTCTGCTGGGATGACGGGTGACATTTCTCTCCCAGTGGTCTCTCCCTCCAAAGCAGGACAAAGGTCTCAGCAGTGGGGCCTTGGGCAGAACCAACAGCCCCCTCGGTTGCTGCTTAGACTCACCTGGGGTTAGGGTAGCTAACTGCTGAGGAGGGGGCAACTGGAACCCTGCCTCAGGGTTCCCTCCCACCAGCCCACCCAGGTAAGGGCTCCAGCAGATGCTCTTGTTTGTTGAGCTCACTCATCTGTTGATGGAACACAGAGGAAACAAGGGTCTTTCAACAGACCGGAGTCATGTTATAAAATGGGTGTTTTATGGGCCACATGCAGAAACTGACCACTTGCAGAAGGCCACCTTACTCTGCAGAGGGGCCAGTTGTGAGGGAGAAACTTCTAGGTCCTTTCATCGAGATGAGGATTGTTAGCTCTGACTTCAGATAAGCAGAATAAACAAGCCTCAGCCCAAGTGGGAACTGGTTCTGCCCCCTTTCTTTGCTTTTCTAAGCCATCAAAGCCAAGTTCCTAAAGCCGGACTGTCTCACGGTGCTTTCTGATGGTTTCATTGTTTTGTTTATTGTGCTTATGGCAAGTGCTAACAGACCGCTTTCAAAGTGTGTTGATATTTCGGTTGTTTTTGAATGGCCCTTCTGTTTTTCTGCATCTGGACAGCATTAGAGTCTAGCCCCAGGGAAGAACTGGGTTCCTATAAAAGTGTACCAGGTCCTCTTCTGCAGCAAACGCTGGCCATGACAAGATCAGACACCCCATTTGGGCAGGAACACACACCAAAAATTAGAGCGGAATCATGAGGCCACCTTCAGCAGCCAGGGAAGACAGGCCTGGGCTGGGAAGGGCCCACTGAGTGTTGCCAAGTGAACTGTGGGTGTTCTCTTTCGGTCCATGGACATGCTGTGGTCTTCCCGCAAGAAGAACTCTACCAAGCCGAGGGTAGGGTGATGCCATGAGATGTTCGTTGTCCATAGCTTCATAGATTACCCCCTCCCCCAACCTCTCTGTCTTTTTTTTTTCTTTTTTTTTTTTTTCTAGAGGTCTCACTCTGTCGCCCAGCAACGTAGCTCACTGTAGCCTCAGACTGCTGGGCTCAAACAGTCCTCCTGCTTCAGCCTCCTGAGTAGCTGGGGCTACAGGCACGTGCCACCACGCCCAGTTAATTTATTTATTTATTCTCTTTAGTTTTAATAGAGATGAGGTCTCACTCTGTTGCCCAGGCTGGTCTTGAACTCCTGGGCTCAAGTGATCCTCCCACCTGGGCCTCTCAAAGTGCTGGGATTATAGGCGTGAGCCATTGTGCCCAGCCTCTCTCTCTGTCTTCTAAATTTCTGGTTACCTGGTCAACCACTAGCATAGTTTTCAAATAAGAGGTTCTTGAGGATTGGACAAGGAGCAAGAGCTGGAAAAGGGAGAATGGCCTAGTGTCCAGGAGAAGACTGGAAGAGGCAGCGCAGCCCCAGGGCCCCCACACTGCAGCTCCTGACCTGCTCCAGGCAGAAGCTCTTTTGGGGGATCTTTTGCAACATTGCCCAAAGGGCTGGACCTGGGAAAGGGCATGGTGTGATTGTCCCCCTAAGACACTGTCTTTGGTTTTCAAGGGCTTCCCTTTCTATGTCTGCTCCAGCTCCACCCAACCCTCACCAGCCCCACGGTGTGCTGCATCAGAACATTTTGGGCTAATGCAAAACCAGGCTCCAACCAGCTCCCTCTGGTGGGAGAGAATCTGGGGGTATGATCTCACTTAACTTTGTAAGATTAGCACAAACTCGAATCTATTTCCTTATCTTTCCTTCTTTCTTTTTTCTTTTTTTTTTTTTTAACCCAGGCTAAAGTGCAGTGGTGCAATCACAGCTTATTGCAGCCTCAAACTCCTGGGCTCAAATGATCCTCTTGCGTCAACTTCCTGAGTAGCTGGGACTGCAGGCACGTGTCACCATGCCTGGCTAATTTTTAAATTTTTTTGTAGAGATAGGGTCTTGCTATGTTGTCAGGGCTGGTCTAATCCATTTCTTCAAGGCCTTCCCTGTTTTCCCCGTTCCAGATTGCCTGAGGTTTTCTTTAGCCCACGAACCTGATCAGCTTGTAAACAGTCCTCTCTGGTTTGGTATCAGGAGTTGCAGGGCCCTCTTCTGCCTGATGTCCAGACAGCTCTGTGGCTCGGTATGACAAGATCCTGACTGAGCAGTTCCCATGAGCTCCTGCTAAGTCACATAGGATGGAGAATGAAAGGCGGCAAGCGAGCTTTGGTGCTTCCATGCTGCAGTTCAAGGAAGTCCAGGGAGCTGGGGGAAGAAAAAAGCTAGCTCTGTCAGTTGGTTCTAAAAAGAACGATGGAGGCTCTTAGACCTGCAATCAGCGTGTTCATGTCTCTAAACACATTGGGGCAGGGGAAGGGCTGCAAGGGTTGGCTGTGATTGGTGATGACTGGTCTCTACTCAATAGGTCTCAAAGTTCTTGTCTTCTTTATAGCTACACACCCTAGCCTTTTTTCCTAGGTGCGTATTATCTTGTTAAGGATTCTCCTTTAAGCTGTCTGTCCTTCTTGAGGTTTTAGCATCCTTAGAATTGGATATATCCTTGTGTTTACTTTCGCCCATTTGAGACACTGGATAAAGCCCTAAACAGCGCCATTTTGTTTTTGTGTTTTTGTGTTTTTGTTCCATTGGCTCTTGGTTCCAGCAAGGAGACAATGTGAGACGCTTGGTCCAGGGCCAGGCACATCCTGACAGGCTAGGCTGATTGACCTCTGAGAAGCTGAGCACACCCTCCACTGAGGCAGGAATATTCTATGAGAAGGACTTTCCTGTTTTCCGATTCCTTGAATAGGCAAGTTAGAGAATGGTGGTCTTCTGTCTCCCACGCCGTGTGTGTGTGTGTGTGTGTGTGTGTGAACACTTGTCATTTTGAAAAATTGTAAACTTTATTTAGCAGTTTCTTTCTCACTGGGGTTTCTCCTTGTGTGAAACTTTAATTTTATAGCTTTGGCTGTTAATTCATCATGGGCACCACCATCAATAAATATTTATTGAGCTTTCACTGGGCACGGCATGTTGAAGTAAGAACTATGTATTTGACTCAAGAGGAGTTCATAGTGGATGGGGTTAGATTTTGGGAGGGGGCAGAAAAAACCTCTTTGAGGTCTCTTGCAACCCTGGGATTTTATGGCTTTGTAACCAAGGTGATAGGGTCAGTTTGACACATATCAGGCAGTCAGCTCGACATACATCAGGCAATCAGCTCGAACAAGAGAATGGGGCTTTGAGAGGTACATGGGCCATCACAAAGATAGTCGCCTTTAGAAAACCCACCCAGAACTGGCAGTGAGACTGCCATCAGCAGTGCTAGCAGATGTCCACTCTGGGACCCAGGGCTGCAAAGGGATAAAGTGGATCTTCTTGGTTTTCCTTATAGTGCCCTGTGGAAGTAAGTACTTGCTGATTGAGTGATGGTTTGCCCTTTGATTCTGGAATTTAAAAGGAACATAGGGCTGGGTGTGATGGCTCGCACCTGTAATCCCAGAGCTTTGGGAGACTCAGGCAGGAGGATCACTTGAGGCCAGGATTTTGAGACCAGCCTGGGCAACATAGCAAGACCACAGCTCTACAAAAATGAAAAAAATTAACAGGCATGGTGGCATGTGCTTGTAGTCCCAGCTACTTGGAAGGCTGAGACAGGAGGATCGCTTGAGCCCAGGAGCTGGAGACTGCAGCGAGCTATGATTGTGCCAACGCACTCCAGCCTGGGCGACAGAGAGACCCTATCACTAAGTGAACTACAATAAAGTAGAATAAAATAAAATAAGGTAAAAGAAGTCTAGAGCTTGGGAAAGTTTGGAGCCTGTTAATGCTTTGGTAGGAGAGGACGGAGTGTCTTTTTTATAGACTTCTCAGTGGCAGTCTAGTGGGTGCCCCTGAGCACTATGGGCTAGGAGAGGGCTATAGGAGGGGAGCTGTGTGAGTCTCTTGGATCCCTAATCAGAGCAGAAGCAGCTAGCCTGCCGCAGCAGTGACGCGGGCCTCCTAGAGGGTTTTCTTCAACATTATGAAGATGAACAGGGCTCTGAGAATTCCCTTTGGACCTGAGCTCCATGCTAATTGCCTCCATATTTATGGGATGATGGGAGGACCACAGTGGCAGCCTCTGAAGTAGAGTCTGGGGATGATTCAGCAAAGCGGCCCTGGCTCTGGTGATTGTTGGGCACCGGTAGATCTGAGCCTCCAGGGGCCCAGAGGCTCAGCTCCCTGTTGCCAGGCAGGCACGGTGCTATTATTATTGTTATTATTATTATTATTCTCTTTTTCTAAAAGAGAAGCTGAAACAGAAATCCAGAAGGGTGAAGTGCCCAGGTAATACTATGGGAACCACAGAGTCAAGGTAAACAGGAGCAGGAGAGTCTGTATCTCCTGCCTTCCAGCTCATGGTTCCTCCACTGCCAAGGGGAAGGGGCAGGGAATTGAGTAGTGCTGATCCTGTCTTTTTCATAAAAGATGATGTTCGGTGTCTCACAAGCAGCTGCTTTTCCCCTGAGGTTAAACTGGTGGTATTAGGGCTGAAGGAGGCTGATAGAGAAGCAAGGAACTAGGGAATACTGCCTGGTTCCATATCTATCCCTAGTTGGACTGTGGGCTAGCTACCTCGCCTTGCCGAGCCTCGGTTTCCCTATCTGTAAAGTGAGGATAACAGGGTTAACTATTTCATGGGAATGTTATGGGCAGTGGATGAAATGAAATATACAAGGAGATTCAGATCATGCTTGGAACAGAAGTTAGGGACTAATAAATAGGTGCTGAGATAGGGAGGCAGTCTGGTGGTGAAGCGTGCACACTCAGAGCCTGGCTGCCTGAGCCCAGAGAGTTCAAGTGACTTGCCAGGTCACGCAGCTAGTGAGGGGCGGAGTTGTGGTGAGTTCCTAGTGCAGCAGTCTTTCCAGATCTTTCCATGCTGGATCCTTTGATCAGGGGACTTGGGGTGGGGCTCTCCAGGCACCAGTGCTAGTCATAGGAGGGGCCCATCTTGGGGACTGGGGTGTCCTCTTAGGATAACTGTCAGTTGGTAAGGGGCACAGCATTGGAGAGATGGCAGGGGCTCCTGGGGAGATGGCTCTGGGGTGAGCCTGAGCCTCGACTTTGTCTACCACAATGCAGTGGCTGAAGTCTCCTCCGGGCGGAGCGGAAGCCACATGGGCTGGGCAGGGTGGGAACACCCTCTGTGCTCTGGGATCTCGGCATGGCTTTCCATCAAGCCTCTGTTGGTGCCTCGTTCCCCCATAAAGCCATTATGCACTGGGAGAATTAATCATGCCGTTAGGTAAGCATTATGGCACTTTTATGGCAGCTTTGAAGCTAATCTGTCACTAATGCCTGCTGGATTATCATGATTTCTTGCAGTTGTGATTCATTAACTCGAGGCCTAATGGTAATTCTATTAAACATCTTCCATCACTGTTTGCCCCAACATGTCCCCACTCTCTGTTCTATTGTGCTGTTGCCGTGGCGTGACTGACAACCTGTGTGGTCTCCAAAATTGGAGCCCCAGCGAGATGAACAGATTCCCCAGCCAGCCAGCAACTGCCCAGCCATGTGTCTACCCACTGCCCAAGCTCAGAGCACTTCTCCTTGCCTCAGCTTATGCTGCCAATGAGCATTCTTTGCACTTTTTCAACTTTAGCTTTTCTCCAGAGGAGAACACAGTGCCTTTCCTGAAATCCCCATCACTGCCTTTAAGAGGGCAGATGACGCAGAGGTGAAGGTGAGGCTGTATAGATGGGTGAGTTTCAGAGTGAGACAAGAGCCCACAGCTCCCAGGGGACTGTTAGACCTGGCAGAGCCTACCTGGGCTGGAAGTGTGTTTGGGGCCCGGAGAGAGAAATAGGAGCACTGCTAAAGAAATCTGGGCACACCCTCGCCTTTTTCTTCTTGCTCAGGGCTGACAGCACTCACAAGCTAGGAGGCAGGCAGAGGGGCAGGGGAGTGGCTGTGGTGCCCATGTCAGGCCCGCCCATGTTCATAAAACCCCTTGCTGAGAGCTTTCAGCAAGAGATGGTTCTCTTAGGCTGTCTGCTGTCTGCAAAAGGTCAGCTTCAGGGCAGGGCTTGACGGATGGGCTGTAAGCAGGCAAGAAAAAGCAAGCCAAGGAGGAGGGGGCTGGTGTGTGTGTATGGGGTGGGGGGCGGGAAGAAGTCGGTGGAGACCTGGAGCGTGGGCTCTGTCCTGGTGCCAGAGGAGGCTGGGAGGACAGCGTCTTGTTCCTCCTTCCGCACCATCCATCAAGCCCAGCGCTGATATCTCAACAATCTGTAACCTCCTCCTCCTCCTCTCTAACCTGCTCAAGTGCGCACCAGCCCTGACCCTTCCTGCCCTCACTTGGGCCTCGGCTGCTGCAGGTTGATGGATGGCTTCTCCTCCCGCCGGGCTTGCCTCCCCGCAGCTGGGGAAACAGGCACAGGTAGAGGTGGGGTCAAGCCCGGGGCAGCCACAGTGACCCTGTCGCTGAGACCAAGGGACCCTGTGTTCCCAGCTGCAGCAGGTGCTACGAGGGAAATAGAAATAGAACAGAGAGGAAACAAGCAGCGAATTCCAACTATATAAGGAGGAAAGGGGAAAAAAAAGCACCCCAAACCGAAACCAAAAAACCTCTCTGCATCCCGAGGTCTTCCAAGACTTCTGAAAATCTTGAACATGGTGCGATGTCTTCTGTGCACAGTTACAACGTAGTCTGCTCCAACCCATCTGTGTTTTCTCACGCCTGTGCGCTTTAAGAACCGCTGAAATGAAAAACAAGTTAAAAAATCCGTAGATGTATATATAGTGAGGCTGAGAAAGAGAGGACAGTACCCTGCAGCCTGTACAGCCTGTATTTGCTTTTTTATTTAAATTTTTTTTTTTTTTGCCAGTGTTTGTTGCAAGAAAAAGTGTATAAAAATAATCCTTAGACAACTGGAGTAAATATTCGCAACACATCAGCCGAGTGGAAGTCAGGATCCAATGCTCTCATTCTTCCTTTTTCTGGGCATTGATAGGAGGAATAGAAAGGATCTTTGCCCGTTTTTCCAGCTTCTAGGTGACTGCATTTCTTGTTCTAGTTGAAACTGGTTCTTCCGGTGAGGTTTGCAAACTGGACAGGTGGGGTGAGGACTGGATAGCTGATCCAATAATGAGAGGCTACATTGAGAAGCTCCCTGTAAGAGGGCTTAGAGGTCTTTTGAAAACAAAAAGTGACTAGCAGCCTGGAAATGGTGTGTGTGTGTGGTGGGAAGTGCTGCTGCGGAGGCCTGAGCCCGCTGCCAAGAAGGTCAGGTGAGAATTCAGCTCGGCATTGGTGGACTCCTCCTTGGCCTTGAAGTCCCCTCCTCAATACCTCAGTGGCTGGCCACCCCTGCAGCCTGGCACTGACATCCCATGCTGCTTCCTTGTTGGAACTTTTATAGGCCGAGTGGGATGTCCAGGAGGGACTCTCCAGGCATGGGGCTTGGGGGTTTTGGAATTTTAAATGAATTGAAGAGAGACAGAGGTGGTAGGTGGGGGAGAGGGTGTGAGTAGAACAAGAGAAGGACAGGGTGAAGAAAGGAAATGGGGGAAAACAGAAGTTGCAAGCCTGTGGGGAGAGAGAGAAGAGCGCGAGAAGAAGATCCAAGAGTGAGATGGTCACGGGACGGGAGTCAGCAGGGAGAGCAAGAGGGAAAGGAAATTTAATGAGGGCAACTTGAAGGCCAGCGTTCACCAACAGCTGGCGGGGTGCCGAGTTTGATCTCCTTGTGAGTCAGGCGGTCTGATTAATCGTGGCCTGTGGAGGAGGACGGACACCTGGCCCTGCTGCTGGGCTCTTTGATCTGCAGGGTTTCTCAGGGCCTGTGGGAGGGGAGTTGCATGTATGTGTGTGCTCCCAGGGCACCGAAGCCTCGCGGGGGCTCCCTGGGAAGGAAGCGAGGGAGTGTAGGGAGAGCAGCCTTCGGAGAGGCCTCTGGGGCGTGGGGATGGGCCAGGAGGGGCCTGGAGCCTCCTGGAACTGAGAGGCCTGTGAGGACAAAACTCCTGAGAGGGAGACTTTCAGGGGAACTTGGAATGGAGAGGGGCCACTTGGAGAGAAAAGTTCATAATCTCAGGGTGATTTGGCATTCACCCCACTCTCGTTCTCTGCAAGGGAATAACTGAATGGTTAGGGAGAACCAGTGGGAGTTGATAGCCATTTGCACAAAATTATGTTGCTTGTGGCTACAGGGCTGAGCCCCATTCCTTCCTTCCTTCCTTCCTTCCTTCCTTCCTTCCTTCCTTCCTTCCTTCCTTCCTTCCTTCCTTCCTCCCCACCCTTCCCCTTCCTTTCTTTTTTGAGACAGGGTCTCCCTCTGTTGCCCAGGCTGGAGTGCAGTGGTGCAGTCATAGCTCACTGTAGCCTCAAACTCCCGGACTCTAGCCATCTTCCCACTTCAGCCTCCTGAGTAGCTGTGACTATCGGCACACGCCACCACTTCTGGCTAATTTTTAAATGTTTTGGAGAGATGAGATTTTGCCATGTTGTCCAGGCTGATATGGAACTCCTGGGCTCAGGTGATCCTCCCTGCTCAGCCTCCCAAAGTTCTGGAATTATAGGCATGAGCCACTGTGCCCGGCCAGAAGTGAGCTCTTCTAGGGGTATGAGGAGAAGGGGGATAGAGGGCTCCCTCGAACTGGCTTCATTTTATACATGTTAGATGAAAACAGATTTGAGAAAAGAAAGCGACATATTGCCAAAAAAAAAAAAAAGCCTCAAGAAGAAGGAAAAAAGGAACTAAAACCCTAATGCCCTTAAAAAAGAAAACCAAAAAAAAAAAAATCATAAATTATGTCTTTGGACTAAATCCATTGGTGTTCTGCCAATTTCAAATAATAGTGTAACTTGATTAAAAAACTTTACAGGATTTAAAGTTGTTGGCTTCTCTGGCTCCTCCCTGAGACTTCTCCTTAAGTCACTGTCTACAACAGGCTAATTTGTTCCCAGATTCCTTAATCTTCAGTGAGTTGGTGATGACGCTTATAACTCCGTAGCCATATTTGAAGCGTTCATGATCTCTTTCGCTCATGACTTCCACCTAGAATTTGAGGAGACTTAAAACATTACCCTGAACATGTGCTGCTATTGAAATGCAGTGCGTGTGCGTGTGTGTGTGTCTGTCTCTGTGAGTGTATGCTTATGTGTAAACTTTTCAGATTTTGCCTGCCTTGGTCTTCTTCTGGGCTGCCAAACTGTTGCTCATAGCTGCCTTACGACTCCGAAAAGGGAAGCACTGGGAACAATAAGAATGTCTCCCAAGAGTTCAGCCAGAACACAGGATGTGGGCTGGGAGGGATACAGGCTCCGATGACTAGCAGCAAAGAGAATTCCACAGTGCAGGGCACATTTTCTGGGGGGATTGGGGTTTTGACCAAATGCTATTAGCATGGTTTAGGGGGCAGCTGTGGGGCAATGCAGAGGGCATCAGCCTTGCCTCCAAAGGCCTGAGTTCAAATTCCGGCTCCATGACTCAGTGACTAGCTGCGTGACCTTGGGCCTGCCCCTTCATCAGTTTCCTCGTCTAGAAAATGAGATAAGGAAAAATCCTTGCCTCGCAGGCTTGTTCTGAGGATTAAATGCATTAGTTTCTGTGAAAGCACCCTGTAAATGATGAAGCCTTCAATTAACAGCAGGCATTAGAATTACTTCTTCTATTACAGAAATCCAGGTCTCTTTAAACGCTTGTGTTGACAGCAGGGATGTTTTAATTTCAAACAGGGTTGGTGCACAGAGGGCATTAGCAAAAGGGGCCGCCGTGTTACCTGCTCCCCTTGGGGCACCTGCTCTCCTGTAATTATTGTTTACTAATAAGTATGTCTTGTTCATCAATGTTCCATTAAACCCGGCTGCAGTCCTTCACCTGGCTGGCCTGGCTTTTCCGGATGGGACAATGCAGGGGCGCTGGGCGCTCCGTCCAGTGGTGTGTCTCTTGGCCTCTGGGCTGCTACACCCGGCCTTTCCAGGGAGGGTGGGTCCCCAGCTGAGCAAGTGGCAGCAACTCCCAAATTTGTGCTCTTGTGCACAGTTTCATTCCCACTTCAGCCTGTTTTGCTGTTCATAAGAGGAACATTGCATACCTCCAGCCTGGGCTCCCTGGAGCTTCTCTGCTTGTCAGTAAGTCCTCAGATGTGAGGATATTGCTACGGTTGAAAGCTGAATGGGTGGTGTCTGGAGCTCAGGCTCTGGGTTCCAAAGCCTGCTCTGGCATGGGGCCTGTGGGACCTGGGACATGCCATCCCTGACATGGAGGAAACCCTTCCAGGCCTCTGTAAAACTTCTGATCAGTGTTGGGCACAGAGTAGATGCTTAAGAAATGATTATTTTTCTAAGATCAGTAGTGTTGACCCTGGGTGTACATTGAAATTACTAGGTAAAATTCCAAGGCCCAGGCCCCACCTCTAGAAATTCTGGTTGTTCTGATCTGAAGTTAAACCTTAACAACAATAGTGTTATCAAAGTTCTCAGGTGATTCTAACATGTAGCCAAGGTTAAGACATACCAGAGTGTCTCAAACTTAATGTTCATACATATCAGCTGGGGATCTTATTAAAATGTAGATTCAGGCCAGGCACAGTGGCTCATGCCTGTAATCCCAGCCCTTTGGGAGGGCTGAGGCGGGTGGATCACCTGAGGTCGGGAGTTTGAGACCAGCCTGGCCAACATGATGAAACCTCGTCTCTACTAAAAATACAAAAATTAGTTGGGTGTGGCAGTGGGTGCCTGTAATCCCAGCTACTGAGGAGGCTGAGGCAGGAGAATTGCTGGAACCTGGGAGGTGGAGGTTGCAAGGAGCTGAGATTGCAACATTGCACTCCAGCCCAGGTGGACAACAGCGAGACTGTCTAAAAAAAAAAAATTAGCTGGGCATGGTGGCATGCACTGGTAGTCCCAGTTACTTCGGAGGCTGAGGCAGGAGGATCGCTTGAGCCTGGGAGGTGGAAGTTGTAGTGAGCCGAGAGCACACCATGGCACTCCAGCCTGGGTGACAGGAGTGAAACCCTGCCTCAAAAAAAATTGTAGATTCTGAGTCAGAAGTGTGGGGCAGTGGGACTTCTGCATTACTACCAAGCCAAGCACGCCAATGCCACGATCATGGACCACACTTTGAGGAGCAAGTCTCTATCATTCCCCGATCCTTATGCCCCAGTGTGCCTGGCCAAGACTATGGATAGGAGGCCCTGGGAAGCAAGTGGAGATGAACACATGAAGAAACTTGGGTGGAAACTACTGAGGCTTCCTTAAGAATGTTCCTGCCAGGTACCAGTCCTGGAATCTGCAATCCTCTAGACACACACACACACACACACACACACACACACGTGCGCGCGCGCGCACACACACACACACACACACACACACACATCTCCTTCTGAATCCAGTCTGGAATACCCATATAAATAGCAACCAGAAGATGTTTTCCAATATTTCCAAGTTATCTAGTTTGAAAATATTGGAAATATTTCTATGTTTCCAAGCTTTCTAGTTCATTCTTGAAGATAATCAAATGAATGAAAACATTTGCCATGGAACATTGAGGACCCATGCCATGAGTTTAAATACCTACTCATAATACTCAAGTGGAAAAGTAATCCCTAACCTGGGCTTAGGGATTACCAGATGAAACTCCCACAGGTGACTAGGATAATGCAGCAAAACCCAGTGAGGCTGCAAAGTGACAGGTAATACAGGCACACGGAAAGGAGGATGCATTTGTTCGAGGGAGACAGAACTGACCATGGAACAAAGGGTTTCTGGGCAATGGGAGACAGTCTTTCAGACAGCACTCAGCCTGGAAGATTCTCCCTAGAGCCAATGACAGGGATGTGTATAAACTACTGCCCCTCTCTCACCGCAGGTGCAGAAGATGTTTGGGAGCAGGCACTTTTGCAGTAGACACTGGCAGAGTTGGTTTTCCAGGGAGTAAGATCAAGCTTACAGCACATTTCATGAATTAATGGCATGGTACATAGAGAATGGAATCACCAGAGTATCTAGCTGATGAAGACTCCTCATTAAAAAATGAGCTTTGAGCAACTGAGGGTCCTCTGCAGCTAGACTCTCTGCTAAGACCCTGAAAAGGATGAATCTGACATGCAGTGTGGATAGTTATACCAGCTAGGGGCCACCCCATGTGACATGCAGCATGTGACATGATCTGATCAGCACAGGATGAACAATTAGGACCACCATGGAAGAAGAAAGCCCTGATCTGACCCACCTTGGAGGATTTCGCTCAAGGAAAAGAATTTTGTTGTAGGGTTGAGGGCTGGTAGTTGACATGAGAACCACATGGTAGCCACGCCTGTCTCTTTGGTTGGACCGTACAACTGGGCCTAAGTTAACTGTTCAGCAAACAGTATAGAGTTTTTCTTTAGGTTGGGATCATCTGTCTCAGTATTTTTTTTTTTTTTTTTAAGACAGAGTCTTGCTCTGTCATCCAGGCTGCAGTGCAGTGGCACAATCTTGGCTCACTGCAATCTCTGCCTCCTGGGTTCAAGTGATTCTCCTGCCTCAGCCTCCTGAGTAGCTGGGATTACAGGCGTGTGCTACCATGCCTAGCTAATTTTTGTATTTTTAGTAGAGATGGGGTTTCTCCGTGTTGGCCAGGCTGGTCTCGAACTCCTGACCTCAGGTGATCCGCTCACCTCAGCCTCCCAAAGTGCTGGGATTACAGGTGTGAGCCATCGTGCCTGGCTGTCTCAGTTCCTTTTTATTGTCTTTGTAAAGTCACGTTGTTAGAAACAAATATCTGGGCACCATGAACCCAGCTGCCCATCACTGTCGAGGTCCTGGTATATCGGGTGGTCAGGCAAGGAACCCCTTTTCCTGCAAGCTTCCTGCACACAGCTTATTCTTGCCTTGAGATACTACCCATTTCCAGAAAACCAGAGGAGAGCACCACACAGGCTTCCGTTGGCTTGTCCGAGCACATCCACCTCCAAGAAGTCTGGGGCCTGTTTGCATGCAGAAATCGACATGTGCCATTTCAGAAATCTTGTTTTATTGCTCCTTTTCCTCCGACAGTCCCCCTCCTCTGCCACCGCCTCTTTCCCTCCTTAGGAATTCTAGTCCCAGATGTGACTCTCTCTGTTTCCTTTGGCTGGGAATTTGCCGTTTTCCCATAACCCAGTCAGGTTGCCTGTTAGAGAAACCAAAAAACTCCAACTTTCTGGGAAGACAGCTAATTAAATTCCCAAGGAGGGAAGAGGAAAGCCCCCTCTGAAACAGACAGATACGACCTCATAGTATATAATAATCACAGAAGAGAAAGTGCCTGGGTTGAGCCTAGGGAGATGGTAACATGGTGTTCTGTTTCTTAATGTCCTCTGCAAAGAAGCTGGCCCTGGGTTTAAAATAGCCCTCTGGTAAAAGCAACTATTTAAAGAGTATTGAGGCTGAAAAATGCAAAACAAAGTGTTGTTGATTAAAAACACATGGTTTGTTCTTGAGCCGTGAGTGGCCAGCAAAATCAAATGTGACAGTGTTTTGGCTTTTTCTATCCCACAAGACATGATGGTGATTTATTAGAGTGATGTCAGCTGTGGTTAAAAAAGTTTGCTGTGTTGTCTTAATAAAAAGAGGCTTTACCTTGGAGCTGTCAAACTCCCTTTCTCCTCTGGTTTGAAGCAGTGGCTGCAAGGCCCTTGGCTCTCCTGCAGGGACTTCTCCCCAAGGGGCAGACTTCTGCCTTTGGAGAGTGCATGAGGTCACCGGGTGCTGCATGTTTCTTGGTGGAGATGCAGGATGGGCTTTAAGGCAGGGGCCATAGCCCGATCTTGCTTTACTTGGCTTGTAGGTAGAGAGTACAGAGAAGCTGCACCCATCTTGGAGCTGAAGCATGGCTTGACCTGGCTGGTTTAAGGTGGGGGGCTTTGGATCGAGGGAGCACTGTGGAAAGGGAAGTTTTTAGCCTGTGGGCTTCTGTATGCATGTGTGCTTGCAGATAATGAGAAGTTGGGCTGTTAGTTGAATAGAAGGGAAATTTCCTAGTCAAAGCTCCTTTGGTTCTAAGGAAGAGAAACTCCCCAAATTCAAGTAAACAAGATTTATTGAAAGGACATAACAGTCCATTTCACAGACATCTAAGAAAAGAAAGACCATCTGGGGAAGGGGAGTGGGCAGCCCGCACCAGAGCTGCATTCTCTGCTTTTCTGGAGCTGTGTGGCCTCTTACTGCTGCTGGGTTTCTGTTCTGTTCTCTGCCTAGGGCTTTCCTCAGGGAGATTCTTAGCTTTTGCTTCTTCGTGGCTTTGGCTGGCTGCACATCACCTGTGTCCCAGTGCTGCGCCATCCCATTCTTGTTTAACTCTGCTCATGATTCTCCACCTTAGTCTCATCGCCTCCACCCCAAATTCCTAAGAGAAAATTCAGTTGTCTTAATGTGAGTCAGTTATGTGTCTCTGATGTAATCAGCTCTGGAGCAGCGCTAGGCAGGTCAGCTACAGAAAGGAACTGTATCAGGGAAATTGAAGAAAGCAATGACAGGGATGTGTTTTTGTCCTGAGGATCAGTGGGGGCTGAGACTGAGAATTGGCCATCACTGTTTCCGAATGCCCCTCTACCTCTTCCCCAGGAAGGGTCATGATCGCACTAGGAAGGTGTAATTCCAGGGGATAGTTTTAAGTCTTTCCTGTAGACATGCCCAGAAAGTGAAAAGATGACATTATTATTTTTTAAATTAGTAACATGGTTGCTTTTTCCTAATTACATAAGAAACACACAAATGATTGTAGAAAACTTGGAAAACAGCAACACACAAATATAGAAATAAAAAGCACCCTTAATGTGAGATAACCGCCGTTAACATATTGGTATATTTCCTTCTATTTCTTCTTTAAGTAGTAGCCTGAGGCTATGTGAATGTTCTGTGCTTAAGATCTATCTTTTTGCTTTAATTATATGTCTTCAGACCCTGTAAGACTTTAGGATTCCTTGAAATTTATTCTCATAATTTTCCCTGAGCACACAGAATTGTTTTTTCCCCTGGCTCTCTTACCTTTTCCTGTAAGTGGTAGCTCAAATGAAATCGGTATTTGTTAGTACCTCTCTGCTGCCACCTTACTTTCATGCAAGTCACCACTCTCCCCTCCAGACAACCAGGATTGTTATTATTATTATTATTTGGTTTGTTTATTTTCTGAGACAGAGTCCTCACTCTGTCATCCAGGCTGGAGTGCAGTGGCACGATCTCGGCTCACTGCAGCCTCCGCCTCCTGGGCTCAAGCAATTCTCCTGACTCAGCCTCCCAGGTAGCTGAGATTACAGGCACCAGCCATCACGCCCGGCTAATCGGCTAATTTTTATATTTTTAGTAGAGACGGGGTTTCACCATTTTGGCCAGGCTGGTCTTGGATTCCTGACCACCTGCCTTGGCCTCCCAAAGTGCTGGGATTACAGGCATGAGCCACCGCACCTGGCAGACCATGATTGTTTTTTTTTTTTCAACTTTGGGATCCATTTTATTACTGAAATTTGAAGAATGTAATATAAACACTCAATTTTACTAGCTCCCAATATTCTGATGGTGACCCTAAGTTATTTCTAAATTCTGAGACCATGATTGTTTTTAAAATGCTTCCACTCTTGCACTCTTTCCACTCTCTTCTTCTGGGTGATCTTTTCAAGCCACAAATCTGTTCTCATCATTCTTTGCTGGAAATCCTTTGCTGGTTATCTCTTGAATTTAGGATAAGATAGAAAAGATATCTAACAAGTTCCTCCTCTGCCTCACTTGCTGAGAGTTTCCAACCACATGCGCCTTCTCTCAGTCCTTTGACTAACTTCACTTTCCTGCCTCAGGCCTTTGCAAATGCTGTTCCTGCTGTTCCAAACTGCTTCACCCAAGTCTTTAGTTGGCTAAAGTGGACTCAGCGTCCAGCTCTCAGGTCAAATGTTGCTTCCCCAGAGAAACCTTTTCTTGACACTGGCCCTCTATATAGTCCCTCAATATCCCTCTTACTTTTCCTTCATGCTGCTTATTACAGTTTGTAATTATACCCTGATTTGTTTGGTTGCTATGGAATGTCTCTGTCCCTGATAGATATGTTTGTCTCTAAGGCAGAGCAAATCTGTTGTGTGAAAGGTTGTACCCTATTCCTGCTTTCATCCCTGGTCCCTGACTCAGCCACTGCCCTCACTTCCCCACCCCAGTGCAGTGCCTGCCATAGATTAGATACTCAATCGATGCTTGTTGAATGAATGAGTGATGCCGATTCTTACCTGCTGCAAACATACAAGTGAGGAGCCATAACACTGCAGCATGTTGGATTGGGATGTCTAGGCAGATAACATGGTTTTCAATAGACCTTGGTGTGAGTAGCTTTAATATTTGCTGTAATTTGTGAGTGTCCCTAAGGCTCACGGCATAATTTGCGATTGTGGTGAGGTCTGAGCTTGCACCGCATGTGCTGAGATGCCAGTGTGTGAGGCAGATTCCTGCCTGGTGAGTGAGACAGATTTTCAGTGCTGTAGCTACACCTTAATGTGGCTTTGCTACTCTCTGCTTCTCACATCCTATGGGGATCTTTCTACAGGGAGAGTGCATTCTAGAGCATCTCTGGCAGCTGGTCAAGGCTCTGGGATTGAATACCTCCATGAAATAGAGCTCTCTGCCTCTGAATCAGCCTGGTGGACAGCTCTGGCTGTTCGATAGAGCTTCCTTGAGTTAAAGAGAGATTTAGCTTCCTTAGAACCTTTAACTATTGACTGCCTTCTGTCTTTTGAGGAAACATCAATTTCATTCAAGGGCCATTTACTGAACGCTGGCATTATATATAGCAGGTGACATGCCAGGCACTGGGTGTGGAGCGCTGGGTAAGACACACTTGAAAAGCTCAGCTTAGGGAATACCAATTGCAGGTCACAATGTTCTCACATAATTATCACAACAACTTTGCAATGTGTGTGTTATTAGGCTCGTTTTACAGGTGAGGAAATAAAGTCTTGGAGAGTTCATGTGACTTGTCTGGGATTCCACAGTTTGCATGCAGGGAGACTATAGCTCAATCTTAAATGTTTTGACTCCAGCCTATTGTGCATTTTTTACTTCCCTAAGCTGAAAATATGAAATTTCTGCTTCATGCAGCCCCTAGTATATTTGAGCGTAGCTACTGTACTCCCCAAATCATCTTTTCTCCTGCATAAACTTGATTCCCAAAAGTATGATGATGCCCAGTGGGTCTTCTTTGGACCCAGTCATGTGGAAGTACCCTTCCATGTTGCAGAAGGTCCTGGCTATTATACAACACTCTTCCATTTGCAAACCGGGAGGGCCTCAGCCTTGGGTACAAGATTCAGAAGAGGAATTTGGGGTGGTTATTCTCCATGGGCAATGAAACTGGTGGTGAAGCCTGGGGCCTATTTCTAGGACAATTCAGGAGGTACTTTCCCAACAAGCATCTCAGCAGTGAAACATGAAGGATGTTCAGATTTCTAGGGCTGGATGTCTGACACTCAGGACATCTTCTCTACGACATCCCTGTTAGGGCTTTTGCAGGCATCTGTCTAAATGGGTCACATTACAGGGCACTCACAACCATCTGAGAAATCTCTAATAGACAGATCTATTAGATTTTACTCAACATTTGAGGAAAACAATCCCTGTCATTGTGTAGCTTCTGCTTACTGGTCTTCTTTTCGCTGGGCAACTTAAGCGCAGTGCCTCTCTGACATGGCAGGCTGCCACACATTAAATATGCAGGGAGTCCCAAATGGGGCCCAGACCTGGTTCAGGCAGGTCTGGGCAGGCCTGGTGAACTGCTGCATGGGCCTGTTAGAAGCCTATGTGCACCAGAGATCATGGAGCCTCCTGGGAAGGAGCTCGTCTTGAAGGAAGAAGGAACCAGGCATTAACACCTAACTTGGTCACTGAGCTTTAATTGTGACAGGAAAGGAGAGGTTCTGAGCATGGCCCAGTGTACAGCTCACAGCAGAATCTGTCTCACTACTCAGCCCCCATTGGACTTCGTTAAGAGATCTATGGAGAGCAAAAAAGCTATGCACAAAAATGGAAAGAATGGTTGACACTAACATGTGGTAGTCACTGGGGAACCAGCTCTGGGACTCATCTTGAGACTAACACGAAACGGGGAGAGAGGCTCACTCCTCCACTGCACTGCAGAGCCTGCGGTTCTCTGGTCTTGAGCATCTCTGTGGTGGCAAGGACAGCGATCCCCAGCAAGAGGTAGCAGCGCCCTGTGTCCTGGCAGAGGCCTGGATCAGGCCAATGAGAGTAGAACTATGGGGACCAGAAAACTGCTGTGTGTGTTGAGCACACATGAGGCACCCCCAAGTCACTCTAGAAATACTGGGGGACACTTGCAAACAGGCTGCCGCTCTGAGTGAGCTGGTGAAAGTTAAGTCATTGTTGGCTGGGTGCGGTGGCTCACACCTGTAATCCCAGCACTTTGGGAGGCTGAGGCGGGTGGATTGCCTGAGGTCAGGAGTTCGAGACCAGCCTGGGCAACATGGTGAAACCCTGTCTCTACCAAAAATACCAAAAATTAACCGGGCATGAAGGTATGTGCCTGTGGTCCCAACTACTCGGGAGACTGAGGTAGGAAGATCACTTGAGTCCAGGAGGCAGAGGTTGCAGAGAGCCGAGATTGTGCCACTGCACTCCAGCCTGGGCAACAGAGCAAGGCCCTGTCTCAAAAAAAAAAAAAAAAAAAAAAAAAGAAAGTTACACTAATGGGATCACATGCAAATGGGCTGATTGAAACCCAGAGGACCATCACCATCCCCCGTCCTCTCTTTTCCTGGATGAACATTCCCAGTGTTTTCAATCTCTTTTCTGAACTGACCATTCTGAGCCCTCCACCATTCTTGTTACTCTCTTTTGAAACCATTCCAGGCTGTGAGAGCCAAAGCTGTTTGCTATGAGGGTTTTCAGAAATCTCAGAATTAATCTGGCCTAACATTCTTTTTTAGGCTACATGAAAGAAAGGCCCACAAAGGCTTGAAGAGACTTGTCCCAACTCTATGTCCAGTTAGGAGAAGAGCAAGGACTTCACTCAATACACACGGCCCTGTTTTTTTCTTTTATTCCCATCCAGATTTATTTACCCTTTATTTTTCTGTTGTTGGGTTTGTTTCTGAGCCAGGGGCTTGCAACGTCTGGGCAAATGCAGCCATTATGTTCTCATGGTCAGGCATGGTAGAGTTTTGGACTATCCAGCAGTTGTCAGGTGCATTTGGTTTTAACCCTCTAAGGGCGAGGGAAACAGACACAGCTTTTCACTGACCCTCAGGGACTCTGCATTCTCTCTGCAGAGACCAGCAGGAGGAGCCCCTCAGTGGAAAAAGCATCTCTTTACTTGCAAGGAATAAGGTCACTGCAGGTGCTCTGTGCAGAAGCAGAAAGTGACAGAAGGAAGTATGGTCCAGTGACCCCAAAACAAGTGGGAAAATTGCCCACATGGAATAACTTAGTGCTCAGACAAAAAATCTCCCAAGAAAAACTGACCAGGAAAATGTCCTGCTATCAACTGTGGTTCCAGATGGAGAGCTGGGATGGGTCCTTGTAGCCAGTGGAGTCCCTTTGATGTCAGAGATGAGACGTAAGATTCTACACATCTCTGTCTTTGGCTGGGGCTACACCAAAACCCTGAGATGGCCTGCAAAGATCAGCATTTCCTAGACCACCCTACCCGCGTTCAAGGGTTTGCTTTGTATGTTGAATTCAGGGCTAGCAAGTGGATGCTGCTTCTATGCCAAGGCCAGTGCATTCATGGTGCCTGAGGAAGCATGGTGTTTGAAAGGAATCTGAGACTGGATGTGAGGAGGAAATGAGTGTTCTGATCAAGCAGCAATGTCTCTGTCAGCCCGAAGGGGAAAAGGATGGGGAGGAGGTTTGAATACCAGGTAGGCAGAATAATAGTTCTCCAAAGATATCCATGTCTTCATCTCTGGAACCTGAGAATATGGAATGTTACATGGTGGGGGTGGGGATTAAGGATGCAGATGGAATTAAGGTTGCCAATTTGCTGCTCTTGACAGGGGAAGATTACCCTGATTTTCTGTGTGAGTCCAAAGTCATCATAGGGATCCTTATAAGTAAGAAAGGGAGACCAGAGACCCAGAGTCAGTGATGTCATGTGAGAAAGACTTGACTGGTCATTGTGAGCTTTGAAGATGGCAGAAGGGGCCATGAGTCAAGGAATGTGGGCAGCCCCTAGAATTTGGAAAAGGCAAGGAAACAGATTTCTCCTGAGTCCCCAGAAAGAAACACAGCCCTGCCCACCCCCTGATTTTAGCCCTGAATTTAGGAACCATTTTAGATTTGTGACCTCCACAAGAGTAAGATAATACATTCTTGTGGTTTTAAGCCACCACATTTGTGGTATTTTGTTACAGCAACTGTAGGAAACTAATTCAGATTTCTCTTTTCCACTCATGACTCATGAAGAAAACGTTTCTTACCTTTAGCCTACAGTTCTTGTTCAGTTGCTCAAGCCCCTTCCCTCAGGACACCAGGAACAGAATCGCTAAGATTGCTAAGACCCCAGAACAGTTTCCCGTAAGGATGGCTATAAAAGCACCATCAATATTCAATCTTTAAAAGGCAATGGCACAGGTTATGCATTACCCTCTAAACTTGAAGTGTGTAGTTAGGTGGGGGAGGGTCCCAGGGATGCAGGTTCAGAGCCGGGTGTCAGCCCTTAGCAGTCACTGCCACACCATACAGCATGTTCTGGGGACAGAAGGTTAGGCTGGGACTCCCCACACTCATCCTCAGTTTTCTTACCCATGAGATGAACATCCAGTGACCTCAGGAGGTCTCTTTGATGTTTTATCATTTGAAGTATTCAGAAATGATGCTGGAGAAGAGAAATGAAAAATAATGGAACATTTTCTTTTTTTTCACTCTGTTGCTCAGGCTGGAGTGCAGTGATGCAATCTTGGCTGACTGTAGTCTCCACCTCCTGAGTTCAAGTGATTCTCCTGCCTCAGTATGTTGAATAGCGGGGACTACAAGTGTGCAGCACCATGCCTGGCTAATTTTTGTATTTTTAATAGAGACGGGGTTTCACCATGTTGGCCAGGCTGGTCTCAAACTCCTGACCTCAAGTGATCCACCCACCTCAGCCTCCCAAAGTGTTGTTACAGGCATGAGCCACCGTGCCTGGCCAAAACAATGGAACACTTTCTAAATAGCAAGCATGTTAGTTACATAATCTCATTAGTTCCTCACAACAGTTCTGTGAGGTTGTCATGTCAGGTGGGTTCCATTTTATAGATGAGAACATAGAGGCCAGAGAGAGGTTGAGCAGTTTTTCAAGTCATCCAGCTAGTAAACTGAGGAACCAGGAATTATATCATGACGTCAGAAGCCTATGCTTTTCCCTGTGATGTCATGACACCTCCCAAGAAGGACCACGGCCCCGGGTCATGCTGATGACAGGATCCAGGTGGTCAAACTGCAAGCTGAGCCCAGGAATGATGCTCTTGGGGAAAACTCTTTGGCATTCCGGGATATCAAAACTTGGGGTAACAAGAATAATTCTTTGGTAGCACAAGTATCTGTGATTTTGTTTCTTTTCCTGGTTTGCCTGGGAGGCAGTTGTGTGATCTTGCCTAAGTCACTTGCCTTCCCTGGGCTTCAGTTTTCCGGTCTGTGAAAATGGGGAAGACAAACTAGAATCAGTGTTTTCTACTCATTCTTGTTTTAAAAAAAATCATACCCCATCAGCTAAGGAGATTTTGTTGAGTGTTACTTGCTGCAATTTATATTCAAAAAGCAAGTAATTTTCTTATTTTCAAAGTAAATCATAAATATGCTTTTTCTCTTTCCTCTCCTCTCCTCTCCTTTCCTCTCCTTTCCTTTCCTTTCCTCTCCTTTTCTTTTTTTTTGAGATGGAGTCTCCCTCTGGCTCCCAGGCTGGAGTGCAGTGGCACGATCTCGGCTCACTGCAACCTCTGCCTCCTGGATTCAAGAGATTCTCCTGCATTAGCCTCCTGAGTAGCTGGGATTACAGGCATGAACCACCATGCCCCACTAATTTTTGTTTTTTTTTTAGTAGAGAAAAGATTTTGCCACGTTGGCTAGGCTGCTCTGGAACTCTTGACCTCAGGTGATCTGCCTGCCACCCAACCTACTGGGATTACAGGTATGAGCCACTTTCCCCGGCCAAAATGTGCTTTTTCAAACTGCACATTCCTCTCTTCCTCCACCTGCCTTTCTGGGTGATGTGGTGATCTTTCCTCTGACCTGACATATTGCCCACTCTTGAGGTCCCTTTACTTGATAGTTGAGAATTTTCTCTGCATTTAGGATTGTTGGAGACTTAGAATATATATATATATATATATATATATGTATATATTCTGGAAGAGAGGAGACAAGCAGCCTTTCTGAGTTGCCCATCTCTTTTCCTGGAACCTCCCCCTGCCCCCACTATTTTTCTTTGCCTGGAACATTTATCTCTCTGTGTTCCCCTCTAGGCCACCCCTTGACTCTCATGTCTGCGGAGCAGCAGGCAGGCGGCCCTCCTGTTTGAGTGGGCCATCTCTCAGCAAGATTGCAAGAGTGGTTATCTTTTATTTCTGGCATGTGCTGCAACACAAGAGTGATCCCAGCTTCAGAGATTATCACCTCTCATCTTTTATTCTCCCTTTTCTCCTCTCCTTTTTCTTCCTGCAAGATAATAAAATTACCAGGCCAGCCCTCCGTTCCTCATGGCCTAGTCAGAGTTCAGAGATATTTGCTTCTTGGGTAAATAGCTGTAATCTCCCTGACCAGGCTTTCTCGCACTTAAGTGAGTTAAATTCTCCTGGTCTAATCCCCCATGTGCTGTGGTTTTTTGAGTATAAAGCTTTTGACATCTTTTGATATAAAATGTCAACTCTGGGCCACTGGATCTGATTAGGCATCAGGCGAAGAGTGACTAGCCTGGAAAAGAGGGGCCTCTCTGCAGAATAGCTTTGGGTAGAAAAAAAAATACATGGAAAAGAAGCTTTGCTCCAGAGAGGAGAGGAGGAGGGATATGTGGGTATTTGGCAGGGCCAGGGATGTCCTCAGTCATGCAAATCCTTGGTGCCCAGTCGGGAACGCAAGGTCCTGAATCGAGCCGGCCCACCACCCATGCCCTTCCGTGTTTGCCCTGACATGTGCTGGACATAGCGACCCACGCAGGAGGAGCAGGTGGCAACGTGCCTGAGCTCAGGTGACACGCTGTTTTTACTGGGAGACACAAGATGTACGTGAACCTCTAGGAAACAATACAAGGGCAGATTAGGATCAAACGCTAAGTCACACTTGGCTCAAATTTTCAAAAATTCTGGGGTGTGGGCAAGATTCATAAAGGGCTAGAGGATGGAAGATCAATATTGTTTGACAGGAAAGTGTCTGAATGCAGATGGAGGCTGTACCTATCCTTGAAGATTGGATAGGTCGTGTGTGTGTGTGTGTGTGTGCATGCGTGCGTGCACGTGTGCATTTGTGTGTGTAATGGTGGTTTCAGTGAGGGTGGCAGAGCAACTTTCCAAGTACCGGAATCAGTAGAAATAGGCTCAGGAGTAGGAATGAGCCTGGTGTGGATGGCATCCAGGGGGGACACATGTGGGACACTTTTTCAAGCTCAGGGGCACCCATGGGTGCCCTGAAAGGGCCCCGGCTGGGAAGCCATCCTTGTTTCTATGTATATTCGCTGCACGTTGGCTTTTCTTTCTTGTCGACCTTCCAGTCACTCCTAAATTCGGTTCCCGCTCTCTGCCTCTCCCAGCCTGCCAGGCTGCCCGTGCCTCCGCCAAGCAGTGACATTTTCCCAAGCACAGCCTGTGCCGTTTAAAGCCTGAGATGCGCTTTGGGGTTTGACTCCCCATGCCACCCTCCCTTCAAATGTGTGTGTGTGTGTGCGAGAGTACCGATTTTTGGCCTTGAATCCCCATTAAAAAGAAAAAGAAAGTCAATTGCCAGGGCCAAGGATTAATGAGCAGTTCATGGAGCCTGAAAAACTGCCCACCTGTCCCCACTGCTAGCTGCCCTTGAATGCAGGCAGAGCCATCCGCAAGTGATTCTCTCCTCTGAGAGCAGCCCCAACACCCTGGCGGGGGTGCTGCAGGGGAAAGGAAGGTTTCACTCACTCATTGTCCTGCTTGGGGAAGGACAAGGCCCCAGGTCACCTCTTCAAGGGTTTCTGTCTTCCACTGGTCACATCTCCCTATAGAGCTGCAGGAAGTGTGTCCTGCATCCCTTCTCTATTCTCAAGTTTTCGTCTCCTCTCTTCCAGTAGCCAGTCCTGCCAGGGTTCTGGCTGTGCCGGGACAGTGAATGGCCACTCCGTCCCAGATGAGCTGCAGGAAGCGTTTCGATGTCATGTGGAGGTGGGTACCTTCTCCCCATCCTCGGCTCCTGTCCCTGAACACGTTCCTTGCAGCTCCTCATGGCCTGCTTGGGCTCTTCACTCCCAGAGGCTCCCCCTTTGCCCTTCCCCCTAGTTTTTTGTTTCTGTCTCCATATTTGTCTCCTGCAGAGCCCCCTTGTTGCATTTTGTTGAAATATGTGCATCTGAAAACCATAAAAGAGAATCAAAAGTAGGGTGTTTTCTTTAGATACCTTTCGCTGAAACACCAGCCCCCTCTCCTCTGCAAAATTTGTCTTCTTCACTTCTTTTCTGCATTGGTAATTGGTTTTTGGGTATGGGAGGGGGTTAAGGATGTGTCTTTCTTGCTCTAAGTGCCTAACATGCATTCATATCTCACTGTGGGTTGTCATCTTCTATGCACAGCTGGTGGGAGCTGGGTTTGAAGGGGTTGCAGGAGCAGCAGAGAGATGGCCTGGGCTGTCTTGCTGGGGAGGTGCTCTGAGCTGTTCAGGGGTGCCCAAGACACTGGCCTCACAGGTGACTAAAAGGAAGGCAGGGAGGGAGAGCTTAGTGGGACCCAGAGAGGAGACAGGGCACTGATGGAAAAGGTGACCTGATTTTCAATCATGAACTCTACCTGTTTCTTTTTCCCTCTCCATATCTTCCTCTCAGGGGCTAGTGAGGTGAGGGGCAGTGTTTGGGGAGGACGCGATGTTGCCAGGACTAGCCTAGCTGTCTGCATGGGCTGTGTCCTATATACCCAGATTGGGATGAGTGGGTGGCACCTCTCCCTAGGGAGGTTGAGCATGCCTGGCTCTCTGCTGTGGGTGTCTGTACAGCTTCTACAGCTCCCTGCCCTGCTCTGGACATCACTGTCTAAAGCATACCATGACAAGACTCCCTCAGCTGACACATTTGTTCTCCATGCAGTGACATAAATGTAATAATTCTCAGATTCTAAGCCCTGAATACCAAAATGCTATAGACAGCTGTTGAAACAATAAAAAAACAAGCAGAAGAATATTTCTACCACACTACCACAGCCAAAGCTTTGAACATGACATTGTCCATCACAAGACTATTAATAAAACAACTGTAATCATATTGATTGATACCATTCACGGAGTGTCTTCGATGTTCCAGGCATTTTCTCATCTACTTTTGACAATAACCCTTTTATCTCCAGCTGACAGTTGAGGAAACAGACTTGAAGAGGTTGAGTAACTTGCCCAAGGCTACGTAACTACTTCAGGGTAAGGCTGGGGTTCAGACTCAGCTCCAGTGCCAAGCTGCAAAGCCAGGAAGTACGTGAACACAGGAACCGACCAAGCCAGGAAAAGCACAGTGCGTGGACAGTGAATCTCAGAGGAGGTGTTCAAGGGAGCAGGTCTGTGGACGCTAGCATGGCGACAGAGGGTTCTGGAAAGAGTCGAGGCATGATTTGGATTTAGGCACGTAATGCGGCCGGCAGAGGCATTTCAGGATGATTAAGACATTAGAGGTGAGGAGATGAGGGAGAGAGGAATGGAGGCTTGGCTCAGGGAAGTGGTGGGAGCCAGGGCAGCAATTGGTGAGGTTAAATGCTGGAGTCCCACACGTTCTGTGGGTGAATTTGGGGGCAAGTTAATAAACGCATCAATGTCCCAGTTCCTCAACAGTAAAGCAAGGGTAATAACAATGGCTGCTTTGCCTTTTTTGTTTTTTTTTCTGAGACAGAGTCTTGCTCTTGTTGCCCAGGCTGGAGTGCAGTGGCACAATCTCAGCTGACTGCAACCTCTGCCTCCCAGGTTCAAGTGATTCTCCTGCCTCAGTCTCCTGAGTAGCTGGGATTATAGGCGCCTACCACCACGTCCAGCTAATTTTTGTATTTTTAGTAGAAACGGGGTTTCGCCATGTTGGCCAGGCTTGTCTCAAACTCCTGACCTCAGGTGATTAGACTGCCTTGGCCTCCCAAAGTGCTGGGATTACAGGCATGAGCCACCGCACCCAGCCCCTGCTTTGCCTTTCTGTGGCAAGGATTGTGAGGTAACTCATGCCAGACACTCAGTTCTGCCTGGCACGTATGCCACTGCTACATCAATGTCCTTTGGAGCTGAAAATGCCCTCTCTCCAGAGGCTCCTGGGTTTTTGTGTCACCTTAACTCTTCTGCCTTCTTCAGGGTCTTCAGCCACTGAGTCATCCAGTTCAGTTGATTTGTTCCCTCATTTTCTTCCTTGCTGTCACCGCCTTGTTTGAGATCCCTGACGTGATGTGCTTAAGCGATTGCCACAGACTCCCAGCTGGTTCCCCGCCTTCGGTCTGTCTTCACCTCAGTCCACGCTGTGCATTTGCACTCGATTATCTCTCCTAAAATGATGCCTTCTCCATCATGCTTCCCTGCTCAAAACCCTCCAGTGACTCACGCTGGCTCTTTGCGATTAAATGCAGACTTCGGAGAATCACTTACAACCCACTTCCCCATGGATTTGCCTTCGTTCCTCCACATAGTTGGAGTCTTATCACCCCACAAACTTGCGATGCTCTTTCCTGCTGCAGAGCCTTCATCCTGTCTCCTCTTCCAGGGATATGCCTTCCTCTTCCTCTCCGCATAGCCAAGGGCTCATCTTCCAGCCTGGCTTCTCTGAAACCAACTTCCTCCGTGAGGTTGTTCCTGACCAGTTCAGCTCATGAGACCTCTCTCCCTGCTGGACATCTCTGATACCTTCTCTGTGCTTCACCCATTTGGCCAAGGGCTGCCCTACTAAAAACATACAGTCATGGAAAACGACACATTTCCCCAGATGGGGTGCAAAGGCCTCAAGGGAAGACCGCCTCATCTGCCTTTTCTGTCCCCTATGGTTCCCAGCATAGGGCAGGGCTGAACATATAGTTGTTACTCAATATTTCTATTAAAAAATTTTATTTCCATAGGTTATTGGGGAACAGGTGGTATTTGGTTACATGAGTAAGTTCTTTAGTGGGGATTTGTGAGATTTTGGTGCACCCATCACCCAAGCAGTACCCACTGCACCCTGTTTTCAGTCTTTTATCCCTTATCCGCTCTCACCTTTTTCCCCCTGAGTCCCCAAAGTCCATTGTGTCATTCTTATTCCTTTGCATCCTCACAGCTTAGCTCCCACTTATGAAAGAGAACATACGATGTTTGGTTTCCCATTCCTGAGTTACTTCACTTAGAATAATAGTCTCCAATCCTATCCAGGTTGCTGCAAATGCCATTAATTCATTCCTTTTTATGGCTGGTTACTCAACACATTTTGCATTCTTTTTTAATAAAGGTGGTTTGGAGAATGATGCTAATGAAGAACTGGAAGATGGAGAAAAGAACCCCTTTTCCACTAAAGAAGGGGGTGACAATGCAAGCCTATGCAATACATAGGTTCCCGCGGGTGCAACACAAGCCTATAGCTTAGGTTGAACAGTCACTCATGGCCCCCGAAATCAGCAGGCTTTCTCTCTTTGTGCTTCTGTTTGGGCCTTCCTCACTCTCTCGAGCTTTGCTTTCTACCCTGATAAACTTCTCTCTCCCCACACGCCTCCCTTGGACTTTCCTGGTAGCATTCACAATCTTTGCAGAAAGTAAAACAAGATGAGATGGGTGTTTAGATGTAAGTCCCATATTTGATACTCCACCCTAGGCCCTGCTGGTAGTTCACAGTTGTCTGGGAGCATTTGTCTAATGCCTCAATAGATGACTCTGGAGTGGATGAATAAAGAATGGCACACAGTGAACTACAATGCTAAACCACTCACAATAATCTATGACTGTTGATTATGTCCTTAATGACAGTAACAGCTGTAATAGTGAGAATGATCTGATGGGTAGTGCAGAGAAGGATGGATGATGGGTAGGGATGCAGAGAAGCTGGTTCTCATCCCTGGGGCTCGGCGTTTCAAGCCAGGCTTCCATTTTTTGGGGGGTTTGTGATTCATGCCCAACTGGCAAGTCTCCTCTCTCTGATTCAAAAGGGGAAGAAGAATCCCTCACCCGGGATCTTGGGGACGTCAAACTGCTCCTTACGCAACAGCCTCCTAATGAGTTAAGTGTAAATGAATCAGAAGCAGATGGATTGGATTGTTCTGGAAATACACCCGAGGTTTAAAAATCGAGGGAAAAAAGCATTTGGCAAAAGGCATTTTGGGGTTTGCCAAGACCCAGAACATTTGAAAAACAGTTCAAGATTTTTTTCTTTTCTCTTTGGTTGCAAAACCCAAAATGCTGCCTGGAGGCAGTAGAAAGAGATGGGCCTCCATTCTCCTTTCAAACTGAAGTTCCTCCTGCCGGGTGGGTAATGGACCCCAGATAGGAGGCAATGGGCTATAGCATTGCACCAGGGAGTGACTGTGTCCGGGAGCAAAGCGTCCTGCCTCCATTTGTTGCAGAAGGCAGTGCTATGAGCCTGCAGCTCCTAGGCTGGGCCTCAGTCCTTTGGGCCTGCCCTGGGGCCCTACCTAGGTCATGCAGCGAGCTCCTGCCTTCCCTAAGACTTGAGTCACCTCATCCAATCAGGAGAAGCTCATTATATAAGGGAAATGGTCTCCAATTTGCTGGCCAAGAAACTTTGGAGGTTAGCAAACACTAATCCAATAAAATATAAAGTGAAATGTTGATTTTACAGAAAAACCTTTAAACAATTTTTTTTTATTAGTCACATTTGGTATAACTGAACCTTTCCCTGGAGGGACCATCTTGTTGAGGGGAAGGAAAAAAAAAAGCAACTGTCTCAGAGGAAAACTCGACCCAGCAGTTTCTAAATCTGCTGGCTGGCTGTGTGATTGTACATAAGGCACCAAACCTCACTCTGCTTTGGTTTCTTTTTCTTTTCTTCTTCTTTCTTTTTTTTGAGACAGTCTCGCTCTGTCGCCCAGGCTGGAGTACAGTGGTGTGATTTCAGCTTGCTACAACCTCTGCCTCCCAGGTTCAAACGATTCTCCTGCCTCAGCCTCCCAAGTAGCTGGAACTACAGGCGTGTGCCACCACACCTGGCTTATATTTTGTATTTTTATTAGAGACGGGGTTTCACTGTGTTAGTCAGGATGGTCTCAATCTCCTGACCTCGTGATCCGCCCACCTTGGCCTCCCAAAGTGTTGGGATTACAGGCTGCCTCTGCACCCGGCCAGTTTCTTTTACTTTAAGTTCATTTTTTTCCCCCCAGAGACAGTGCCTCACTCTGTCACCCAGGATAGAGTGCAGTGGTGCAGTCTTAGCTCACTGTAGCCTCCAGTCCTGGGCTTAAGCCATCCTCCTGCCTCAGCCTCCTGAGTAGCTGTGATTTCAGGCACATGCCACCATACCCAGCTAATTTTTAAATTTTTGCATAAAGACGGGGTTTCACCATGTTGCTCAGGCTGGTATCAAACTCCTGGCCTCAAGTAATCCTCCTGTCTCAGCCTCCCAAAGTGCTGGAATTATAGGCATGGGCCTGCTTTGGTTTCTTAATAACCATCTTTAAGGGTTTTCTCTGACTTGATCCAAATACAGGAATCAAATAAGTTGGGGGCTCTCCTGATAATTCATGTTAGATAATGGATGCATCCTTATGTTGCAGGAACATGGGGTGTCCTTGGTGTGTCCAATACATGGTCTCCCTAACAAATTTCAGTAGAGCTATTTCCTCCCCTGGGACCGATCTGTACAGGTCAACAGACCTGTATGCCTTTCCGAATCCTGTGGGTTGTAAGCTTGGTGAACCTGGCTATTTGCAGGTTCCATGGCTCGGTGACTTTTGGTCCCACCACAGGGTTTCTATCCGGCTGATCTAGGGTCTCTCACTCCCAAGATGTGCTGTCCTTATTTGTGGTTTTGTTTCACCCTGGCCTGGAAAAGCAATATCGGTGTTTTCCTTTGAGTTGCCTCCAGGCATTCTCACCTTCCCAGCCTGCTGTCTGCTGGCATGAGGCAGGCCCTGGAGCTTACCATGGGGTGGTGAGAGGTTGGGAGATGGAGCTGAAGCTGTGGGTGCCAAAGGCAGAATGTGAGCAAAGTGCAACTGAATTGTATCCCTCTTTGAAGGCCCAGCTTGCTTCTTTATCTGTGTGTTCATTTGCTCCTTCATCTGCTATGTTCGGTGCTGGATCATAACCTGATCCCCCAGTGAAGACAGGCCTAATCAGCCCAGCCCACAGCAACAATACCAGCACTAGCAATCTCAGAACTGTTTACAGTTTATAAAGGGTTTTTAGGTTCACAATCTCCCAGCTCCTCTTCTTCTAAAAAATCCACAGGAAATGCAGGGGCCTTCTGATCATCTGGCCAACCATCTCAGTTTCTAGGGAGAACGTTCTTTCTGAGACCCCACAGTTGGTGGCAGGGCTGGGTTTCACGCCCCCTTCACTCACCATGCTTTCTTCCTGTACTTGCACTCACTTTGTTCCTGGTCAGGATCTATTTTGTTCTGTGTTAATCTTGTTTGCATCACCATTTCAACACCCCATATGGACTGCATGCTCTTTTAAGATGAGGATCGTGTTTTGTACTTCTCTGTAATTCACACAATGCTGAGCAGGGTGTCTTAGACATGAAAGCTGCTTAATAAATAGCTAATTGACAGGGAGAAATACTGAATTGGGCAGAACTAGTGGTAACCCCAGTTCATTGCAGAAAGATTGGCACTGTGCGTCCTGACCTAAAAGACAGCTGCTCTGGGTTTCTGGGCTCTTCCCCATTGGTAGTGAAAGACCCCCTTTAGCTCTGATCCAGCCTCATTGTTATCAGGAAATAGAAAAAGCTCACACCTAAGGGCATTATCCTGATTATCACCACATTCACATATCGAGCAGGCCAAGAGATAGAAAAGAAAGTGTTAGTGTCTGATATTGTCCTTGCCAAATAAAAATTAAGCGGAAGCTCCAGGATTCAAGGGAGGAAGCCCGCCCCCATGGGGAGCAAGGGGGGAAAGAGCCTGTGGTCTGTGAGCGAGGGCCTCCTCCCCACCCCGAAGTGCTGGGGTCCATCGTCAGCTTGCAGGGTGACCCCAAGGCCACTGCCTCTAGGTGAACTTGAGAAAAAAGCTCTTTTCTGTCCCTGCCTGCTTGCTTCTTAACCGTGTGAGTGAGAGGGCAAATGAGATCCCATTTTGAACTCCCAGGAGGAAGGCAGTAGTAATAACAGTGATTATTTGGAGGTTATGACTTGTTGGGGCTGCCATTAAAGAGAAAACAGCTCACCCTGAAGGGTAACTGAGGCCACTTCCAGGAGGCGAGAGCAGCGGACCCTCCTCTTTGACTGCAGGGTGAGGTGGTGTGCGGGAAGGATGCGAAACACAAGGGGTTTTGTCTTGGACTCTCCTGTCCTTTGATTTCCTAGGTATAGGGGAACACCCAGAAGCCCCGCCCCCCGCCCCCCCACGAGTTGCTTCCTCTGATCTGTGAATTCTGGCTTCTCCAACGTTTCTGATATGATGATTCAGGAGAAAAGTGGACTTGTCAGAGACAGGAAGGGAAGATAAAAATAAAATCAAGTTAGCCAGGCCTATGAGTTCCTGTCATCTTAGTCATCCCCCGCTGCCCTTCCCCGTAAATATCCACAATCTTAAAAATCCCACAGGCCTGCGCAGAGTGGGAGCCAGACTTTGGGGTCCAGGTCAAGGCCAGAGGGTGAAGGGGACATGATTCAGCGCTGTGGGCCTGCGGACGGACGGGGGGAAGCGGGGCCCTGCAGGGCCCCCCCAGGACACAGGGCTGTGGGCTATGAGTCCTGCCTCACCCTGCAGCCTGCACTGCCTCTGCTTCTCCAAGCAGGAGCCGCCGAGTGATTGATGGGCCCCAGCTTGAATGGAAAGTCCAGATTCCAGCAACACAGCTTAAGAGGTAGGAGGAGAAACACGTCTAACATCTGCAACAAAATTAAAAATTAAATAAATAAAATGTGTTAGTTTACAAAATAGAACTGTTACTTGTTACTCGGGGTATTAACAATCTCCTTTTTTGATTAAAATTTTTTTTTTAATTTTTAATTTTTTTTTTCGGTAACGCCCGTGAAAGACGTTTGTTTCAGTTGCCAACATTTCTGCAGAACTAATGTGGGTGGATTGTGACAGATATAATTTCTTCATCCTACAGTTTCATCAACTTGAGTTCTGTTAAACTATACCCGCTGGGCTTAGCTCCTTTTAAAGTTTCCGCTTTGACAGGTAGATTTATTAGTCTTGAAATTTGTACAAATCAGATGTCACTCGTGGCAACTTGTCAAAGTGTCAGTCTGGCGAGGCGGCATGAAAGGCTTTCTGGAGAGAAAGGCAGACGCAAGGCAGGCTTTAAAGAACTCCAGCACGAGCTGCGGGAAGGAGTGGGAAGGATTGCAGCCCCTTGATCCTCGAGGCTTTACTTTATTAAATATCTCAAGCTGTATAGGGGGACGGGCCTTTGGATCCCGGGTCTCTGAGACATCAAGTCTGACAGCTCCCAAACGATGGCTTCTGTCGATTGCAGCGTCTAGTTTCTCTCCTTGTTATGCTCATTTAGTGGCAGAAGGCAAGGGGGGCTCGCTTGGTTGTACAGGCAGGGAGAGCAAATCCAGATCTCTCAGTTTCAAAAAACACTGGGTGGGTCTGTGGGGGTGGATGGGTGCTCCTGGGCTCCCTCGGCCAGAATGAGGGGTCACCTTTCAGCCCACAGATGCAAACTCCTTGTTCCCTTGGAGAGAAAAAGCAGCCGGGAGGTGGGGAGGGAGGGAGAAATGCTCTCAGGTGCAGGCCTTAGGAGGCCACGGTCCTAAGACAGTCCCAGCACACCCGTGGCTCGATTTCCCGGCCTGTGGGCTTCCCGAATTTTCCAGGCTTCCCCATTCCCCAGCCATCCGTGAGTTAAGGAGCCTACGATTTGGTAAGCTCCATAATTATCTTAGTTTGACATCGCAGGAAATGTTACTAATGGTCAGAAAATTATCTGAATTTCTCCCCTGGAGTGGGGAGTGCAGGAGAAAGACCCCCAACCAGGGCCCCGCATATAACTTTCTGCAGGTGGCAGACTGCAAGTGTCCTGGTGGCATGGGTATTTAGTACTGAGAAGATGCCCTCTTGGGAGGCGGGGACTGTACTGCAGAACTGGAGATACAGTGATGGCTGGGGAAGCTTACACTAGCTTATTGCGGTGGTGTCTGCTCATCTATCTGTGTGGCTACCCGGGGATGCTGGAAGACGCCAAGTAAAGCTGTGGGGCTCAATATTCCTACAACCTCACTCTCCCACTCCCCAAGAGGTTCTGGGGGCATTACACTGTTTGTGTCCAGTGTGGAGGACGCAGACACTGGACGACGGTGGCGTGCCCCGATGTGAATGCTCAGGGCCCCTCCCCTGTAGTTCAGTCCTCCCTGCCTCTTTCTCAGGACGGCATTGGGAGCCACTGCTGACCTCAGTGCCCATGGCCACCCATGCTGGTCCATCTGTTTGCCTGTGCGATGTGGGGTCTCAGTATCAGGATGAGGCAGGAATCAGGATGAGGCAGGATTTGATTTGAGAAGTGTGGAGCTCGCTGTCTCCATCTCTGCCCCCTTCCTCCTTTATTCCAGTCCCTTTTCCTCCTAGGTTTCCAGAAACTCCTGCTCAAATGCAAATACCTCTTGGAAGGGTGGCACTCCTTCCTTCCTGGGGATTAGGTGACACCCTGCTGAAAGCAAGAGAAGTATTTTGTGGGAAGGAAGCAGGGCTGCTACCAGGCAGGTGGGGCAGGAGGCCCCAGGGAACTTGGCCCACCTCCTGCTGTTCCAAGAGCCCTGCCTGCCGTCACCTCTTCCCCCTGTCCACAGAGCCGGGAGCCAGGCTCTCCATAGAGGCAGGAGGGACTGCAGAGGGCAGGGGTGGTGGAAAGACCCTGAGGGCTGTGCAGTGAAGGGAAGGGACTTCCACACAGACCCCTTCTCCTGTCCCCCAAGAACACAAGTGCTTGGGGTTCGTGGGTGGCTGAGTCATTTTCCACCAGCAGCCTGGAGTCTTAGGCATGAAGCGGGGGATTTTCTTCTCCCTGAGCCGAGGAGGGCGCCTCTGTTGGCATTCTTCCCAAGAGGAGAGGAGTTGAGTCTGCTGTTTATGCTCCTGTTTGAGGCCTGGAGTGGGGAGCAAGTCTACTGACTTTGAAAGTGAGTGAGATGATCCCAGGTGGGGCATCCCAGCCATTAAGAGGCATGCTAAGGAGAATGGTCACGACGGTCTAATCACGGCAGCAATTATCCTAATAACCCTCAGGATGGAGATCATGCCTTTCAAAGGCTTTCAAAGGGCTTTCAAAGGGCTCCAAGAACTTCCAGACTGGTGATCTCACATGATCCCAGCCTACTTCTGGCAGAGAGATCCGGTGGGACAGGCTGTAGTAGCCTGGGGGGAAACTGAGGCGCTGAGCTCAGGCCTTTCACTCGGTCCCTTTTGCTTTGCTCTGTGAGTCCTGGAAAAATGAATCCTCGTTTTTGCCATCGCTGGATTATTTTCAGCTGCCATCCTGTCCCTGAGAACGAAGCGCGCACACACACACACACACACACACACACAGACACACACAGACACATACAAAGACACACACAAAGACACACACACACACACAGACACACACAGACACATACAAAGACACACACACACACCTATGCACATAGACATCAACACACACAACTGAAACAAACATATACACAAACAGACAAACACACACAAAGACACACACATGCACACACAGACACAGACACGAACACACACACACACATAGACACACAGACATAAACACACAGACACCCATGCACACACAGACACACAAACATGAACACACAGACACACGCATAGACAGACACATACAGACATAAACACACACAGACACGCACACATGCACACACACAAACACGCAGACACACACACGCACACAGACATAAACACACACAGACATACACGTATGCACGCACAGACACACAGAGATTGTGCACACACAGACACATACACACAGATGCACACACAGACACAGACACAGGCACACATATACCCAGATACACAGATGCACACACACAGGCACAAAGACACACAAACACACAGATACAGACACACATGCACATATAGACACGTATATACACACAGAAGTACACAGACACACACAGACACAGGCACACACATGTATGCACATGTGTGCAGATGCAGGCGCACATCTGCAGCTTCTAGCCCCCAAACTGGCCTCTGCTGAAAAGCGCTCCACCTAGGAGCTGCACGGTTCAGCCATGGGTTCAGTCCTGCCTCTCCTGTCCCCACAAGTTGGGCATTGTGCGTGGAGCTCATTGAAAGGCAGCAGGGAGCTGGCGGATCTGGGGAGCACGTACCAGGGGAGGACTTTCTCGAAGAGAAGTTGCTGTGTGCCATGGTTTGGCGTGACTGACTTTTATGTGGGGGAAGGGCAAGGGATCTTTTCCCTGTCCCTCTTCTTAAGACAGCGCTGCCTACACTCTGGGGTTACTTTCCAAGGGAGAGAACGGGGCCCTGAAAGGCTAAAACCAGAGCAGAAACGGTGGGTGCTCATGGCTAGCTGGGGTCCTGGGATTCTATTTCCTGAATGTGTCTCTGCTTGGTAATTTCAGGGCGGCCAGCAGGGAGAGGGAATGCGGAGTCGGGGGAGTGGCGGGGCGGGGGCGCGTGGGGGTGAAAGGCAGGGAAGAAGGAGGAGAAGAAAAAACCCATCAGCCCGTCTGGCATGAGTTCAGAAAACTCTCCAACTCACACATCTGGTTCTTATATTTCAAAGTTAATTAGTCATATTGAGGCTGTCTGAAGATAAATTTATCATCCAGAAAAAACACAAACAGTTTGAAAAATGAAAGGAAGTGAGGTGACATGCCTTGACGTTTAAATAAATCATTTTAACATGATTAAAAAACTTGTCCTGTCTGACACCCAGTACTTGGGTACTTTGTAAAGACTTTTTTTGACAAAGACAAGTCCCTGTTTGGTATGTAAAAGCCCTTGCCATTCAATTACTCAGAATAATCTTTGGCCAATTACATCTCTGAATGACTACCGGGGCGTACAGCCCACAGCCAGTCGCATTCTCTGGGGGTGGTGGCAGGGGGCTTGGGGTAGTCAGTGATTATCCTAGGGGGAAGAAAAAAACTGCTGTAAAGCATTGAGAGGTTTGGGCAACTGGAGGGTTTTTCTGAGAGAGAAGTGAGCATCAAATACATTCCTCATCTTGCCCTCTCTAGATGAAGGTTGCTTGAGCAGGAAATCCACCCATGGCCCAAAGAGGAAAGATCCGCTTTAAATGCCTGGGCATATACTTCCAAGAACCAGATGTGGCCTGTTCCTTACACCTCCCTGGGCTTAGATGACAGCTTGAACTCTGCGGCTGATGGAATTGTGAGTCGGGGCTCTCTCTGGCCTGGCTATAGTGGGAAGTGGCCAGATGGGGGTGGTAAAAATGTAAATAGTGGTGAGTTCTGATGTGTTTGTTTGTTCTAGGAGCAGATGGGAATGACCTGGAATCTAACACTCTACAATTCAGACACACCACTGTCCACTTGTCCCTCCCTTCCTGCCACTGGCCCTGCCAGCGTACCTTGTGTACTTCGCAAAGGTCACTGGCTCCTGTTTTATGTAATGACTGACAGACGATCTCGCCCAGCTCAGCAATGTGAACAGACACCTTGCATGGTGCCGGTGGTGGGTGCGGTTGTTTCTGGATGTCATGGAAGAGGCTGGGGCATACCAGGGCTTTCCCCAATTGTGCCTAAAATAAATTGGCTCTTGGGAGGTTTCTGTGTGCCTCTGGTCTGTGCTTTGGTCGTGTTATTTATGCAGGACAAGAGTGATATAATCCAACATGAACGTTTTCTCCTATTAGCAATTTGGTCTCATCAGCTTTGTTAATGGGATAACAAGAGGTGCCAGTTATGGTGCAAAAGTCCCATCGTGTTGGTAATTTTCACTGTAACGTGTTAGCAATCTGTCACTATTTGTTTCCAGCAATTCTGGCAAGAGTCTGCTTACATCAGGGGCTCCAATTTTCTCTCCACGCCACCAGGCTGTTCTCCCTTTCCCTGGCGAGGTAGCCTCCCCTATTTCGATCTGTCTCTGTCCATCCGGCTGTGCCCTTGTTTCTCTGTCTCCCATGTTTCTCTCTCTGTCACCTCCCAGCCCTCTGATAACCTACGGCAGTGTTTGTATTGGAGGGAAACACTGTTCGGGAGCAGCTTGCAGTGATAGAATTCCAGAGCTGGAAGCTTGCAACTCTCTTCGCCCCACTTCCCCCATCTGCCACTTGGAGAAATGAGAGCCAGAGAGAAGTGACTTGCCTAAGGTGTTGCTGTCAGTTAGGTGCAAGGCTGGAACTGGGAGCCTGGTTTCATGATTTAAAATCCATTGTGTCTTCTTCTGTACACACAACGGCATATGGAAAAATCAGACGGTTCTCGAAACCAACTTTCTTACCTATGGGAAAACACATCCTGGTGAAGCAAAGGTCGTGGAGGGCACCGAGTCTCCTTCCCGGAGTGAATAGGGCCTTTCTCAGCATAATCAGGAGGGGCCCTCAAACCAGGTGGTTTTCTGGGGTGAGTCATTCCACCAGCTGTGATGCCTTGGGCTCAGGGTCCCTGCTCTGGAATCAAGAAGGGAGTGCTTCCTTAGTGAATCATGGCTGGCAGCGGCTTGCATACAGCTTTAGCCTCAGCCATGGTCACCAGCTATCCAGCACAGAAGCCCTGGACATAAATAGCCTTTCCTGTGCAAGATGAGACACTCCTGCCTGCCTCCAGGTCCTAGACCCCTGCTGCACCTCTAGGAGACCTTCGCCTTGCCCTTGTGCATTTGCTCGAGTGGCCAAGATTCATTCCTTCTGGAAGCATTTATTTCCATGGCTGCCATCCTGAGGCCTGGAGGCTGAGAAGAGCAGAGGCACCACCCTGTCACACGGAGATGCCAGATATTGTGTCAGATGGATGAGGGTTTGGAATCTTAGCTCTGCAACTTTGTGGTTGCAGGAACTTCCTAGATGCAGACACTGTCAGTCTCCGTGTCTTTACTTGTAAAATGGGGATTTATAATATCATAGTTTGCTTATAGGTCTGTAGTGGGGAATATAGAATGTGTTTAAGTCCCCAGAATGCTCTAATGCATGTAGTAGGTCTGCCATAAACCAAAAATTCAGCCCCTTACTCAATGTATGGGCTAGGAGATGCAGAGACTCCCCAGGACCACCTCTTACATTTCTTTCATAGCCACTGTCAAGTTCACAGTGTGGGTGATGGCTGGCTATGCAGTGATGGCCTGTGTGGCGTGGGGGGCAGCAAGTGGGCTGTTGGGAGAAGTGTTCCAGTAGAGGATCAAGGAGAATGTCTAAGGCAGAGAGACTTAGAGCATCAATTAACCATCTGTTGAGTGGAAGGAGAGAACGGCTGACCACCAAGTCACCAGCGACCCGGATGTTTAGAAGAATGAATATGCAGATTTCTGTGGCAGGAAAAAAAAAAGGAAAGAAAAGCGCTTTGACTTGGGCGCTGGTGAGAGCTACCAGGCTAGTGCACGTTCTCTCTGTCAAAACCTTCCCACTAATTGTCCAAAGCTTCCCTGATTGCTTGTAATGAAACCGCCAGCCGACTCTGAAATCTCAGAACCGTCTCATCATGCCCTGTTGAATAATAAACATTGCTCACAGGGGCAGACGAGTTGGTCACGTCAGCCTGGGAAGAGGCCTGGTGCTCCTCAGAGAGGCGGTTTCCTGGCTGTGTCCCAGGCACCTGGCAGGGCTGCCGGAGAGCAGGTACCGGGGTTGGCCCAGCCTTCTCCAGTTGTCCTTAAGGTGCCTTGGCTATGATGAGTTCTGCCTGCCTCTCTGTCTGGTGCTTCCTTTAGAGTTGACAGATGTGGGAGGTGTGTGTGTGTGTCTGTGTGTGTCTCTGTGTCTCTGTGTGTGTGTCTCTATGCGTGTGTGTCTGTGTGTGTGTCCATGTGAGTGTCTGTGTGTGTCTCTGTGTGTGTCTGTGTATCTGTGTGTATCTCTGTGTCTGTGTGCATGTGTGTCTGTGTATGTGTGTGTGTGCATGTGTGTGTCTGTGTGTGTATCTGTGTGTGTCTCTGTGTGTATGTGTCTGTGTATGTCTCTGTGTGTATGTGTGTGCATGTGTGTACATTTCCCATACCCCCCCTTGTAATCCAGGTCTCTACTTAGAAAATGAGAGACTTGGAGTGGGATACCAGGTGAGTCATTTAGACCCCTTGGGTCTTGGTTTCTCTTTTATTTATTTTAGAAACAGGGTCTGGCTGTGTCGCTCAGGCTGCAGTGCAGCAGCATGATCATAACCCACTCACTGCGGCCTCAAACTTCTGGGCTCAAATGATCTTCCTGCCTCAGCTTCTTGCGAAGCTAGGACTACAGACACGCAGCAATAGGCCTGGCTGATATATATATTTTTTTAATTTTGTAGAGATGGGGTCTCATTTTTTTTGCCCAGGCTGGTCTCGAACTCCTGGCCTCAAGAGATCCTCCTGCCTCGGCTCCCAAAGTGCTGGGACTGGAGGTGTGAGCCTGGCCTTGGGTACCCTGGTTGCTTTCTGTAGCTCTTCACATGACCCATGCATGTTCATTCTGCACATCCACTTCATGCCTTTGGAGAGGTTTCTGGACCACACAGTCTATGATACTGCTCTCTCATTATTCTGCACTTTTTTTCTTTTCTTTTTGAGACGCGGTCTCACTCTGTCATCCATGCTGGAGTTTAGTGGTGCAATCATAGCTCATTGTAGCCTCGAACTCCCAGGCTCAAGGAGTGCTAGGAAATAGCGCTCAGCCTCCCAAAGTGCTAGGATTACAGGCATGAGCCACGACTACCCTGCCTTTTTTCCCCCTAACATTTATCAGGATCATAACTATCTTGCTGTTTGTGTGTTTTGTCTCCGGAGATTGTACTCAAGGTGAGGGAAGGGCCTTTCACATCCTGTTCCCCTCTGCGTTCCAGCGTTGGAACAGCTCAATGCCGAGGCCACAGGTGCTCTCTCAAGGCTACCTGTTGACGGAATGAGGAAACCTGCAAAAAGAGTGGCCGTTAATGACTTCCTCTACTTGCCTCATAGGGTTTTTGCAAGGGTCAAATGACGGCAGCTGTGAAAGTAATTTGAAAAAGTGAAAAGAAATATGCCAAGTGCAAACTATTAACATTACTCTCCTGTGGGCGGCAGAGGACGTGCCTTTGCCAAAATGTCTCAGTAGCCTTGAGGTGGGCCTGGCAGAAACTGGAAATCTTCCAAATACCTCACTGCCACCGACTTACACAGGGGTCTTCAAAGCAAGACACGCAGTTGCAGAACAATTCAGCTCCATTTTGCTCATGTTTACTGGGGGTCTGCTCCGTGTGATGGGTGCCAGGAGGCAGGAGAGCAAAGGTGTATCCTGTGGCCTCGGTCCTCAGCCAACTCACAATCCAGGAGGCAAGGCCGACTTGCAGACTGATACATTTTAGTACGAGGACACCTGCAACAGGAGAGGCAAGGGTAGGTATCGAGAGGAAGGAATGTGAACCTTAAGAAGATGGGGAGATGACAGCAGGATTACTTGGCAGGTGAATCTCCGCCTTCTCGGTGGAGAAGTTTCCTAGAAACCTGTGTTTGTCTTTTCGTTGTTGGCTGTCCTCCTCCTAACTGCTACAGTTGAATTTTTTTTTTCTTCTTAGAGACAGGGTCTCACTCTGTTGCCCAGGCTGCAGTGCAGTGTTGCAATCATAGCTCCGTGCAGCCTCTAACTCCTGGGCTCAAGCAATCCTCCTGCGTTACCCCCACAAGTAGCTGAGACCACATGCGTGCACCACTTAATTTTTTTTTTTTTAAATTGTAGAGATGAGGTCTCACCACGTTGCCCAGGCTTGTCTCAAACTCCTGACTTCAAGCGATCCTTCTGCCTTGCCCTCCCAAAGCACTGGGATTATAGGCGGGAGCCACTGTGGCTGGCTCTGCAGATGACTATTTAGACAATTCCCTGATCGCACCCCACATGAAATCTTACTAACACATCTATCCCATGTACCTGCTATGTTCCATGGTCCTTTCAAGGCTCACAAATCATTGCAATAGCTAAGGTTTTTAAAAATCCCCCAAGAACCAGCTTTCGCCCTGTTGGCGTGCTACCACCCCTGTTGTGAACGCAGGCAAGTACCACAGGCTTTCTCCCCTCTCCACCAATTCTGCGGACCTCAGACAACTTCTCCTACAGGTCTCGTGGCGTGGATTCCTTATTACCAAATATCCAGCCCTGGGACAGATATGGGCTAGAACTCAGGACTCTAGGGGGCTTTTCCAGGGGTCTAATGGCTTTCAGGGTGCTACTGGCTCCCTAATCTCCTTTTCCTGCCAGGGAATTTGGAACGCTTTACCCATCGTCACCTTTCCTGCCTCCCCGGTGTCCTTGTGTGGTCCTGACTGAATGTTCCCACCCCCAGCCCATCATACAGAGCTGGGGATCCATCACCTCTTCCTGGGCTATTGCTTCCCAAGTGCTGTCTTTCCATGTCAGCAGCACGTGGAGCCCAGGCTGCCCGTGGACACTGCTTGGATGAGGACTGAGGCTGTGCTAGACCACGTGCTTCCTGGGTGTGGCTTGGGTCTCCAGTTTGTCAGTTTCTTCAAGGCAGGGGCTGCATCTGGCCCTTTTGCCCCGCGTTCCCCTCTTTCTAAATCAGGGTTCAGTAAAGACTCACTGGTTGTTTGGCATCCTTTTTGCCTTCTCAGCATGACTAAGTGATATGGTTTGGATATTTGTCTCTTCAAATCTCATGCTGAAACGTAAGCCCCAGTGTTGGAGGTGGGGCCTAGTGGGAGGTGTTTGGGTCATGGAGGCAGATATTTTGTGAATGGCTTGGCGCCCTTCCCTTTGTAATGAGTTCACAAAGGAGCTGGTTGTTTAAAAGAGCCTGGCATCTCTCTTGCTCCCTTATATGGTTTGGCTCTGTGTCCCTGCCCAAATCTCATCTTGAATTGTAATCCCCATTTACAGTTGGGAGGTGATCAGACCATCAGGACGGTTTTCCCCATGCTGTTCTCATGGTAGTGAGTGAGTTCTCATTTGACCTGATGGTTTTATAAGGGACTATTCTCGCTTTACATGCTCTCTCTCACCTGCCACCATGTAAGATGTGCCCGCTTCCCCTTCTACCATGATTGTAAGTTCCCCGAGACCTCTGCAGCCATGCAGAACTGTGAGCCAATTAAACCCTTTTCCTTTATAAACTACCCAGTCTTGGGTAATATCTTTATAACAGTGTAAAAATGGACTAATACACACTCTCTCTCCCCATGTGACACTGTGGCTCTCCCTTTCCCTTCCTCCATGATTGGAAGCTCCCTGAGGCCCTCACCAGGAGCAGGTGCTGGCACCATGCATCTTCTTCTTTTCTTTTTTCTTTTTTGAGATGGAGTCTCACTCTGTCATCCAGGCTGGAGTGCAATGGCACAATCTTGGCTCACTGCAACCGCTACCTCCCAGGTTCAAGCGATTCTCATGCTTCAGCCTCCGAATTAGCTGGGATTATAGGCATCTGCTACCATGCTTGGCTAATGTTTGAATTTTTAGGAGAGATGTTGGCCAGGCTGGTCTCAAAATCCTGACCTCAAATGATCCACCCACCTTAGCCTCCCAAAGTGCTGGGATTGCAGGTGTAAGCCACTGTGCCCGGCCTGCACCATGCTTCTTATACAGTCTGCAGAACCATGAGCTAAATACACCTCTTTTCTTTATAAATTACCCAGTCTCAGGTATTTCTTTATAGCAATGCAAAATGGACTAGCACAAGAGGGAAAGCAGCAATGGTTTCCTTTGTAAATATTCTTATTAAGTACCAGGCACTGAGTAGGGGCTTAAAAAATGTAAGTTGAGATGGCATCCACAATGAGAAGGAAAGCAGCTCTGGTTCCTTCAGGACCCGCTTGAGGGGGCACCGCGGTGGCTTGGGGACAACTTGGAGCCCCATCCTGGGGAGAAAACAGCTCCTGTCTATGGCCCTGACTGCTTAGGCGGGAGCTGCGTGCAGCTCAGCTTCTCCAGGGCATTTTTTTCTACATGGTAGGCAAGAACATGTGCTCAGAGGAAGCATCACAATGCCACTGCCACCCCATCTTCCCGCCAAAAAACTAGAAAATTAGGCATCCTTCAGCATGACATGCAGAAGAGTCCTTACTACGGTGAGCCAGAAGGCACCCGATGAAGTGCTGGACCTGCACCTAATCACTGCCAGTTGGAAGTGACTGTGTTACATCGAGAAAAGCAATTTATATGCAATGTGGCCTGAAGGACACGGTCTACTTATCAGGCCTTCTTATAGAAGGCTCCACTGGCATATTGAGCAGGAAAACGTAGTTGTATATTGACTGTCTTGCATATTATCAAGGAAGTGTCTCCAAAGGGGGCAGTGCTGCTTCAAAGACCTTCATACCTAGATGCTTGCTATCAGCATCACTGTAGATCTGCTTTTTCTGAAGTGACCAGCTACCACACAATCCCCTGAACTTGTTCTCTAAGGACACTTACTACCTTTGGCCACAAAAGGCCATAGGAGAAATATGTCTCTGGTTTCAGTGCCAATAATGGTTGAATTATCCTGATTATTTAACTAGGTTTCTGTCTTTTTGTTTGCTCTGATCTGTTTCATTTTATTTTATATTGTCCTGTAGATATTTCTATAAGCCACCTTATATTTTTTGTGAAAGAGAGGAGAAAATAATGAAATAAGTGTTTAGGCAATGATGAATCTAAAGAGATGAGTGAGGAAAAGCAAGATAACTAGTGAAAGATAGCTTCAGCAGCAAGAACAGGAAAAATCCAATATAAGCCATAACAGAAGGTCTGTTGGGATGATGGAAGGCAATATCACAGTGCATTAGTAAAAATACTCAGTAATAAGAAGTGGGTTTGGGTCCTGGCTCTGTCACTAACTAGCTAAATGATGCTGAAAAAAAAAAGAAAGAAAAGAAAAAAAAAACAGGCAGAAAAGAACCTAGTTTAATGATCCCCCATAGACATGGAGAGATGGGATAGCACAGAGGTTCAGCAGGTGGGCTCTATAATCACACTGAGGTGAAAGCCTACTCCTATTTATTCTCATGGAACCTTTAACAACTTATCTTTAAGCCTTGTTTTTCTTATCTATAAAATGGAAATAAGAGTGCTGATCTTGTGTGTTTTTGGGAGGTTTGTGATTTTCTTTAGCTAGTCTTTTCAAGCACTCTATATGGATTTACAGAGGGGATCCTTGAGCTACAGAACAATAAAGTAATTTTCACAAGGTCCCAAAACCAATGAGTAGCACAGCTATGACTGGAACGCATGCTGTCCACCTCCAGGTCTATGCTCTTAACCACTCTTTAATACTGATGATAAATTAACTAATCACGTGTAATGCATGGAGCGCAGTGCCTGGCACATGGTAAGCCTTTAATAACTGTTAGCTCACTCAGCAAATGAAAATGCCTTACAAATCTAAATTAATTTCCAAGTCATGGAAAGATATACTATATCTCAGATATGATGTTTGTTAAATAATAACATATCTAGATAATATCTAGATAATTTATAATTTCATAGAGAAATGCTATGAAATTGATAGATGATACAAATACAGAATGAATAAGTAAAACAAAAAATTACAGAAATAATATTAATTTTAAAGGGTAACTAGCACAGCTGAGCACACATACTTATGTATAAGAAATATTCATCATATTGTTATTTATTAAAGTTTAAAAAGTAAATGAGTTGAATATACAAATGTAAGGAGTTGATTAAACAAAATATGGAATATCTACACACATAGAAAAAAGGACTGGATTAAAATATGACAGGACTTCAACATTAGTCTTTTGGTAATATGATTTGTACCAGTTTTCCTCTTTCTTTCCAATGGTCAGTTTTCCAAATTTTCTACAATGAAAACATATTTCTGTAATAATCTGAAAAAATAAACATTATTTTCAATTGAAATAAAAAAATGTGAGTTGAATGAGTTGAACTGGAGAATATTTTTTGTTTCTGTTTGCACTCTTTAAAAAGTATTCACTCAGGCTTGACATCTTGGAACTTCACTTTGACAGTCTATTGGCTCCAAAGGTTTGAATCCATGACAGATCTTCTGAGCTTACCTGCTCACCTGTTCTCAGGAGCTGAGCAAGGCACCTGCCAGGGGTCACGTTCTATCAAGAGGTTGATTTACTCCTGGAGGGAGAGTCATTGCCAAGTTTTATTTCTACTAGGAAACCAATTGCAGTAAAAAAAAAAAAAAACAGTGCCTTTTAGGTTCTGTGTTGGGTGCTCTTGACAATGCTTCTTTTTGGAGCCTTTCCCTAGAGCAGTCTCTGATTAGGTTGGCTTAGCAGAGACATCTAGACATTCTGTTTTGTAAATTACTGGAGAAATTATATCCCTGTCATATTTGAACACTCTGAAATAGGAGAGAATTACTTTATTGGGCGTTCCCCCTCCCTCCTCCTAAATGTTTGAAGCTAACAGAATGTTTTCAAGCAATTTCTTGCCACTAGATTTCGTGAAACTTACTTCAAGTGTCTTTCCAGAACCTTTCATAGAAAAGTAATTGTGTAATTAGCTATAAATTAGTAAAAATTATGCTAATTACTTCCAGGTGTGACATATTTTGTGCTTAAAAACAAGTAAGAGAAATAAAGGGGCTGTCAGTGTGGTTCCCAAGTGAAGGTGAGCCCAGGTAACTTGACAGGCTGATGTGCATATTTACTTAATATATTTTTTTAAAAATTATGTAATTTCTGAATAAGTACAAACAGACCAGGGAACAAAAGTTACAACAGACAAAACCCAGAGCGGTTCTTTTTGTGTGTGAGCTTAATTAAAAGAAACCTATGCAGGAACTTTGTCACTACTTTTCAGTCTTGCAGTTGACCTGGGGTGATGGGAAGGGAGAATGTTAGTGTTTGTGTGTGTGTGTGTGTGTGTGTGTGTGGAGGGGGTCTTAGGGCTTCACAGCTCTGTAAGTCAGAAGAGGTCCCTTGGCCCTCCCGCTGGGGAGTCACCCTCTCTGCACACAGTCCTCACACTTGCAGTTCTTGTTGTTAAGGTTTTGTGGACCATGGCCCAGAAATGGCACTGTCATATGCTAATGATGCTGTCTTGAGTGTCTCATTTGCACACAGTGCTTTGCTAAGACAGTACTTGATCACACCACCCATTCCTGTGTCCTCTGCACCACAGTCCCTTGAAGCATGTAAAACTGCTATTATAACCATCGTAGTGTACATGAAAGTCAGAAGGACTGTGTTCTCCTGGGATGGGGCAAAGAGGGAACGAAGGAGAAAATGGAGTCTGCTCCCTCCCTCCCTCTCTCTCTCTTCCGCTTTTCATTCCTTCCTTCCTTCCTCCTTCCCTCTCTCCCTTCTTCTCCTCTTCTTTTCTTTCCTTCCTTCATTCCTTCCTTCCTTTGTTCATTTGTTCCTTCCTTCTTTCCCTTCCTTCTTTTCTTCCTCCCTCATGCCCTCCCTTCCTCTTTTCTTTCTTCCTTCCTTCCTTCCCTCCTCCCTCTCTCCCTCTCTCCATCTCTCCCTCTCTTCCTTCCTCTCTTTTTGCCTCTCTCCTACGTTCTCTCCGTTCCTTCTTTCCTTCCTCCCTCCCTCCTACCTTCCCTCACTTCCTTCTTTCCCTCTCTTCCTTCTTTCCCTCTCTTCCTTCTTTCCCTCCCTTCCTTCTTTCCCTCCCTTCCTTCTTTCCCTCTCTTCCTTCTTTCCCTCTCTTCCTTCTTTCCCTCCCTTCCTTCTTTCCCTCCCTTCCTTCTTTCCCTCCCTTCCTTCCTTCTTCCTCCCTCCCTCCCTTCCTTCCTTCCTCCCTTCCTCCCTCCCTCCCTTCCTTCCTTCCTTCCTTCCTTCCTTCCTTCTTCCTCCCCCCCTCCCTCCCTCCCTCCCTTTCTCCTTTTTAAATTCATCTGACAGCAATTGATGCCATCTGCACCATTGAGCAAGGATGTCAGGTGTAAGCCCATCACTCAGCCTATGTGTAGGCCAACCATGCTGGGTCATGTGGTAGGTGCTGGGTAGACAAAGACTCATATCACTGTCAAGATCACAGGTAGTGGGGATGCACATGAAGAAATAATCTGATAGAGTAATCGTAGTACTCTAATCACAGTGACCCAGGTCTTTACAGATAAGGACATAGGCATACAGAAGTTAAGTAACCAGGATTCTTTTTGTGATTTTTGTGTTTAAAAAAAAAGGCTGAGTCTTGGTCTAGTCTTTTGCCCTCCACGAAAGCCATGCCTAGATAGCTAAATAACACTGTGGTGGAGATAAGGGCTCTATGAGCCCAAATAAAGGGGAAATCACTATACTTGAAAAAGGCATATGGGTTTAGAATCAGATGCCTGCAGTCCTGGATTCCTGATTCTCATTTCTCCAGCCAGCCTCCCAGGGCTCTTGAGGATTAAATGAGACAATCTTTGTGACAAGCACTTTGCAAATTGCAATGTACCATACATATGTGGTGAGAAACCAATGAGGGGCCAGGGCAGATGTGACTAATTTGGCCACAGCTGGAGGAGCCTCCCAGGCAGGACAGCTGGAATCTGGAAAGCCAGGCAGAAGGGGCAGAGGCCCAGGGTGGGTGGAGCAAGGATCTCTCACAGGCAGACCTGGCCTTTCTGCCCCCAGCCTCCCTCCTTCTGTGGGATGTGTGTGGCCCTTGGTGTGGCTTCAGGTGGTGAATCTGGACCAGGCTCCTTGCACACGGTGAGCAGGAGCTGCTTCCTGGAGCAGGTGGCCTTTCTGCTGGGAGTTCAGCCTTGCAGTAGGTTTCTTTGGGCTTTCTATCCCTAGGTGGAACCAGGCTTGGTGTCTATCTGTTTTCTCATTACCCATAAGATCAAGTCCAGCCACCTTGGCCATCATGAGAATAACCCCCAGAGGAATCCTTATATTTCTTGCTACTCCCCACATAGCACCTCTGTTTGCTCCATCTGCTCCAGCAGCCACTCTCCTGGGTGTTCCCTGCAGACAAGGTTCAGGGGTCACCTTGGAGCCGTTGCTGATGCTGCTGCCTCCATGCACAGCTGAAGTTCCACCTCCTGTCCAAGCCTTTCCTGCAGCGATTTGCCTTTTATTTGAGCTCTTAGAGTCCTTATCTCCACTAAACAGTATTATTTAGCCATCTGAGCATGGCTTTTCTGGAGGGCAAAGGACTGGACCAAGGCTCAGCCTTTTTTTTTTTTTTTTTTTTTTAACACTCCCGAGCTTTGTGTTTTAGCTTCTGCTCATCTAGTGTTGCTTTGACTGTATTTGTAGGGAGAAACAGGAGTGATTTGGACCACCTTCGTCTTTTCGCGTAGATTCTTTTTAGCGGGCAGGATGGTTAAGATTTTATCTCAAAGGCTGGCTTTCCTGTGGGTCTAGGAGGCACTGTGAGAACCACTAGACAGGGCTCAGTACTCATTGCACACAAATGAATTTCACGGTTGGAGCAAAGCCCTGTCATTGCAAACCAGTGTCTGGCAGCTCCCTTGTAGGGGAGATCAGCTGCTTGACATGGGAATCTTGCCCTTGGCCAGATGAGAAATTTTATATGCACGCTTTACAGGTCAACACCACCTGTTCTAACTCCTGGAAGGGAGAATTTTAAAGGAGTCAACACATTCCCAAAATGTATTTGTTAGTGTGTCTTTGTAGATGTGGTTAAGACAGACTGCAGCATTTGCAAAGCTTAGTGCAAAGTGAAAATATGAGTCTCTTGCTCAGAAATTATTAAGAATTTCAAGATGGTGACAAGTAGACCATGGTTTATTTCTGAGTGTGTGTTGGGAGTACAGTGTAACTATATAACTTGCATGCTTATAAACTGCCTCTTCTGTTCTGTGTGTGTGTCAGCTGTTGCTATCATGCCAGTATAGAAGGTGATGGTGTTGGTGTTTGTTAATTAATTTCTTTTTCCTTTTACTCAGCACAGTTTCCAAGTTAAGTAACAATATCAAGTATCTACATATGTCTAGCACTACTCACAACACCAATGGGCAGTGGTTTACCAAATTAGTGGAAGATACGGTTCTCCCTCGAGAGATGTTTATGGTATTATAAAAGAGACAAGATGCATTCAGTTATCATTCATAGCTGCCAGATTAAGAGGCTCAGAGAGGCTCAGTGATTTTCCCAAAGTCACACAGCTACTCCAGGCCCAGGGTTCTCTGGCCTTGCACATGAAACACTTAAAGAATGAGATGCCTGGTGTGGGGTGCTAGGAGATGTGGGAGGTCTGAGGAGCCAAGGCCATGGGATAATCACTGCCAGTTTGCAGGAAGGGAAGGATTCAGACTGGGGGTGCAGAGAGGATAGGGGAGGCCAGCATGGAGGGAACATACTCTGGCCAGGGATGTGGGCAGGACGCCAGCAGGAGGGGAGCTAGAGACCAGGAATCGTTGCCATGCTCTCTCTCTTCTTTAGTCCTCACCTTTGCTAACTCCTTTCCTTCTTAAATGAAGTACCTTTCTCCAGGGCCATTTCCCTCTCCATTCTATTTCAGTGTATTTCAAACTTGGACCATAATCCACAGCAAGAAACATATTTTCCGCTGTGGCCCAGCATACACACACACACACACGTATATCTGTGGATGCACGCATTTTTCTTGTGTTTTTGTGTTGACTTACCTTTGCTACATGTGGTGCAATCTGATGTTTTCTGTTATGTAATTAAATATTCAGATAATGACGCCCCTAATTGAGGCACAACCCCCAGTGTGAAATCCTGCTTTAACTCCACTCTGTCATAGCTGGCAGACAGGGAGAATTTTTTTTGCTTTTGTGCTCAAAACCCCATGGAACGAAGGGCTATGCCCTTCCCTGGCTCTGCCAGCCATTTGGAATTCTCTCCTTCCTCCTCTCTCTGGGCACCTAAAACTCATATTCCTGGCACTCCGCTGGGATCTTAGCCCCTCCTACTGCGGGTTTAATTACATTTTTATGCACTTGCATGTTCTCTCCCCAACAAGAGGGATTACACATTCCTCACAGAGAAAACACAGTCCTAGGAGGAGACACAGCAGCACACGGAAGACAGTGAGAGCTCAGCAGGCTCATTTTTCTGGCTCCTCTGAGGCTCCATCCTGTGCCTTTTCCAGAATAGGTGCTCAACAAGTATTCATAGATTGATGGAGTCATTGCTTGAGAGTTCAGAAGGCTGTAGGAATTTTCAGTGCCCTCAGCCTTGCTGGCGTCCAAGGCCTGTTGGTGGGGCTGGCGTTGGATTGTCCCCTGAGTAAGCTGTTGGAAGCCCCTTTGTTGTTCCTCATCTTGTCATGCTTCTGTGACTCAGCCTTGCCCTCCAGCCTCAGATACTTCTGGGGCTTACACCCTCTTGCCTTCTCCTGGGAGATACTACCTGGGCTGGTGGTGAGTCTGAAAGACCCGTGCACTCTCACTCAACCTTGCCTGCCCCTCCAGCCCTGTCCACATGATGGGGGGAACACTGGGCTCAGCATCAGAAAACTTCTCTTCGAGTCCCCTGAACCAGTTGAATGACTTTGGGGAAATGGCTTAGTCTCCTGGAGGCTCTTGTCTCCTCATTTGACACCTCCTGGGCTTGTTGAAAGGGTCACCTTGTTTTAGGCATTTTAAGTGTGATATATTGTATATGTATGTATGTATGTTATATATAAAGTGCTTTTTTTTTTTTTTTCTGAGATGGAGTCTCGCTCTGTTGCCCAGGCTGGAGTGCAGTGGTGCAGTCTCGGCTCACTGCAACCTCTGTCTCCTGGGTTCAAGCAATTCTTCTACCTCAGCCTCCTGAGTAGTTGGGATTACAAGCGTCCGCCACTACGCCCAGCTAATTTTTGCATTTTTAGTAGAGACGTGATTTCACCACATTGGCCAGGCTGGTCTCGAACTCCTGACCTCAGGTGATCTGCTCACCTCACCCTCCCAAAGTGCTAGGATTACAGGAGTGAGCCAACCTGCCCGGCCTAAAATGCTTTTAACTGTAAGCAGGATCATACTGTACATATAATATTGAAACTTGCTTTTTCATTAAAGAACATTTTTAAACATGCATTCATGATAGTATCAGCAGGCATATCTCATTCTTTTTAATGAATGCACAGTATTAATCTTTCATTTTATGGATGAACCAGTTTAACCTATTACCTATTGATAGACACTTAGGTTGATTCCAGCTTTTTTTTCTATTACAAACGGTGCTTCAATGAGCATCTTTGTACAGTGGGATAAATTCACATAAATGAAATTTCTGGTATGTAGGATTTGTGCCTTTAGAAGTTTGATGGATATTGCTATATTTGCTTTCCAGGTTGTCCTCATTTATGCCATCAATCTAAACATTGCGTTTTTTTTGCATGTGTTCAGTAAATGCCGTGGAAGTTGGTCTTGACAGTTTATCCAATTATTAGTGTGATTCAACTACCCACTCTATTCAGGGGTGATTCCACCACGTTCTGGGGTGTGTGATTTAAATCCCCTCTCTGCCCTCACTCGCTGGGGGACTGTGGAGAGTTTGCTTGACTTCCCAGAGGCAGGACTTCTTAGTGGAGATGACAGTACCTCTCTTGAAGAGTACACTTGGGGACCTAAGGAATGTTTGTCAAACTTCTTGCCCAGTGCGTGGCACTGAGTAGGTACTTAATATCCACTATCATCATTCCCTGAAAGAGTGGCTAGCTCCCGCTACCTGGTCTTTATGAGAGAGGACAGCACAGTTTGCCAAAGGACTCAGAGGGACAACTGAGGCACAGGTCATCACTGGCCTGAGTTTGTAGTGGCAGAAAAAGAACTCTTAATTTCCTAGACTTCAATTCTCTTTAGGGCAGTAACTTTGTTTTCTACTTCTTTGTATTGCTGTCAGTGCTGAGTCTGGTGTCTGGAACGTAGCAGGTGCAGTTAGATGTTCAGGGTGGGAGGCAAGCAAGGGTATTGACCAGGGACCAGCTTGCTAGAAGGAGGCCCTGCAGAGGGAGAGTGTCATATTTTAGAATCATACACATTAGGATATGTAAATTATACATCTCACTTTTTCTTCTTTAGAGAGTTTCAGAAAGAAGCTTCGATGGGAGTTGAAAGAAGGGAGAAATAACAACACAGCCTAGGCATAGAAATCCCCTTTTAAAAATTGCCTTTGGGGCCAGGTCATGAAGCCGGGAGGAGGAAATCTGGGTGCTGTGTGGGAAAATGTGAGTAATTGGCACTCGGGGTGGAGTGGGCGCTTGTTGATCCCGAGTGGAACCTTGGGCTCTCTGGATGTGGTATTTTGAGCTCCCTCTCTCCCGCTGGACCTGGCGCTTCTTGTCTCTGGGGCACACTGCTTACTCCTCCGGCCTTTTCTTACTCTATTTTTGGAAATGGTGTCCTTCCTTCCCCTACAAGAGTCATCCTTCCTGCCCTGCCTGGCCACTCCAAAAGCATCTGGTGTCAAGAACTCTATCCGAAAGACTTGATCCCTGATGCCTCAGGCTGCCAGTGCCTCAGGCTGGCGGGTCACAGACACAGGTGGGAGAGGAGGAGGCAGGGCTGTGCCCTGGGGCTGGGAGTGACTGGGGATGGGGCCAGATGACTCAAGTTATAATCTGGGCCTGACCTCGGACTTCTCACTGTATTGTACCTCTCTGTGCTTCAGCCTTCCCTTCTGTTCAACACAGTCAGACCTGCCCTCGCCTGTTCACGAGAGAGCCAAAAGGACAGCTCAGTGCTTGATACCAAAGCAAGAGAAATCGCAGGGAGGAATTCCCTCTGTCAGTAATTCAAGAGGGTGTGTTGCATTCATGCCTCTTATGGGTCCTCTGGGGTTGGGAAGATGTGCCACACAAATAATATTCCACACAGAGGGCCAGGCCTTCTGCCTGCCCACACCTAGTTTATTCACAGAGGGCCAGCTCTGAATTCCTTCTCTGTCCCTTCTTAGCTGTATGACCTTGAGCAAGTTACCTCGCCTCTCTGGCCAGAGTTTCTTATGGCGAAATGAAGATAACAACAGCACCTCATTAGGCAGTGAGAGGATTCAGCATTATTATTATTATCTTTGATACTGCATAAAAATTTCATTTCAAGGCAGATTTACCTCACTCAGCCTACGGTCAAAAAGGCTATAGACTATAGTTTTCTATAGAGCATGCTATATGCTATAGTACATGGTATGCTGTGAATGCCAAATGCTATGGAGCATGCTATATGCTATAGTATATCTTATGCTATGTTATATATGCTATATTGCTATAGACCATGCTATATGGTATAGTATATGCTATGCTGTGTATGCCAAATGCTATAGACCATGCTATATGCTATAGTATATCTTATATGTTATATATGCTATATGCTGTAGACTATGCTATATGCTATAGCATATCTTATGCTATGTAACCTATATGCTATAGACCACACTATATGCCATAGTATATGCTATGCTTTATATGCTATAGTATGTGCTATGCTATATATGCTCTATGTAATAATCTGTTCTAATGCTGCTAATAAAGACATACCTGAAACTGGGTAATTTATTAATGGAAAGAGGTTTAATGGACTCACAGTTCTACATGGCTGGGGAGGTCTCACAATCATGGCAGAAGGCAAATGAGGAGCAAAGTCACATCTTACAGGGAGGCAGGCAAGAGAGCTTGTGCAAGGGAACTCCCATTTATAAAACCATCAGATCTTGTAAGACATATTCACTACCATGAGAATAATATGGGGGAAACCACTCCCATGATTCAATTATCTCTACCTGGCCCCACTCTTGACATGTGGAGATTATTACAATTCAAGGTGAGATTTGGGTGGGGACACAGCCAAACCTTATCACTATATGCTGTAGACTATGTTATATGCTATAGTATATAGTATGCTCTGTATGCTATATGCTATACGTTATACATTAAGCTATATGCTATAGTATGAGCTATGCTATATCACAATTCTATATGCTATTGACCATGCTATATGCTATAGTATATGCTATGCTATGTGTGCTATATGCTATAGACCATGCTATATGCCACAGTATATACCATGCTTTATATGCTATAGTATATGCTATGCTATATACACTATATACTACAGGCTATGTTATATGCTATAGTATATGTTAGGCTATGCATGCTATATGCTATAGACCATGCTATATGCTGTAGTATGAGCTATGCTATAAATGCTCTATGTTATAGACTATGTTACATACTAGAGTATGTGCTATGCTACATGTGCTATATGCTATAGAACTTGCTACATGCTACAGTATAGGCTATGCTACATGTGTTATATGCTATAGACTATGTTATATGCTATAGTATATGTTAGGCTGTGTATGTGATAGACTATGTTACTATGTTGTGTGCTATAGTATGTGCTATGCTACGTGTGCTATATGCTATAGTCCATTCTCATGCTGCTATAAAGAACTGCCTGGGACTAGGTAATTTATAAAAGAAAGAGGTTTAATTGACTCACAGCTCTGCATGCCTGGGGAGACCTCAGGGAACTTACAATCATGGTAGAAGGCACCTCTTCACAGGGTGGCAGGGGAGAGAATGAGTGCCAGCGGGGGAAATGCCAGACACTTATAAAACCATCAGTTCTCATGAGAACTTACTCACTAACATGAGAACAGCATGGGGGAAACTGCCCCCACGATTCAATTACCTCCCACTGGGTCCCTCCCATGACATGTGGGGATTATGGGAACTACAATTCAAGATGAGATTTGGGTGGGGACACAGCCAAACCTTATCAGCTATAGACCATGCTATATGCTATACTATATGCTATGCTGCATGTGCTACATGCTATAGACTATGTTATATTCTATAGTATTAGATTGATGTAAAAGTAACTGCGGTTTTTGCCATTACTATGGCATATAGCATGGCCGATAGCATTTGGCATACATAGCATAGCATATACTATACCATATAGCATGGTCTACAGCAATATAGTATGTGTAATATAGCATATGCTATATTATATTCTGCCATTACTTTCAATGGCAAAAACTGCAATTGCTTTTGCACCAACCTAATATATGTTAGGCTATGTATGCTATATGCTATAGGCTATTCATATGCTATAGTATGTGCTATGTTACATGTGCTATATGCTATAGACTATGTTATATGTTATAGTGTATGTTAGGCTATGTGTGCTGTATGCTATAGTATGCTATAGACTCTGTAGAAATCTCTACGCTTTCAGTGGGAAGCTTGAGGAAAGGAAAGGTCTCTTTGGTTGGCAGTAGGCTCTTTCTAAACTATATTCCATCTGTTCCAGTCCATTGCAGTCCATCTATGGCATCAATACCATTTAATATGCTTTCATTGAACACTTAGTGTCGTGAGTCAGGAAACCCAATGACTTTCTCTGGATCGGCCTGAATCCTAGAGCAAGAAACAGGCTTGGAAAAGGCAAATCAGAATTAAGGTACTGCCAAAGAACTTGTGAAGGAAAGAGCAATAACCTCTGAGCTCCAGCTTCTAACTCAAGCCCTGTCTGGGCATGGACCAAAGGCTCGGGCCCAGAGTTGAAAGAGGAGCCTGGTCTCTAAGCAACCTGTTCACGTTGGTTTGGCTTTGAGATGAAAGCGAAGACATGGATTCCACTACTGGGCGGCTGGGTTCCTCTCAGGCCTTGGGCATGTGAGAGATGAAGTTAGTTGTTCCTCGGTTCTTTTACTCCTACCTCAACTCCATTTGAAAAAAGATATAGGCTTTTGCATATGTTACATGCGTGCATACACACACACACACACACACACACACACACACACGAATCCAGAGGAGAACAAATTAGCAAATGCATTAGCCAGACCCAATCTGTAGGTCTGTTGTAAAGGAGTGAAGACCCCTGTGGCTTGAATGTTGGTGTCAGCACTATCAAGTGTTGATTGAGTTTTGGTCCCAGCAGTAAAGAGCATGTGTGAAATTCAAATACAGAATTTCAAACCCTTGAGCACTTCCTGAGAGTCTCAGCGGCTTTAATAAGGGAAGGGCATCTCTTTGATGGTAAATGATTATCTTTCACAGTGCAAGCACAAACTGGATCATAATTAATGAATTTGATATATGTTCTTCCTTGTCATGGATGGGAGCTGGCATTTAGTTTCTGTTTATCTACATCTCCATAACTTTATATTCCCCTTTCCAAGGGGGGATGCTACCACATTGCAAATGAAAGGTTATATATTTGTGAGTTCTTCTGTAGCTTAGCGAGTAGTTGGGAGCGGATCATTTTTCTCACTCTCCTTCTCTTCCTCCCTCTCTCCTTCTTTCTAGTACCAATTTTGCAATTTATGAAACACATGATGGCTTCCTAGAGCTGCTTGGCTATTGCTGAGCAGGCCAGAGTTCCTGGTGTAAGGTGGAGAGGAGTAACATGTTTCTTGATTTGGCCCAAGTGCGTTCTCTCACCATCCTTTATTCTTGATCTCATTTCCCCAGCATCTTTCTTCTTCGTGGCCTTCTTTCCTTAGGGGGCAATCATTAGGGGTGATGAGGGTTGAATTGATCCCTAAAGAGGACACATAATAAGTCTTTCTGGTGCTGAAGACGTGAGGAGAGCCACCATATAACCTGATTCCTGTGTCTCCTTCATTCAGCAAATATTTTTTTGAGGAACAGGAAGACCACCAAGGCAGTCCCTTCCCTTTAGGAGTTATGGAACCTGCCTCACCTATCATTCTTCACCCTTCAGCCTTTGTCAATGTGGTCCACTTTCTCGCTTCCCACCTCACATTGAGTTTAAGGCATCCCAGATGATTTACTTCTCTCTGGGATGGACACATAGGCTTCTACCCAGCCTTCTTTGGATATGGCCAAAGCCACAAATCTATGCCAAGGAGAGTAGGTCTCCTTCTAGACCAATCTCAGGAGAAGATAAGGGGCATTTTTCCAAAGGTACCGAGTACACAGTAGTTGCACATAAGTATTAATTTAATCCTGGTTGTCAGGCAAGAGTTGGGGCTACAACATTACCCCACTCCAAGCGGCAAAATTCACGTGGCTGTCTGTGTAGAAGGCATCATCTGGTCTGGAAAAGGCATGGAATTGTGTGTGGTGTGTGTGGGTTCTCCACCTGTGGGAGGCCTCAAAGCCAGTACCACTCACCTATTGAGACAGACAGGGAGTCAGTGACAGGTGGGGCATTTCCCAGGAAAACTGGCAAGGAGAGGCTAACTGAGATCACCGAGTAGGGAGCGGTTATGGAGATCAACTCAGTCATGCAAGGCTTGGGCTTTTGTGGGAGGCGTGGCTGAGTGAGCCTGGTCCCTGTGATTGAGGGAGGCCAAGCCTACAGGAGGACACCAAGGGCCTTACCTGTGGGGCCTGGAGTGAGACATCTCAATGCATGGGATTATGCTGGGGCGGGAGTGGAATCGTGAGGCCCTCCTAGAATCTCTGCTGGTGCCTAGAATCTCTGCAGGGAGGAGCAGGTGTGTGGTTAATTGGTCCAAGGAGCGCCAGGGTGATTTGACTCAAAGAGCCTGGTCAATTTCTGCACCTGAGCAGGCCTCTGTTGCTCATTTTCTATGATTCCCAAAGTACCAGCCAAAGCTCAGTTTGTCTCACAGGCCATTTAGGAGGCCCCTGCGACTCTCCGGGTCCGCCTGCCACAAATCTCTTGAGGGCATCACTGATTTTGGGAAGACGGGATGAGGAAGGTGGACTCCAGGTCACCTCTAGCACCAGACCACTCCAGGGCAGGATGAAGGGAAGTTGCACAAGCCACCCAGTCCTTGCACTCTCTTTGGCTGATGGAAGTGCTCACTTGTCACCATGTGGGGTGTGTGAAAGGCTGGGGAAGATGTAGACGGCAGGGGCAGGCGCTGGCAGGCAGGGTGGGGTGACACGGGCCCTGTCTGGCGGTGGTGACAGCCTGGGTACCTGCCTGCAATCTTGCCCCACTGCCTGCCCGGCGTCTCCTTGTTCCTGACAAGCTGCCTGTTCATTGAGAGGTGTGGAGAGAAGTTGTAGTGAGGACTTGCTGGGGCTCCTAGGCCTGCTTGGTGCTCATCCTCTTAATCAGAGGGAGGCTGTGCCCAGCCTGCCTGTCACTGGCCTGACATGCAGGGCCTGGCTGTGGGCCTTCTGTGTTTGGACTTTTTATTTTCAATTTTTTTTTTCCTTGAGAAAAGAAGGATGGAAGAGGTGGCCTGTAATTGGACTTGGGGAGTTCATTACCTGTCAGAGGAGGTGAAAGCTAGGCCCGGAAGAGAAGCACCATTAGCATAAATGTCTGTAGCAGACCAAGAAAGAGGCTTACTTCTCCCAGGCCCTTCCTGGTCAGGGAGAGCCTCCGGGTTGAAGAGCGTGGGTGCCTTGGCTGCCAGCTGTCACGGGTGGTGCTCCTGCTGGCCTGGCCGCCCCCTGGAAATCAGGTCCCCAGGAGTGCTGCCCCCTCAGCCCAGATGCTGCAGTCTCTAGAAGAAAGCAGGAGGGATGCACTAAGGTCTACTTTAGGATGCGTCTTTCCTGCTCACTCCCCTATACACACTCACACACACTCACACGCACACACAGTTTCACACACACACTGACACTATCACACTCACTCACACTACACACACTCGGACACACTCACACACACAAGCTCACACTCACATACCCTAACACACGCACACACACAGTTTCACACACACGGACACTATCACACTCACACACTACACACACTCTGACACACTCACACACACAAGCTCACACTCACATACCCTAACACACTCACACACACACATATTCACATGCCCACCCACACACTCACACACCTACAGTCTCACACACACACACACAACTGCACACACACGCAGTCACACACTTTTGGACACACTCACACTCTGACACATACGCTCACACTCTCTGACACACACATTCACACACCCACACACTGACACACACATACACTCACAGTCACACACACACTCTGACACACACATTCATACACCAACCCCCACACACGCTCATACTCACACTCTTGTGTGCACATGCCCGACCTCCGGAATCACAGTACGGCAGGGCCCCGAGGCACTTGGGTTCACCCGTCACAGCTTTCTCATGGGCACCTGGACTGAAGAAGGGAGGGGACTTGCTGAGGGACCCATTTCTAGTTAGAGATAGGGTTGGCTGCACCCCAAATCTTAATCTTGGGCTTAGAATGGTGTCTGGGATTCTGAAGGTGCTGTTTTACTTCTTTCTTCCTCAGCCAATACATTTCGGCCCACAGATGTGACTAAACCCCGTACTTAGAGATTTATTCATTCTGACTCAAGCTTAGCTCACAATTATACAGCAAAGTCTCCTGGGAGGGTTTATATGTTAAGCTCTGTCAGTAATTTCTCCCCTAGCAAGAATGAGGAAGATGAAGAGCTCGGGTATCTGAGGGCTGGTGTGTCTGCATGCGTGTGTGTTTTGGGGGCCGACTGAAGGAAGAGAAGGCTGGAGAGAGGGAACATGGGTCTGAGGGCACATCGCTAAGGGGTCAAGAGGCCTAAAGGAGGAGTCTAAGGCTCTCCATCGAACTTGGACTTGGTCTACATTAGACTTTAACCTCCATGAGGCTTGGACTTTCAGGCTTCCTCCCTCACACCGCGGGCAGGTGAGGCGTCTGCTACAGGCCTGGTCTCGCAGAGGGGGCCCAGCGCCCCCCGCCGCCGCCTTCTCCTGGAGTCTGTGTGACAGAATGGGACCTGTGGGAAAGCAGCACGTCAGCACCCAGCCCCGCTTGCGCGCCAGCAGCTAATTAAAGCCAGGAAGGTAATTTATTGCTTAGGGAGAATGTGCGGGAGGTTTGGCTGAGCTGAAATGGCCCCCGAAGAGTTATGGAAAGCTAAAGTGGGTTTTCAGAAGCAAAAGTTAATTGCTCTTCACTTAGCATTTCAGTGTCATGTGGCTCTGAGTTACACACGCGGAGTGGAAGCCTCTATCCAGGCAGGGGACGGAGGGGCGTGCTGGAGCCGGGCCTCCCCAGTGGCTGCTGGCGGCGGACTGAAAGTGTCACCACCCCTCTCCCCGCATGGGGCAAGACGGTGCTGGCTCCCTGGACTCTCATCCCCAGGTCCTGATGGGACTAGAAGGCATTTGTGTATTGAAGAGTTTTTGTGTCGGGGAAAGAGCCCTGGTCAGGGAATCTAGTAACTGCGGGAGGGGGTGGGGCGGGGCTCCTAGTTCCGTCAGGGCAGAACTAGGAGCTTCCATCTCTTTTATTCAAAATTGTTTCTGAGTCCAGGATGTTGGGTCAAAGAGAAGTGAGAAGTCCCCACTTCTTTCGAGAATGACTTGGCCAGCTCAGAATGAGATCAGAATCCCAGTGAAAGTCTGAATGGGCTGAACACCAGCCAGGGATGGCACTTAGGTTATGTTCTGATCTGCCTGTGACTTGGGGGAGTTCCTTCCGCTCTCTGGGGCTCCCTTCTGTTTAATGATCGCTAAAGCACATCATCACTTCTGGCATCCGGTCACTTCTCTGAGACTGTGATTCGCCTCTCTGGGTCTCCTCGTGGATACCATTTATGCTGCACGACCCATTTGGCAGAGGGGAAGACTGAGGTCTAAGATACCCCATACCCTGACAGAGTATATGGAAGATATGGGAGTGACCTGACTCTTAGCTGAAAGTAAATAGATTTACCACCTAGAAACAGAAGCTTCTTGGGTCCTAAAGTATCTCCTAGACACTTTGTGGGTGATGTGATTACTATTCTTATGGGTAATAGCGTTTGGGGGAGAGGGTTAAAAAGCTTGAATCTGAGACCCTCCAGCCAGAAGGGTGAAAATTTCTTTCATTGGGAAAGGGGGCTCATGGAAAGGGAACAGCTGCCTTGCCGAGGAACCACTGCATCTAAAGGCAATCATTATCCTAACTATAGGTGTGACTAGGATTAGGTGCTAAACATTTAAAATGACTTCTACTGGTTGTGCTTAAGGAAGTGAGTGGAGAGGCTCCCATGTGGTCTCCTTGCCACATTTAGGAGGACAAGGGTAGTGCGCACCAGTGGGAAGGTAGGGGTTCTGCACTTAGATTTTCAGCCTGGGGTAGTTTATAGACAGTAACTCTTTCTGGAGATACAGTGAGGTCCCATCTCACTGAGGTGTTGCCTTCTAAAATCAGTGGAGAGGCAAGAGGCTCGCTTGAGCCCAGGAGTTTGAGACTAGCCTGGGCAACATAGCAAGACCCTGTCTCTACAAAAAAGTAGAAAATTAGCCAGATATGGTGGCGCGCATCTGTGATCCCAGACACTTGGGAGGCTGAGATGGGAGGATCGCTTGAGCCCAGGAGTTTGAGGTTACATTGAGCTATGATCGCACCACTGTATTTCAACCTGGGTGACAGAGTGAGACCTTGGAGGGATGCATTCAGTCAAGTCAAAAGTATTTCAGAGAAGTCTTATATTGCAGGGGCTGCTCCTGGAAACTGGAAAATGAAGAATTCTTGTTTGTTTTTGTCAGCATTCCTATTCTGTTGTCCTTTCCCTGGGAGTAAAGGGTAAGGTCTAGTTTAATGGGGGTGGGGTGATGGAGATGGTGAAAGTGATGGAGGAAACAAAGGTGTCACTCCAGTGTATTGCCCCAGTGCATCTTCAGCTGAAGTCTCGGCCAGGCGGTGTGGCTCATGCCTATAATCCCAGCATTTTGGGAGGCCGAGGTGGGCGGCTTACTTGAGGTCAGGAGTTCAAGACCAGCCTGGCCAACATGGCAAAGCCCTGTCTCTACTAAAAATACAAAAATTAGCTGGGCGTGGTCATGTGTGCCTGTAGTCCCAGCTACTTGGGGGGCTGAGGTGGGAGAGAATCGGTTGGACCTAGGAGGCAGAGGTTGCAGTGAGCTGAGATCATGCCATGACACTCCAGCCTGGGTGACAGAGTGAAACCCTGTCTCAAAAACAACAACAACAAAAATGCAGTTGAAGTCTCACATAAGAAACGCATATTTTACTGGTCATTCTGCTGACCCACACTGGGACCAAAGATCTTAGGCCGAGTGTCCGCAGATAATATAAGCTCAGTGAGAATTTTTAAATAAATGAGTGAATAAAAGTTTTTAAAAAAACTTTATCTTATGTTTTCTTTCCATTGTCTTGAGGACAATGGAATTGTATGGATACATACTTTGTGGGCAAGGTTGAGTACAGTCATGTCTGTGGTTCAAGAACTATCCTGAAAATAGTTAAGCTTTCTGGTGACAGGATGTGACACCCAACCGAAATGCTTTAGCACCTCACACATAATATTAGGGCTCAGGAATAAATCATAGCAGTGTTAATCTGAGAGTGTTGGAAATGAGATTGAATTCCCTTTGCACAAGCCATCTACACGGCAATTTGCACTGCATGCCAACATTATTGAAGCTTCTTTTTAAAGCTTCCCTCTCTTTTGTTCAAAATTGTTTCTGAGTCCAGGATGTTGGGTCAAAGATAAGTGAGAAGTCCCCATTTCTTTTGAGAATGACTTGGCCAGCTCAGAATGAGATCAGAATCCCAGTGAAAGTCTGATTGGCTGAACACCAGCCAGGGATGGCACTTAGGTCATGTTCTGCTCTGCAAACCCAAACTCCCCTTAGCTAAACAAATGGTCACTCTGGTATAGGCTTGAATAAGTACAGATGAAATGGTTTTGGGGACACACATATATATATATGTGTGTATATATATATATATGTGTGTGTGTATATATATGTGTATATATATATGTGTGTGTGTGTGTGTGTGTGTGTGTGTGTATATATATATATATAATTTATTTGTTGAGACAGGGTCTTGCTCTGTTGCCCAGGCTGGAGCACAGTGGCATGATCACCGCAACCTTGAACTCCTGGGCTCAAGCCATCTTTCCATTTCAGCCTCCCAAGTAGCTGGAAGTACAGGTACAAGGCACCACACCCAGCTAATTTTTCATATTTTTTTGTAGAGATGGGGGTCTTGCTATGTTTCTAGACTGGTCTCCAACACCTGATCTCAAGTGATCCTGCTGCCTCGGCCTGCCAAACTGCTAGGATTATCAACATGTGCCACTGTGCAGAGCCAGGCACATGATTTTAGACTAGCCACTGCATTTAGGAAAGTCCCAAGTGCTAAGGAAATACAAGGCCCCTCCCGCAGTCATTCTGAAATATTTCGAGTGTGAGCAGCATTTGCCCAATGCAGGCATCTTGTATTCTGCCTGGATGGGGGATGGGAGGATTCTCTTTGGTTATCAGGTTGCAGTTCCAGGCCAGTGGCTCCCTGTCTTTCTGACTCCATGACAGACTTGGACATCTGGATTCACTAGTTTGGGGACTTGGAGCATAGAGTAAGGTGGCAGGGTCCCCATTGGCAAGATGAGGGTGGTAGTGCCTGCATGTGGATGCCTTTGTAAAGAGCTTGGTTTCTGTGACAATGAAGCTGGAGAGACAGTGGCCTCATTTTCTTCGGGAAGGAAATCCTAATATCTTGTTAAGACGGGATGAGAGTGGAAGTGAAAAGCATCATTTAGATGAAGAGAACAGGGAAAAGGGAAGGGGATGGACCTACCGATCATTGCACCCTTCTAGGTAGAGAAAGTCTTGCATAGGGCAAAGGAAACATTGTGAATTAACAAGGTTAAGAGGCTTTTGGAAATCAGGTTTTTTTTTTTTTTTTTTTTTTCCCTCCTGCGATATACAGACCACGGTTCAATCATTCTAAACGAAGTGTGCCTCCTCTCTCCTTGAAGGCTTCTGGGGAAAAAGCTCCAGAACCAAATCTCCACAGAATATGTCCACACTTTAAAGATTTTACAGCTTCATCTACAGATAATGAAATTGAATCCCTTAGCTAGAGAGTGGACAGGCAGCAGGGAACTCAACTCAGCACAGTGCTTCTGAAACCTTTTCACTCAAGTGAGGGCAGAGGGGGTGGACACTAGTCCCCAGGGATTCCCTGGCCTGAAACATCTCAGTGTAGGTGTTAAATATTTGAAGTTTAGTGTTTAATGCTAAAAATTCTTCCATGTTTTATATGCTCTATCATCACACATCTGTATTTTAATATAAAAAAAGTTTTAAATTACCATCAGGAAACACATAATGGTATATGTATATTTCTTAGCTTGCTCAGTTGAAGGGAAAAAATCCAGTTCTGCACTGAATCCACCTTGGAACGCTGAATTTAGAAGAGCAGGAGGTGTTATTGGGCAGGTCTCTTTGCTTTCTGAGAATCAATAAAATGGCAACCATTTTTCACTAATTTTTGAATTGAGTCAGGGTGATAACTAAGGAGAGATGTCCTGAAAATCCTCCCTTTCTTGCTGCAAATACCAGGAGATGGCACATTCAAGGTGCACAGAGCCTTGGTGAAGATCCAGGTCTGCCTGTCATGGTTTGGCCTCACCTGTGAGCAGGAAACTGCCTTGTGTTTATTCCAGGGCCAAGCTGGGTCACCTTAGCCCACAACTGTGTAAACCCCAGAGTGTGGGCACTACAATACAAATAGCCTAGCATCACTCCATGTGGCTTCCTTATCTAGCTTTTTTCAGTGGCGAATTCCATCTTTGAAGGAAAATAATGGTGGCGAGTTTCCTTCTGCAGCCGATCTCAGCTCTCACCTATCCTGTAGTCCACTTCTTCATGGTGTTTTTTGGAGACATTTGCAAGGAATCAGAAGCAAGACTCATCACTGAGTTCCAAAATGCTGCTGATGGTTATCTTTTTCTCTCCTGGTGATGCCTCATGGTCAGGGGGATTCAGAAGTCCAGGATTGAAATGGCATTAGAATAGTCTTCTCTCCATGTATTAGCCCGTTTTCACACTGCTGAGTAATTTATAAAGAAAAAGAGGTTTAATGGACTCACAGTTCCACATGACTGGGGAGGACACACAATCATGGCAGAAGGTGAAAGGCACGTCTTATATGGCGGCAGAGAGCAGAGAATGAGAGCCAAGCCAAAGGGGAAATCCCTTATAAAATAATCAGATCTTGTGAGATTTATTCACTACCATGAGAACAGTATAGGGGGACTGTCCCCATGATTCAATTATTTCCCATGAGGTCCCACCCACAACACCTGGGAATTATGGGAGCTACAATTCAAGATGAGATTTGGGTGGGGACACAGCAAAACCATATAACTCCACTTCCATTCCATTGCCCAAACTGAAGATGGGATGGTGGTGAACCAACTGCTGCTTGGGCCTGAGATGGGATTCTGCCCTCCCCTTGCCCAGTTCTTCATTTTCCTCAGAACCCTTGGAGTTCTGTTTCCCTTTAATATGCCTCATGCTACCTCCATTGTCTTTCTTTAGTCTGAAGTTTTAATATCCCCATCCTTATGTCTCTAAACAGGGTAATGCAAGCAAGCAGGGATCAGACCCATACTGTGTGGGAGCGGACAGCTGCTGCAATGGGTAACTCCATGTTCACTCCATGCTGGGTTTTCATACGTGGGTAGATTTATCTTTGTAGTGTAACCTTACCCAGCTCTGAAAAAGACAGCACCAGCCCATTATTGTTCCATTAGTAATGACTCTAAACTCAAGCTATTTAGCAGCTGCTGATGGGGATGGGAGATGAGAGAAGAAAGAAGAAAATAAAAAACAGATGCTTTGCTGGTGCAGGCTCCTCTGTAAATGGGCATAGCTGGCAGTGGCTCTAGAAACACAGGCCAGTTGTATCTCCAAATTCTGGAGCTTCAGTGAGAGCAGCTTCCTCTTTCTCTTTAAACGAGAACTTCTTCTGTGGAGCAGCAAAGGACCCACAAATAACTGAGCTGTACTTTGGAAATGGATCTGATGAGTCTTTTAATAGAAGAAAATCATCATTATTTCCCAAGAGCTCACATTCCCATAACATTTTTATTAGCAGCCTCTCTTCTAAATAAACTTCAGTGGATTGATTTTGGTGGGGTTTTCTCACTTGAAATATTCCCTTAAATAATGACTGTGGGTATAGGCTCATCATCACTGTAGTTATTATTGTGATCAGCATCAGCAACTCCATTGTTATATTTATGTAGCACTTAGGAAGCTCTCAGAACACTTCAGGTATATTACTTCATTTGTCCTCATAGCATCCTTGTAAGGAAGGGAGGGGGCCCCATTAGAACAACACTGAGAGGAGACCTCTTCTCTCTGTGCCTCTGTAAGTCAATCCTCCTTTGGGGTGTGGCCAGGAGGAAGCCCTCTGTCCCCCTCTTCTGTATATTCCCCTCTGTCAATATAAGGCAGAGGGAGATTGCTCCAGGGTAAGTTACAGCCACCCGGAGGCTGGAGCCCTTAAAAGGCTTGGCTCAGGGTAGAGCAGAGGACACTGCCAGTGGAACAGGGGAATGGCTCTTGGAAATCACCCTGACTAACTGGCCCCCGACTTGCCCTTTTGTCTTGCCTTGGTCCCAAGAGGCCAAAATTCCTACAAGAGAGTGGCACCATGAAAGAGTGCAAAGATGCTGGCTGGGAATCAGAAGATCTAGTTCAAATCCCGGTTCTACCACTTGTTAGATTTGCTTCTTGGGCCAGTCTCTTAACATCTGAAGCTTCATTTCCTCCTTTAGAACAGAAGAGAAATTGATCCTCCTTTCTGGGATTTTGTGAGGACTAAATGGGATAACCTATATAAATGTGCCCGGCATAATGGATGGGACATAGTTATGCAACAGACGTTCATTCAATTTCTTCATTTAATTTTTCTATTCTGGTAAAACCTAAACTCTCTGTCCAGTATGACTTTGAGAACTAAGAGGGAAAATAACACAATTTGGATAGGTTTATCTTTTTAGTCATTGTCTTGTCAGAAATCATGTATTTTCTTACCTATACTGTATTGAGGAAAAGCTAGTGACTCATAATTAGTATATATATATTTTTTCAATTCCAAAAGTCGTAAGAATAATACTTTATTTTCATTACAATAAAGACATCTTACTAAAAAAAGATCAGCGCAAATGCAATAATAACAAAGAATTGAGGGCAACTGATTTAATTTGGTTAAAAAATGGGAGAGGAGACTAAGGGAGAAGCATCAGAAACCCAAATTCACACCCTACAGCCCCAGAAGAGCACTGTAGTATTGAATTTAATATATGGAACTTCCATTTTGGAAGTTTATTACCTTACAGTAATAAATTAGGTTTCTTTTTTTTTTTAATTTTAATTTTTTTATTATACTTTAAGTTCTAGGGTACATGTGCACAACGTGCAGGTTAGTTGCATATGTATACATGCGCCATGTTGGTGTGCTGCACCCATTAACTTGTCATTACATTAGGTATATCTCCTAATGCTATCCCTCCCCCCTCCCCCCACCCTACAACAGGCCCCAGTGTGTGATGTTTCCCTTCCTGTGTCCAAGTGTTCTCATTGTTCAATTCCCACCTATGAGTGAGAACATGAGGTGTTTGGTTTTTTGTCCTTGCGATAGTTTGCTGAGAATGATAGTTTCCAGCTTCATACATGTCCCTACAAAGGACATGAACTCATCTTTTTTTATGGCTGCATAGTATTCCATGGTGTATATGTGCCACATTTTCTTAATCCAGTCTATCATTGATGGACATTTGGGTTGATTCCAAGTCTTTGGGTGGGGACACAGCCAAACCATATCACTCCACTTCCATTCCATTGCCCAAACTGAAGATGGGATGGTGGTGAACCAACTGCTGCTTGGACCTGAGATGGGGTTCTGCCCTCCCCTTGCCCAGTTCTTCATTTCCCCCAGAACCCTTGGAGTTCTGTTTCCCTTTAATATGCCTCATGCTACCTCCATTGTCTTTCCTTAGTCTGAAGTTTTAATCTCCCCATCCTCATGTCCCTAAACAGCCCCCTGGCTGCTCTGCTGACCACATCTCCAGGCTAGCACTGTCTTGGGAAAGTGTGTCATTAGCTACTTTGCTAATCCCTGCAAGTTATCCTTTGCAGTAGAGTCTGTGCACTATACAGATTGGTAAAGTCTTCTGAGGAACCAAATCTCCTTGAACATGCCCTCAGCTAGGGGCAGTCCAATGCTGGTGTTCCTTTTGCATTATCCCAAGAAGCAGAGGGAAAGTCTTGGAGGGTGAATAGTTAGGGCATTTCCTCATGCAGGCTTCCCTGTACACAGACACATCAGGAAGAACACACAACACAAAGAAGACTTTCCCTTGCACAATTCACCCATACCTTATTTTCCTTTATAGTTTTATGAAACAAAACAAAGTCTAGCTGCCTTTTGAGTTCAATTCAATTGAGTGCTAACAAAGGCAACTCACCACACTGAGCACTGTGAGGCTATCACAATGAATATGACTGTGTCCCTATCTCTACTCAATGGGGCTCACCATCTAGGAGGAGAGGTAGACAAACATATAATTAACTAAGATAACAAGGCAGATGGTCAGGGGTGCTTTTATAAAGTCCCTAAATACGATGGGAGAATACTTCCAACTGGAAAAGAGATTTCATCAAATCTTTGTTAGAAGATAGCTAGGTCTTGATTTGGACCTTAGATGATTGGTATAGTTGCAATAAAAACACATTAGAGGATGGGGAAGGCATTTAAGATAGAAGAAATAGTTCAAGGCAAGGCAGCGAGAGGGGAAAGTTTCCTTTATTCACATTGAAGTCCATCCTTGTTAACACATACACAGATAAACTACAAAAGCCAGCTTCCTGCAAAGCATTCTGGGGTGGGAGGAGGGAAGTGCTGGTTGGTGCTCACTTGTCCAAAGGGCCCAGCACCTCTTAGAGGTTTCTGGTCTCATTGCACATTATTGCCTACTTTCTCTGGACCAAGAGTATACAGATTCTGAAATGCACATTCAGTTTAGCTAGAAAAATTATAAGAATGGAAAAGAAGTGCTCAACTGAAGGATGATTGGAAACCTTAAATGTAAATATCATTTAAAAATTAATTTTCATACTCTTCCTCTTTTGAAGGTAATGTGCTTTGAAGTGGAGCTGGAAGGAAGTGATGTTTTCTTGACTTTGTCCTTGCCCATGCCAGACATCACTAATTGAACCCAGCATGCTTTCCCCCTGAGCTGGGCCTCTTGTCAGACAGAGTGCCCTGAGGTATTCCAGGCAGTCCCTGCTATTCAGCCAGTTGTGTTATACCAGATGAAGCCTCTTTGCCATTTTCTGTTTAAAGTCTTAAAACTTTACTACTATCTGAAATACCAAGTAGCTTTCTCATGAAATACAAAGACTTAAAGCAGGGAGAAATTTTGTATCATCTAGCACCTTGAGAATTTCTAAATATAAATGGAAGTTGCGGAGGGGGCTTTAAGACTAATATAAAGATGTTCTCACTCTCCTGTCCTCCCTGTGATTTAATAGTATAAATATGAGGTTGAAAGAGGCAGGAGATATGTGAAGAAATATAAAATACACACAGAAAAATAATCATTGGCTTAGATCAACAGTTCTCAACCTGGATGTACATCTGAATTGCTCACTTGTTTAAAATGCAGATTCCTGGGCCCCATTTTAGACTAAATCAGAATTTCTGGTCTTGGAGCTTGGAAACACCATATTTACCAAACATCTTAAGTAATTCTTCTGCACTATTCCTGAGACCAGCCAATAACCTATGTTTGGGAACCAGAGACTTAAATGACAGAAATATTTCAGCCCTTGTTTACGTCTTTGGATGGTTGGCCAAAAATGCCATATTCATTTCCCATGGCTGAGCTACCTTACATTCCATGGTGTTCCAGATACTGAAAAACTGCATTCATTTGCATATTGGAAATGAGTTTGCAATTTCCAAAGGGATTGGCCATTTGGATTAACATAAGTCATGCTTCATGGAGATCAATCTTTAGGATGTGTCTGAATTATCTTGCATCCATATTGTTTGGGCTTGGTTTTAAGAATTAAAGAAGAGAGAAAAGTAGTTTATGTTGACCAGGAAGATAAATTATCCTGAAATTTCTCGTTGTCTCTGTTCATTTTGTGCTGCTATAACAGAATACCTGAGGCTGGGTAATTTATAAAAAATATGATTTATTTCTCACAGTTCCGGAGTCTGGGAAGTCCAAGATCATGACACCAGCATCTTGTGTCTGATGAGGCCTCTCTTGCTGCATCCTCATATGGCAGACAGTAGAAGGGCATGTGGGGCTGAACATTGTGGCCTCACATGGCAGAAGGGAAAAAGAAAGTGAACTCACTCCTGCAAGCCCTTTTTATAGTGGCACGAATCCATTCATGAGGGTGGAGTCCTTATGACCTAAGCACTTCTCATTAGGCCCCACCTTCCAATAGTACTGGACTGGGGACTAAGCTTCAACGTAAGTTTGAGAGGGGACAAAAACATTCAAACCATAGAACTGGTTATGTGGTCAATATTTGAGTTTACTTGACTTTTGGAAAGTTAGAGTCATAATAATAAGTATCATATATTGTACATCTATTCTGCACTGGGCACTTCACTAGGACAAGATATACATTGTCTAAAGCAGTTTTTAAAATAATCCTATGAAGAAATGATCATTATTTCCAGAAGAGGAAATTTGGGTTCAGAAAATTTAAGTAACTTTCCTTGAAAGACACAGGATATGGATGTGATTCTTTAAAATTGTCTGACTCCAAAATGTTTATTCTTATTTACTACATTCTAAATTCTGTTTCCAAGAAATACGCTGTTTAGTGACATTGCTGGGACCAAAATCAAGCTCCATAATTAGTTGCAAACTTCAAGACATAACTGAGAAGGACGCTTACTAGATGTAGTAGTAGTGGTCTGTTAAATTCTGGTGTTCTCATTGACTTGATAGAATTTCATCAAGTTTAGCACTAGGCCTATTATTTGTCTACTTTTTTATGTATAAAGTATGTTAAACTGTGTTAGGATTAATTTCAGTCCTCAAATTTATATTTTGGCAAAGTTAAAGGCTCTTCCTTACCCTGTTGTTAAAAAAGCCCCCAAAACAACCAATGTGGTTCTTACACATGTGGCTTCCCATGTGTATGAGCAACACATGTTCCACCGAACATGTTTCCATGGAACAACCTGGCCACTCCTCCTGTAGAGTGGATTCTGGGAAGCGTACATGGAAAAGGACCCATCTGGTGCCCACTAGACTGAATGATCGTCCAGTGTATGAAAGAGTGCTAGGCCAGATGCGGTGGCTCATGCCTGTAATCCCAGCACTTTGGGAGGCCGAGGTTGGCAGATTGCTTGAGGCCAGGAGTTCGAGACCAGCCTCGGCAACATGGCGAAACCCCCATCTCTATCAAAAATACAAAAATTAGCCAGGTGTGGTGGTGTGCCTGGGAGGCTGAGGCACGAGAATCGCTGGAACAGAGAAGGCGGAGGTTGCAGGGAGCTGAGATTGTGCCACTGCACTCCAGCATGGATGACTGAGCATGACTTTGTCTGAAAAAAGAATGAAAGAAAGAGAGAAAGGAAGAAAGAAAAAGAAAGAAAGAAAGAAAGAAAGAAAGAAAGAAAGGAAGGAAGGAACTCTGATGAGTAGTCAGGAGGTTTGGTTTCTTGGTAGCTCTGCCACTCAGTAACTCTGTTATCTTGAGCAAGTCATTTTACCCAAGACAAAATGATCTCTGTGTGTGACGGCACACACAGAGCCCTTTAGCATATTTCTTGGAGAACTATCTGATACAAGCTGTTTCCCCACTTTCTAGAACTCAGATCTGCTTCTCACCATATTCATGTTTCTACAGAAGTCCTGTGAGTTAGAAGGCCTCCGTTTCCATGCAAATCTTTTGGACTAGAGGCCATAAAGTTATTTACTTGATCTAATATGTCATGACTCTTGAAAAAAACGTTAGCCAGGGAGCTGGCAAAGAGACCGATGGGGCCTCATCAGTGGCACTGTTGTCAATGTCCTCACCAGGTCAGAATGGTCAGAGGGTGGGCAACCCAGACCGGGCTCCTGAGATGCCTACTGTCCCCTGACCTCTGGCCTGCCTCCTTTCTGGCCTGAGGTTGTTACATTCTTTTCTTCTCGGGAGACAGTTGTAGTGGATTGTAGTACTACATTCTTTGATATTTCTTGTTGGGGTGAAATCTTCAAGCAAAAAGTTAAGTAGACCCCTTCATACATAGCTCATTGCTTTTGGAAATGCTGGTGACCCATCACACCCCACCCTTCCCATGGGCTAGAACAGCCTGGGCTGCTTGGGCAACAGTATCACTAGATGATTCACAGGGATTTGAACCTGAAGGGATCTTATCAAGCATCTAGTCCAACAACTTTATTGCACAGATGAGAAAGAAGCCCCAAGAGGGAAAATGACTCAACTCAAGGATACCCAGCCAGTTAGTGAAGCAGTTGACACCCCATTTTCAAATTTATATTGTAAGCATAATAATAAAATCTACCCCAACAGAATTATTGTGAAGGTATTTAAATGAGATGGCACACACAGAGCCCTTTAGCACATTTCTTGGCATAGAGAACCATTTGATACAAGCTGTTCCCTCCCTTTCTAGAACTCAGATCTGCTTCTCATCATACGCATATTTCCATAGAAGTCCTATGAGTTAGAATGAGCAGATTTTATCATCCTTTACTCTGCAGAACGCCAACCCATACAGGAGTAAGCTGAGCTGCCCACGTTTAATCATGCGCTAGTGGCAAAATCTGACTTGGCCCATGTTATGTATTAAAAAAATGTCTGGGGTTACTGAACACTAGAACCCATTCCTCCTGACTCTTAATCCAGTGGTCTTTCCATTATACCATGCTGATTGACAGGCGGGGGGGATGAACTCCTTTAAATTGCTGTGAATACCAGCATGGTGACAGATGACTGCGAACACATGAGGCCACAGCCCCAGAATGTCCTAAGCCTGTCAGTGTAATTTTATTATCACGCATTTATCAAGGCTACCATGTGCATGCAGGAGCTTTGCTTACTGCTGAGATGAATATAAAAATGAGTAGTAAGATACAGCCCCTGCCCTCAAGGAGCACTTAATTTGATAATAAAGACAGACTTGGACATAAATAATTCCAATGTAAGGCAGATAGCAATCCATGACTACTCTATATGTGCTACAAGGGAGTACAGGGATTAAGACCTCACCTGTTGACATGGTGAGAGTGAGGTGGGCTAGGGCAGGGCATCCCTCCAAATGTCTCCATCCAGCTGAAGGGGCAGGGAACACGCTTCTTGGTCCAGTTGGGACTCCAGCCTCGTGAGCTCCTTGCCTCTGACTGCGGGAGAGCATAGCTGGGTCACTGTCTTGCCTTCTTTAGCCACTGCAAAATGGGAGAACATCCCCTTTCTTGCTCGGAGCTTAAAGGGAACTGGGTGGTCATTTGGTCTAGATCTCTGCTTCTGGGCAGGACTGCCCTCACCCGTGCTGACATGCAAGAATCTGCACTCCATATGCAGAACAGCGAAACATTATTCTTTTTCTCTCTTCTCTGTGTTTTGGTGGTGGAAGTGGGGCGGGGGTTGAGAATAGTGTAGGGGAGAAAAGAGGGGAGGTAAAGGGAATTGCAGGTCGATACTTGACAAGGGGAGTTGGGTCACCCAGGGAAAATATGGCCTTGCTCTCCACTGGCAGATTCCCAGAGAAGCTCTGACTGTTCCCCACCTGTCCTGTGCTCCCCCTGCCACCCGCCCAGTGCTGCTGTCCCTGCGTGCAAGGAGCAGGGAGGCGATGATGAATTTCCCCCGAACGGCATTACAGACAGTCATAAATAATGCTTTGCTCTTTGGTGACGGCACTTTCCATTAGAGCTGCCTGCGCCGGGCTGTTGCTACCCCCAGTCTTCTGCCGGGGACTTGCAGTAAAATTTATCAGCGAGCTTTCTGCACCTAATAAATCATCCCCTCCGGGAGCCATCTGGCAGATAAGGCCATGAGAACCCACATGCTCTGCAGAGGCGGAGTCAGAGTGAGAGGCGGCCCTAGCTGGGTAGCCCCAGGCCCTGTTGAGGGGGACTCTCTTTCTCTCCAGCAGCCTGGCCTGTCAGACTCTTCCTGGCTTATCTCATCAGACTGAGGATGGGGGCCCTGGAGAGGGCAGCTGCTCCAGCTCCCTGAACCGTGTGGCTTCCCACTCTGGGGCCAGGCCTACAGATCACCTCCTTCTCACACTGTCTACACCCAGGTGTCCAAAAGGTCCTGGGGTCTGTCACCAGGCCAGAGCAGGGGTACCCTAGGCCAAGACAGGTGCTGTGATGGGCATGACTATTGCCAAAGTGAATGCTCCTTGGTGTGTTCTAGAGACATGAGTATTGGCCAGCATCAAACAATCTCTTAGTGATAAGTAGCTTACTGTTTGGATGGAAGGCATCAAGGGGCACCTCTTAATGCAGGGCGATACTTCACATGTCTATCCCCATGTTTTTTGAGCAGCAACTACCATGATCTTACAGATTTCTTTCCAATATGTATTACTTTCTGTGAGTGCACGGTATGGGAGGTTCTAAAGGGTGCTGGACCTAGAGGGTAGAGTTGCTTAGATCAATGATCACAGTTGTTTCCTTAAGGCATTTACAATCTGCTTGGAGAGCCTAGCTTAAAACCAAAGTCTCAGATGTGGTGATTGTAGTGTTCACTCTCACAGCAAGACACAGTGCTTGCAGGATATGACCTACAGCTTTGTGGGATGCACGAGTGGTTGGGTTTCTGGTCTTCTAGTCCCAGTACCTAGCACAGTGCCTGGTGTGTAGAAGCACCCAGTGTATGTGTGTTGAACTGTATTGAGGGACATGTGGCAGGGGGCAAAGTGCCTGATACAGTTGCCAATACAAAGTAGAGTATGAGAGTGAAATGAAAAACAGCCGAATGAAAACAGCATCATCATCCCCAGGCCATAGCAGAGTGTGTGCCCTGTTCTTTAGGGTTAACTGGGTGATCTAGGAATGAAATCCTTTTCTGGGCATGGATAACCTGTGCTCCTGTCCTGGCCCTGTGGCGAGCTGCCTGAGCTTGCTCAAGGTATGCTCTAGCCTCTGTTTTCTCATTTGTAAAACAATAGGCCAAGACAGGGCAATTTTTTGGAGGGTAATTTTCAGTATTATTACTATTAGAATACTTCCTCTTTTTTCCCTTGCTGGTGCCTGCTTTTGTTTGAAGGACAGGAGGCTGGAGGGGTAAAGCCAGGAAGAACTCTTCTCTTTTCTTCCCTCCTGGGCCACTTCCCAGCTGAGATAACCTCGTAGAAGGTCCAAATATGGGCGCCATGCAGCTAGAGCTTGAGCATCCTGGAGTTCTTCCCTGGGGGCTCATTCTTTAGAAGGACACCTATCATGCTGCCTCTGATTGCTGTGGACACATCCCGGGAAAACATTAAATGGAGTGTCCCGAAGATGCTTAGCTTAGCTATGCATTTAATTTGGCGGTAATTGAAATTTGCCAACAAAGATTTGCATGTAATCTGCGATTCCGTTTTTCAATTAAAATTGCTTTCTTCTTGTGGATGGGAAGTACTTGGCTTCTTTCCTCCTCACAGCACTTTGCAAACACTCATCCCTCACTTCTTTGGGGGCTGGAGAGAGGGTAGGGGTCTGGGGCAAGGAGGTGGAGTCTGGCAGGACAGTGGTGCAGGAGAGGCCAGTGCTGGGGGTGAGGCTGATGGATAAGAGGGAGGGTGAGGGCTTGAGCCTCCCTTGTCTGCAATGGTCTCAGAAAAGGAACCCCAGCTGGGACTTCAAGATCTCAGTTTCTAGGGGTCAGACAAGGGTTGGGGGACTGGGAGGTATAGTCAGAAGTGGGGAGAGCCAACCAGTTCTCCATGACCAGACAAAGCTAGTAGTAAGAAGCCAGGGACAAGGCACCAGGCTCAGGTCCTGGGATGTAGGAAGTGTCTTTTCTCTTATCTACCTCTTCTCCTCTGGGTGAGTGTGGCCTTTGATAACGGTGAGCAGCAATAGAGCTCCTGGGAGAAGAGAACTGATGGAAAAGTGTCTTCCAAGGATGGCTGGAGAGGGGAAGGGAGGACAGGAAGCAGGGGCTGGAGAGGGGAAGGGAGGACAGGAAGCAGGAAGCAGTAGGCATGAAAATCACACCTACCTGAATGGGGGCTTGGAGAAGCCAGCTGCTAGGGTCTGAATGTTTATGTCCCCCCTCCCATCCCCAAATTTGTATGCTGACACCTAATCCTGGTACAATAGTATTAGGAGGTGAGGATTTTTTGGAAGGTGGCAGAGCTCTCATGCCTAGGATCAATGTCCTTACGGAAGAGGCTTGAAGGAGCCCTTTTGCCCCTTCTGCTGCATGAAGATAGAAAGAAGGCACCATCTATGAAGCAGTGGAAAACCTTGGTAGACACTGAATCTGCCAACACCTTGATCTTGGACTTCCCAGCCTCTAAACTGTGAGCAGTAAATTTCTGTTATTTATAAGGCACCCAGTCTAAGGTATTTTGCTATAGCAGCCTGAGGACTAAGACGCCAGCCCACTGGTCTGTGAGAGTCCTGAGGGCTGGAGCTGTGTCGTCATGACCCCTTTCTATGCCTGGTACCTAGCATGGTACCTAGCACATGGTAAGAATGAAGTTTGTTAAAATGAAAAGTTGATTGAATGTGATAATGTGAGTGAAAGGGCATTTTGTAAATTGTAACAGCCATTTTTGGTACTCTGACAGTCTTACTATTTCTGAAAATAAGATGGGGTATTTGACTCAAGGCTGAACTGATTCTGGGCTGAGCCCTGGGTAGGGTAGGGCCCCGGAAAAGGCCAAAGGAGGTAGAGGAGGTGCTCCAAGTTCCTGACTGGAGGCCTCTCCAGGAGCTGGAATTTGTGGTGCTTTGCTGCTCTAGACCCAGGTCCCACCAGGTGCCCCAGCTGGGGAGCACTTTCCGGGTCTGGGCCCACCCCCTTGGTGGTGGTAGAAGAATCAACATCCGCATCAGGCTGGCAACTCCACCATGCTGGGACAGGCACCAAGAGGGTTTGGTACAAAGAGAGCCAGTGAGGGGACTTGCAGGAGAGGCAGTTTGGTTTTCGTAGCCAGGTTGGAGGTGGAAATAAGAACCATTTGAAGAATTAGTGGCAGATTTTAGCTGCAGTGGAGGGTGCACAGCTTTGGACAGGGCGAGGGTCCTTCTCACCACCCCAGCAAGTCTTTTTTTGTCTATTTCTTTCAAGTGGAGATAATCCCTTCTACCTGGCCAGACAGCTGAACTGTTTTCATTTTTTTTCTTCTTCAGTAATAAATCTGCCAACCCTGCAGGGCTCGAGCCAAGGGCTTGCTTGCTGCATCTACACAGAGGTCTCATAAAAATGGTATAAAACAAAAGAGAAAAATGCATATTTCACACTTTGTCTGTTCTAGGTGATGGCGATTTTCAACTCATTCCCGTTACAAACAGCCGACCTTCCTACCGAGTTCAAGTACCTTCTGCCTGGCCTGGAAGAACAATATCTCTCTGTCTCCCTCTTCCACTGGCCCTCACCTGCCTTCCCCTGAACATGCATTTTGCCTGACAGGAGACAGAGGCAGTTGGTAAGTATACTACGCTGGCTTAGTGCTTTCCAGAAGGGAGGTGGCGTGAAAGACCCCAGTGCTCAAGTGTTCACGACGGACTCACACAGGCTGGAGACAGACGCCTCCATCCTCCTGCACACAGTCCTGTGCCTGCTTCTGCAGTGACTCCCTCTCCCTCTGTGGAAACACATGAGGAATACAGGAATAAGGGTTATCTTCTACTGAAGCCTGCCTAGTGTTTATTACAGGTAATTTTCAACTATGATCAAATCTCCAACGTTATTAGCTTGGTTAATGTTCAGCAGAAACAAACAACCTTTCCAACTTTATCTGCCTCCCTTCCCCTTTACAAATCTGCACATCCTTCAAAACGGTCGCTTTAGACTTCCCAGACAGCCTACTTTTGTTCCCATCTCCTGGCTGTTCACACCTGTAATTTTCCTGCATTGAGTCTGCTCCTCCTGACTCTGTTCTGTCCAGCTCAGTTCAGTCTACTTTCAAGGTCCACTTCCTCCTGAAACCTTCCTGGATTGCCCCCAGCCTATAGTACTCTCTCTTTACCTGGGACTCAGTCAGGAGTTACAGCTCACATCATTCTCTTCCTGGGTTGTCAATCATATACTGCTTTTTTGACAGTTTAAAAAAAGCTATTATCATTTTTTTCTACTTAACCGTCATTTTCTTTTTTGCTTAAAATAATTTTCCTTTATTTTAATTTAATTTAATTAATTTATTTTTTGAGATGGGGTCTCACTCTGTTGATCAGGCTGGAGTGCAGTGGCGTGATCCCTGCTCACTGTAGCCTCGACCTCCTGGGCTCAAGTGATCCTCCCACCTCAGACTCCCAAGTAGCCAGGACTACAGGTGCATGCCACTACACCCAGCTGATTATTTTGTACTTTTGTAGAGATGGGTCTTGCTATGTTGCCCAGGCTGGTCTTGAACTCTTGGGCTCAAACCATCCTCCCATCTTGGCCTTCCAAAGTGCTGGGGCTACAGGTGTGAGTCACTGTGCTGAGCTTATGAATGTTTCTTATTTCTCTATTAGACTATGAGGTCTTACCTATATTTCTGTCCTTTACAGTGCCAAACACATCATTTTTACTGTTTACAAAACAGGTGCTTAGTGAATGCTTGTCAAAAAAAAAAAAAAGGAATGAATGAAAATTCCCACTTGGGGTGTGGGTGTGGCTTTGATGTTGTGGCCTTCTCTTTCTTCACTGGAGTAACAAGCAAGACAATTCCCACTTCCAGGGCACGGGTCTAGCCTTGACTTGCAGAGATGCTGCCTGTTGGATGTCCCGTCTTGTTTGGACGACGCTGGATATTAGGTGGCTGTTGAATGTCAGTGACAGTCCCAGCACTTTCTGTATAGACCCTGAGATTTCCTTGTAGTAACCACATAGACTGTTGAGATTTTATGGTAGTGAGAAAAAACTAGTGATTCTCTTACTGTGTCCCCCTCCCTCTGCACCTATCCCACTCCTTTTTACATCCCTGTGTGCTCCCCACAGGCAGTCTGTATTTAATTTAGAGTAGGGAATTACTAATCGAATTTTCCTTCCAGTGTGTGGAGCGCCGCCGCCGCTGCCTGCCATCTTGCTACGCCTTTGTTTTGTGCTTCCCACCTCAAGGCCACTGTACAAATGTGTTTGATTTGTGGTTGTGGTTTGTAGCTGTCACTGATTTCTTTTTTGTTGTTGTTGTTGCTGTGGCTGCAACTGTTTCCTTGCAGCTCAATTTTTAGCTGAGTGTTTGGGTAGTAAATATGGTTTACACCAACTGTGTTGGAAATAATGGCATTTATGTGCTGAAGTTTTTTCCAAAACCTGTGATGTGTGTATACAAATAGATCCACGGCAGGGCCCCTAGACTGGGGAGAACACAGACTCAATAAAACCTTTGAGATGGAGTATAAACAGGTGTCTGAGACTAGGGCTAGGCCAGGCGGTTCAGAAAAATACCCCCCACCCCTGATGTTGGCTCTAAACTTAAGCTCTACCATAAATACCTTGCTTAGCGTTGGGGGAGGTAGGAGATATTTTTGTGATCGTATTTATCTGCTAAATGTTCGCTTGTATCCTTTTGAGCATCTCACTATAAACTTCGCAATTTTTCTATTCACTCACCCTCAATGGCTTTAAACCTTAACTGCCCTGGATCTTAGTATTGGAAAAAAATGTGCCAAGAAACAATGGGATTGGCCTATGAAACTGGCAGCCCTCTTTTCTTCCAAATAGTTGCCAGTCTGGGGGTTCTTTGGTTTATGGGGTGAATCTAACCATTTTGAACAATGCCTTTTAAACTGTATCATGTGACTTTGCTAATCCCAACCTTGGGCAGGGAGTACAGAGTTAGAGAACTCTAAGAGGGGGGAGTCAGGCTGCTCTTGGTAGATGTGGCTCTACCCTCTGAATTTGGGTGGAGTGGGTTTCTTTGATGCCTAGATTCTTTTATTTTTCCCTTTTTTTTTTTTAAGAGACAGAGTCTTGCTCTGTCACCCAGGCTGGATTGCAGTGGCATGATCATAATTCACTGCAGCCTTGAACTCCTTGGCTCAAACAATCCTGCCTTAGCCTCTTGAATAGCGGGGACTGTAGGTGTGTACCACCACTCCTGGCTAATACTGTTTTTAAATTCTTTTTGTAGAGATGGAGTCTTGCTATATGGCCCAGCTGGTAATGCCTAGATTCTTGAGTCCCTCCCTGGCTCATCCCTGGGAGCAGCACTGAACCCCTTGTCTGACACCTGTCTGGAAATGGAGCCTGCACATTGACCCTAGGTAAAGATCTCATTTGCTAAGAGGTCAGGAGGGACTTCAAAGCTGTCTCGGCTCTCTGTGCTGAAGGCTGCATGACAAAGGCAGAGGAAGGGTGTTTCGATTGTTCTCCAACTTGTAAATGCCAAGCAGAAATCTTGTTGCAGTTCCTAAATGCCATATTTTGGTGTGTTTATTGTTTCCCCCGCTAACGGGGAAAGATGGTGAATGGACTAATAATTCAGGAGCCGAGAACATGTTTATTTGATTTTTAGAGCTTTAGCAAATACAGTGTGTACAAAACCCAGTGCCAACAGCATGCATAATTCCTCCAGGAATGGGGCTGATAGGAACACAAAGCTTGCACGCTTCAAAACTGTAACCAATATTTACACATCTGAGTGACTAATTCTCTACTCTGAGCAGAAGAACAATAGGCATAATAGTCAGGTACATTAATGCAGAGTGTGCTCGTCTGGTGACTTGGATATTTGACACATAAACAAAGTTGTGGGGGTGCCACTGGGGGGAGAAGTGGAGGCTTTTTATCTACCTGTGTAACCATACACCAAACAGCAGGTTACAAACACACTCAGAAAATGCTGACCCAATGCCGTTCTTGTACCTCATATGCAGGATTGGCATATGATTTGCAGCGCTGCGGGAGTTCTGTAGCTGACCTCATTAGCAGCGCGTTTCCTGGCTTGTTAGCATCATATTTGTATAATTTACAGCACCTTCGTTTTTATGGAATGTGTTTCTTGTAGAGTGTAATGGCAGCAATATATTTAACCTATCGTATTTAGGAATGCTTTTGCTGGAGGCAGCCTGCAGATAGAAAGGGGACATTTTCTCCTCTCCTGCATGGGCCTTTTTTTGTTTTGTTTTGTTTGGTTTTGGCTTTTTAGCTGTCCCGTGTGTGTGTGTGTGTGTGTGTGTGTGTGTGCGTGTGTGTTGCATACATGTGTGCATGCTTTTGTGTATATACACATTTTCAAGTGTGAGTTTGCATACATGCATGCTTGTTTATGTATGTGTGTGCATATTTATCTGTGTATGCACGTTTGAAAGGGCCTGAAAGACACAAAGGGGCCCTAAAGGTGTGACTTCTGCTTCCAAGTTCAGAGGCTACTTTCAAGGACTCTCTTGACTCCCTGGCCAACATGTGCCTTTGGACTGTGAAGACCTCACAGTCCTAGATGCCTTGCTTTGAGAGGATGACATTGCAAAATGGGAAAGGAGCCAGGCAGGTTAGATATTTGGGAATAATGTTTTGGAGAGGGAGTAGGGGTGCTGTGAAGACGCTAATAAGGAAGGCAGAGCACTAAGGCGAGTTCTCCAGTCTCCGTGACCTCCTGGGGGCTTTGTAGAAAACAGTAAGATGGAAAAATGGAAAGTACATGTCACTCAGGGACAGATTCTGCCCCAACTGAATACTTGTCTTAGAAAAACATAGAGCCTGTGGATAGGAATGTGTACATTCTTCTCCTCTTAGAGACATGTAGGAAAGGTAGAAATGGCTGGAACCAAATACTTGAAAAGGGGTTAATGTGTTAATTTGGAGATCTCCAGGGGAAACCTTGGCCCAGGAGTCAGGAGTTCAGATCCCAGCCTCAGCCTGCTGCTGACGTGGCTGCATGACCTTGGGCAAATTGCTTCCCCATCTTGGGGCACAGTGTCCTTGTTTACAAAATGATGGGACTGGACTGGATGGTGATTCTCTAGAAGTGATGTTTTAATGCTCCCAGCCACTTGCCTATTCTGTTCCCGAAGGCAAATAAAGACAGAAGACTGGGGTTCCCATCAACCACATCGTCCGAGCTGTGTTCTTGAGGTTGACTTGCAGTGACCCAGAAGAGAGAAACACGGCTCTCCAGGAACTGTCAGTGTGTCTTAGTTCCATCTCCTGACAGGGGGCAAAAAGTGTGAATAGACTAATAATTCAGAAACCAAAGGCATGGCAGGGTGATTTTTAGAGCTTAAGTAAAAACTGGCACCAGAGCATGCATAGCTGCATATTTCCTTCCCATAATCACTTCTTGGCCTCAAAAAGAAACTCACTCCAGGGGCAAGACAAATAGGTGGGCCCTGGACTTTGTCAACCCACAATAGAATGATAAGAAATTAAAAGAATCTATTAAAATGACTCGAGGCACAGGGATAAGGCTTATCCAACTGGCTGGTCAGGTTGGGGTTCTTTGCATCTTCCCTCCATCCCTAGCTTTGGAAATTTCAGAAATATTTCTTTGACTGCTATCTTTTTCAATCCTATACCTCTTATCACTGACTACAAAGGCTCTGGGTTCTTGATTTTACTTAATAGATATGCCCCTAAAACATCAGAGTGGCTGGATTCTATGGTAATAATTCATAGAATTCAAATGCTAACAATTCAAAATGTCAAGTTGATATCCCAAATTTGAATGTAAGTTTATATTAAATTTTAAATGCACCAGGGTTGCTGACTATTTGAAGGTACCCAGTGATGAATTCTTTGGCAAAGAAAAATAATTGGCTGGGCTCGGTGGCTCACGCCTGTAATCCCAGCACTTTGGGAGGCTGAGGCGGGTGGATCACCTGTGGTCAGGAGTTTGAGACCAGCCTGGCCAACATGGCGAAACCCTGTCTCTACTAAAAATATAAAAATTAGCTGGTCATGGTGGCACATGCCTGTAATCTCAGCTACTTGGGAGGCTGAGGCAGGAGAATCACTTGAACCTGGGAGGTAGAGGTTGCAGTGAGCTGAGATTGTGCCTTGGCACTCCAGCCTGGGTGACAAGAGTGAAACTACATCTAAAAAAAATAAAAATAAAAATAAAAAAGCTTTGTAAAGTCTCTAGTTTTTAACTGAATCCTGAAATATTTATTGAGCACCTATGAAGTACTCGGGAGTCAGATAAAAACTATCAAATTCTTGCCTTCAAGAGGCTCTTAATCTAAATGTCGAATTGGGAATGGCAAGCATTTTGCATATACACATTAATATAGATAATAAAATGTGGACAGTTTCAGCATCCAGCATCCACTGATTAGGGTGTTTTCAAAATTCTATAAGAGAGAGTTTACTATTATAAATGTTTGTTCAAAAACTCTTATTAGTCCCACTTGACTGATTTGGTAACTAGCTTGTCTAAAGTGAAGATTAAAAAAAAGGTTTTTGCTTATACACTGCTGTTAGGAATGTAAATTACTTCAGCCATTGTGAAAAGCAGTATGGCAATTTCTCAAATAACTTAAAACAGAATTACCATTCAACTCAGCAATCCCATTACTGGATATATACTCAAAGGAATATAAATAGTTCTACCATAAAGACACATGCATGTGTATGTTTATTGCAGCACTATTCATAATAGCAAAGACATAGAATGAGCCTAAATGCCCGTCCATGGTAGACTGGATAAAGAAAATGCGGTATATATACACTATGGAATACTATGCAGCCATAAAAAAGAATGAGATCATGTCCTTTGCAGCAACATGGATGCGGCTGGAGACCATTATCCTAAGAGAACTAACGCAAGAGCGGAAAACCAAATCCTGCATGTTCTCACTTATAAGTGGGGGCTAAACGTTGAGTACACACATGGACACAAATAAGAGAATGATAGACACTGGGGGCTGCTGTAGGGTGGAAGGCGGAAGGAGGGTATGGTTTGAAAAAGCCCTATTGGGTACTATTCTTATTACCTAGTTGATGAAATAATTGTACACCAAACTGCTGTGACATGAAATTTACCTATATAATCAATCCGCATGTGTACTCCTAAACCTAAAATAAAAGTTAAAAAAAGAAGTTGTTAATCTGCACTCAGATTAGAGGAGTGGATACGTAGTTGGATAAACTCCTTCCCCTCTGTTAAGATAGAAGTGATCTTTTTTACCCTCTCTGTGGCCAGTTCCTCCACTTTGGATCACTAGATCATCCCATTCTTTCTCACCCCTTGTGATCTGGAACTACAGATTGCACGCATGCTCTCCTTTCTCATTAGCACTTAAACATGGCCAAACTGCTCCCATCTTAAAAATCATGTTCCTGCCATAATCTCTAGATTTACTACCTCTTTCTATCTGTTTCCAGCCACACTTTCTGAATGACCGTGTCATAGTCATCACTGCAGGTACTTTGCAGTCCACTTGGATGTGGCTTCTGTCCTTTACCAATGTCTCTGAAATTGTTCCCCAGGGTCACCAAAGAGCTGCAAGACACTAAATCTTACAGGTGCTCATCTTGTGGGCCCCCTTGCTAGCATGTGATCACTCTCTTCTGGAACATCACTTTCTCCTGGGGTCTGCTTGCCTTTTGGTTCACTTGTCAGTTTACTTCTTTAGCTTGGGGTTTGGTCCCTGACACCTTGTTGGAGTCCTTAAGGTTTTGACCAAGTCTCTCCTTTCTCTATTTTCCCCCTTGTCTAGACAATGTGTCTACATGCCACAACTTCAATGGCCTTTTGAAGGCTGCAGACTCTCCAACTCTCATGAGCCTCTCCTCCAACTTTCTACTAGGCAGCTCTTCTTGACTCCTTTGCCGTACCAAAGAGAATACACAGTACAATGGTTCAAATTAAGACTAGTTTAGTTTTCTTTCACATCGTAGTCCAGAATTCCTGGGCTTTCCAGGGAGACCAAGTGGGTCCATGAAGTTGCCCAGAGATTTAGTTTTTTTTTTTTTTGTCTTGTGACTTCACCATTTAAAGTATTACACTTTTCCACATAGAGAAAGATGTCTTGAATGCACTGTTTCCAGCACGTTCAAAGTGGGAGAGGAAGCTGAAGGCAATCCGCTTCCTCTTAAGAAAGTGACTCAGTAGGCCGGGCGTGGTGGCTCATGCCTGTAATCCCAGCACTTTGGGAGGCTGAGGCGGGTGGATCACCTGAGGTCAGGAGTTCGAGACCAGCCTGGCCAACAGCTGAGTTAGGCAACAGCTAAGTTAGGCAATGTGGTATTACCTGGGTGACTGAGTAGTCAGTTAAAACCTGGGATGTTCTATTTTGAAAATGAAAAATAGAAGGCCCTAGGCGTTATCAACCCAATGATAGAATAATAAGAAATTAAGTAAATCTATTAAAATGACCCAAGGAAAATGACAGGGATGAAGTTTGTCTGATTGGCTTGTAAGGCCAAGGTTCTTTGCACCTTCTCACCTGCTCTCCCTGGCATGGCCAGAAACTCAGGACTATGCTGTGCAAGAGAAGTACACTTCAGTCTTATTTGAGCCATTATATTGTGTATTGTCTCTGGTATTGCAAAGCAACCACGTGGCACTGCCTAATAGAAAGTTGGAGACAGAGACTCAGGTGAGCTGAGTGTCTACAGCACATATAACCCGCAGTCCCTCAGAATGATTATTGGGAGGACGGTTAGCTTCCTCTGCCACAGGCACCTCACGCTTAACATCTCCAAGACTCACCTCATTATTTTCCCCCTCAAACCTGCTGCTTCTATGATTCGATCATACTCTCAGTAAGTATCCTCATCACATACCCAGTCGCTCAAACCAGAAACTTGGAATCATTCTTGAGTTCTCTCTTTCCCTCACTGCTGCATATCCAATCTTTCTCCAACCCTAGTCACTCATACCTCTGAAATTTTTTTTATTCTATTTTATTTATTTATTTTTTGAGACAGGGTCTCACTCTGTCACCCAGTCTGGAGTGCAGTGGTGTGATCATGGCTTACTGCAGCCTCAAACTTCTGGGCTGAAGTGATCCTCTAGCCTCGGCCTCTCAAAGTCCTGGGATTACAGGTGCGTGCCACTGCACCTGGTCTTAAATATTTGTAGATTCACACACTTCTGTCTACCTTGTTGTTACCAGCTTAGTCCAAGACATCATTCCTGTTTTTTGGATCATTGCAAAAGTTCTTAACTGACCTTCCTACACTTAGTCTTGACCCTTCAGATCTATTTTCCATTTCATTGTCAAAGTTCCATTATAAAAATGGAAACGTGATCATATTCCTCCTGTTTCATATCCTTCAGTGGCTTTTCCTTAACCTCAAATTCTTCATGTGCTCTAGAGGACCTCGCATGATCTGGCCTCTACCAGTCTCTCCAGGGTTATCTCATGCCTCCCTGACCTTGGTTCTCTCCAGTCCTAACACTCTGGGTTGATTGCAGTTCCTACAGTCAGTAATGTTAGCACTTGATTCTGCTCTGTCAAATACACTACTCTCTCTTTTGGAGCACTCTTCTTGTCTCCCTCTCTTGCTTGTTAACTACTATTTAATTTAAAAGCTGAGTTTAGGGATGATTTTCTCAATGAGACCTTCCTCCTTCCTGCTGGGGCCGTCTCCTTGGTCTGTGCTCCTACTGCCCCTTGTCATTCATCTTTACTAACACTGATCTAGCCAATAATTCAATGACGGGGATCTGTATTTGCGACTGTATTGTAAGCTCCAAGAAGGCTGGGTTACCTTCTTTATTTGATTAATAAGATATGTAAAAACATGCTACCTTCAAATAATTCCTTTATTTATTTACCCACTGTTACGTTAAGCAAAGTCTTTGTATAATGATGTATGGCTTACGTATTACAATTATAACAATAGCAGCTTCTGTTCATAAAATTATTACAAATGTACAGTGAAAGAAACAATTAGTAATAAACAGAAATGATATATAATACTTAATTGTAATAGTAGCTCACATTTATATATACTATTTTATAATTGTGATGCTTTTACTTACATAACTTTTTTTAAATTTTATTTTATTATTATTATACTTTAAGTTTTAGGGTACATGTGCACAATGTGCAGGTTAGTTACATATGTATACATGTGCCATGCTGGTGTGCTGCACCCATTAACTCGTCATTTAGCATTAGGTGTATCTCCTAATGCTATCCCTCCCCTCTCCCCACACCCCACAACAGTCCCCAGAGTATGATGTTCCCCTTCCTGTGTCCATGTGTTCTCATTGTTCAATTCCCACCTATGAGTGAGAATATGCGGTGTTTGGTTTTTTGTTCTTGTGATAGTTTACTGAGAATGATGATTTCCAATTTCATCCATGTCCCTATAAAGGACGTGAACTCATCATTTTTTGTGGCTGCATAGTATTCCATGGTGTATACGTGCCACATTTTCTTAATCCAGTCTATCATTGTTGGACATTTGGGTTGGTTCCAAGTCTTTGCTATTGTGAATAGTGCCGCAATAAACATACGTGTGCATGTGTCTTTATAGCAGCATGATTTATAGTCCTTTGGGTATATACCCAGTAATGGGATGGCTGGGTCAAATGATATTTCTAGTTCTAGATCCCTGAGGAATCACCACACTGACTTCCACAATGGTTGAACTAGTTTACAGTCCCACCAACAGTGTAAAAGTGTTCCTATTTCTCCACATCCTCTCCAGCACCTGTTGTTTCCTGACTTTTTAATGATTGCCATTCTAACTGGTGTGAGATGGTATCTCATTGTGGTTTTTATTTGCATTTCTCTGATGGCCAGTGATGGTGAGCATTTTTTCATGTTTTTTGGCTGCATAAATGTCTTCTTTTGAGAAGTGTCTGTTCATGTCCTTCACCCACTTTTTGATGGGGTTGTTTGTTTTTTTCTTGTAAATTTGTTTGAGTTCATTGTAGATTCTGGATATTAGCCCTTTGTCAGGTGAGTAGGTTGCGAAAATTTTCTCCCATTTTGTAGGTTGCCTGTTCACTCTGATGGTAGTTTCTTTTGCTGTACAGAAGCTCTTTAGTTTAATTAGATCCCATTTGTCAATTTTGGCTTTTGTTGCCATTGCTTTTGGTGTTTTAGACATGAAGTCCTTGCCCATACCTATGTCCTGAATGGTAATGCCTAGGTTTTCTTCTAGGGTTTTTATGGTTTTAGGTCTAACATTTATGTCTTTAATCCATCTTGAATTAATTTTTGTATAAGGTGTACGGAAGGGATCCAGTTTCAGCTTTCTACATATTGCTAGCCAGTTTTCCCAGCACCATTTATTAAATAGGGAATCCTTTTTCCATTGCTTGTTTTTCTCAGGTTTGTCAAAGATCAGATAGTTGTAGATATGCGGCGTTATTTCTGAGGGCTGTGTTCTGTTCCATTGATCTATATCTCTGTTTTGGTACCAGTACCATGCTGTTTTGGTTACTGTAGCCTTGTAGTATAGTTTGAAGTCAGGTAGCGTGATGCCTCCAACTTTGTTCTTTTGGCTTAGGATTGACTTGGCAATGTGGGCTCTTTTTTGGTTCCATATGAACTTTAAAGTAGTTTTTTCCAATTCTGTGAAGAAAGTCATTGGTAGCTTGATGGGGATGGCATTGAATCTATAAGTTACCTTGGGCAGTATGGCCATTTTCACGATATTGATTCTTCCTACCCATGAGCATGGAATGTTCTTCCATTTCTTTGTATCCTCTTTTATTTCATTGAGCAGTGGTTTGTAGTTCTCCTTGAAGAGGTCCTTCACATCCCTTGTAAGTTGGATTCCTAAGTATTTTATTCTCCTTGAAGCAATTGTGAATGGGAGTTCACTCATGATTTGGCTCTCTGTCTGTTATTGGTGTATAAGAATGCTTGCGATTTTTGTACATTGATTTTGTATCCTGAGACTTTGCTGAAGTTGCTTATCAGCTTAAGGAGATTTTGGGTTGAGACAATGGGATTTTCTAGATATACTATCATGTCATCTGCAAACAGGGACAATTTGACTTCCTCTTTTCCTAATTGAATACCCTTTATTTCCTTCTCCTGCCTTATTGCCCTGGCCAGAACTTCCAACACTATGTTGAATAGGAGTGGTGAGAGAGGGCATCCCTGTCTTGTGCCAGTTTTCAAAGGGAATGCTTCCAGTTTTTGCCCATTCAGTATGATATTGGCTGTGGGTTTGTGATAGATAGCTCTTATTATTTTGAGATACGTCCTATCAATACCTAATTTATTGAGAGTTTTTAGCATGAAGCGTTGTTGAATTTTGTCAAAGGCCTTTTCTGCATCTATTGAGATAATCATGTGGTTTTTGTCTTTGGTTCTATTTATATGCTGGATTACATTTATTGATTTGCGTATATTGAACCAGCCTTGCATCCCAGGAATGAAGCCCACTTGATCATGGTGGATAAGCTTTTTGATGTGCTGCTGGATTCGGTTTGCCAGTATTTTATTGAGGATTTTTGCATCAATGTTCATCAAGGATATTGGTCTAAAATTCTCTTTTTTTGGTTGTGTCTCTGCCAGGCTTTGGTATCAGGATGATGCTGGCCTCATAAGATGAGTTAGGGAGGATTCCCTCTTTTTCTATTGATTGGAGTAGTTTCAGAAGGAATGGTACCAGTTCCTCCTTGTACCTCTGGTAGAATTTGGCTGTGAATCCATCTGGTCCTGGACTCTTTTTGGTTGGTAAGCTATTGATTATTGCCACAATTTCAGCTCCTGTTATTGGTCTATTCAGAGATTCAACTTCTTCCTGGTTTAGTCTTGGGAGGGTGCATGTGTCGAGGAATTTATCCATTTCTTCTAGATTTTCTAGTTTATTTGCATAGAGGTGTTTCTAGTATTCTTTGATGGTAGTTTGTATTTCTGTGGGATTGGTGGTGATATCCCCTTTATCATTTTTTATTGCGTCTATTTGATTCTTCTCTCTTTTCTTCTTTATTAGTCTTGCTAGCGGTCTATCAATTTTGTTGATCCTTTCAAAAAACCAGCTCCTGGATTCAATAATTTTTTGAAGGGTATTTTGTGTCTCTATTTCCTTCAGTTCTGCTCTGATTTTAGTTATTTCTTGCCTTCTGCTAGCTTTTGAATGTGTTTGCTCTTGCTTTTCTAGTTCTTTTAATTGTGATGTTAGGGTGTCAGTTTTGGATCTTTCCTGCTTTCTCTTGTGGGCATTTAGTGCTATAAATTTCCCTCTACACACTCCTTTGAATGTGTCCCAGAGATTCTGGTATGTTGTGTCTTCGTTCTCTTTGGTTTCAAAGAACATCTTTATTTCTGCCTTCATTTCGTTATGTACCCAGTAGTCATTCAGGAGCTGGTTGTTCAGTTTCCATGTAGTTGAGCAGTTTTGAGGGAGTTTCTTAATCCTGAGTTCTAATTTGATTGCACCGTGGTCTGAGAGACAGTTTGTTTTAATTCTGTTCTTTTACATTTGCTGAGAAGAGCTTTACTTCCAACTATGTGGTCAATTTTGGAATAGGTGTGGTGTGGTGCTGAAAAAAATGTGTATTCTGTTGATTTGGAGTGGAGAGTTCTGTAGATGTCTATTAGGTCCACTTGGTGCAGAGCTGAGTTCAATTCCTGGGTATCCTTGTTGACTTTCTGTCTCGTTGATCTGTCTAATGTTGACAGTGGGGTGTTAAAGTCTCCCATTATTAATGTGTGGGAGTCTAAGTCTCTTTGTAGGTCACTCAGGACTTGCTTTATGAATCTGGGTGCTCCTGTATTTGGTGCATATATATTTAGGATAGTTAGCTCTTCTTGTTGAATTGATCCCTTTACCATTATGTAATGGCCTTCTTTGTCTCTTTTGATCTTTGTTGGTTTAAAGTCTGTTTTATCAGAGACTAGGATTGCAACCCCTGCCTTTTTTTGTTTTCCATTTGCTTAGCTCTGCACGTGAGATGGGTTTCCTGAATACAGCACACTGATGGGTCTTGACTCTTTATCCAATTTGCCAGTCTGTGTCTTTTAATTGGAGCATTTAGTCCATTTACATTTAAAGTTAATATTGTTATGTGTGAATTTGATCCTGTCATTATGACAGGATGTTAGCTGGTTATTTTGCTCATTAGTTGATGCAGTTTCTTCCTAGCCTCGATGGTCTTTACAGTTTGGCATGATTTTGCAGTGGCTGGTATTGGTTGTTCCTTTCCATGTTTAGTGTTTCCTTCAGGAGCTCTTTTAGGGCAGGCCTGGTGGTGACAAAATCTCTCAGCATTTGCTTGTCTGTAAAGTATTTTATTTCTCCTTCACTTATGAAGCTGAGTTTGGCTGGATATGAAATTCTGGGTTGAAAATTCTTTTCTTTAAAAATGTTGAATATTGGCCCCCACTCTCTTCTGGCTTGTAGAGTTTCTGCCAAGAGATCCGCTGTTAGTCTGATGGGCTTCCCTTTGTGGGTAACCCGACCTTTCTCTCTGCCCTTAACATTTTTTCCTTCATTTCAACTTTGGTGAATCTGACAATTAAGTGTCTTGGAGTTGCTCTTCTCGAGGAGTATCTTTGTGGTGTTCTCTGTATTTCCTGAATCTGAACGTTGGCCTGCCTTGCTAGATTGGGGAAGTTCTCCTGGATAATATCCTGCAGAGTGTTTTCCAACTTGGTTTCATTCTCCCCGTCACTTTCAGGTACACCAATCAGACATAGATTTGGTCTTTTCACATAGTCACATATTTCTTGGAGGCTTTGTTCATTTCTTTTTATTCTTTTTTCTCTAAACTTCTGTTCTCGCTTCATTTCATTCATTTCATCTTCCATCACTGATACCCTTTCTTCCAGTTGATTGCATCGGCTCCTGAGGCTTCTGCATTCTTCACGTAGTTCTCAAGCCTTGGCTTTCAGCTCCATCAGCTCCTTTAAGCACTTCTCTGTATTGGTTATTCTAGTTATATATTCGTCTAAATTTTTTTCAAAGTTTTTAACTTCTTTGCCTTTGGTTTGAATTTCCTCCTGTAGCTCGGAGTAGTTTGATCGTCTGAAGTCTTCTTCTCTCAACTCGTCAAAGTCATTCTCCGTCCAGCTTTGTTCCATTGCTGGTGAGGAACTGCGTTCCTTTGGAGGAGGAGAGGCGCTCTGCTTTTTAGAGTTTCCAGTTTTTCTGCTCTGTTTTTTCCCCATCTTTGTGGTTTTATCTACTTTTGGTCTTTGATGACGGTGATGTAGAGATGGGTTTTTGGTGTGGATGTCCTTTCTGTTTGTTAGTTTTCCTTCTAACAGACAGGACCCTCAGCTGCAGGTCTGTTGGAGTTTGCTAGAGGTCCACTCCAGACCCTGTTTGCCTGGGTACCAGCAGCGGTGGCTGCAGAACAGCGGATTTTCGTGAACTGCGAATGCTGCTGCTGATCGTTTCTCTGGAAGTTTTGTCTCAGAGGAGTACCTGGCTGTGTGAGGTGTCAGTCTGCCCCTACTGCGGGGTGCCTCCCAGTTAGGCTGCTCGGGGGTCAGGGGTCAGGGACCCACTTGAGGAGGCAGTCTGCCTTTTCTTAGATCTCCAGCTGCATGCTGGGAGAACCACTGCTCACTTCAAAACTGTCAGACAGGGACATTTAAGTCTGCAGAGGTTACTGCTGTCTTTTTGTTTGTCTGCACCCTGCCCCCAGAGGTGGAGCCTACAGAGGCTGGCAGGCCTCCTTGAGCTGTGGTGGGCTCCACCCAGTTCGAGCTTCCCGGCTGCTTTGTTTACCTAAGCAAGCCTGGGCAATGGCCAGCACCCCTCCCCCAGCCTCGCTGCCACCTTGCAGTTTGATCTCAGACTGCTGTGCTAGCAAGCAGCGAGACTCCGTAGGCGTAGGACCCTCTGAGCCAGGTGTGGGATATAATCTCCTGGTGCGCCATTTTTTAAGCCTGTTGGAAAAGTGCAGTATTAGGGTGGGAGTGACCCAGTTTTCCAGGTGCTGTCTGTCACCCCTTTCTTTGACTAGGAAAGGGAACTCCCTGACCCCTTGTGCTTCCCGAGTGAGGCAATGCCTCGCCCTGCTTTGGCTCATGCACGGTGCGCTGCACCCACTGTCCTGCACCCACTCTCTGGCACTCCCTAGTGAGATGGACCCGGTACCTCAGATGGAAATGCAGAAATCACCCGTCTTCTGCGTCGCTCACGCTGGGAGCTGTAGACCAGAGCTGTTCCTATTTGGCCATCTTGGCTGCCCTTCCTATTTATATAACTTTATTGATCCTCATGAGACTCTGTCGGAAATGTCAGGTGAATTATTTCCACTTTACAGGTGTAAAAACTGAGGCTTGGTGAAGTTAAGAGATTTAACCAAAGTCCTTGACTTAATCAATAAAGAAGCCAGAGCATGAGTCCAGATCTCTTGAGTTCAGAGCCAGAGTCCTGTCTACTGTGTCAGGCCTGACAGGGAATATGAAATACAACTATGCATATCTCTAGCTTCTGTGTCTGATACAGGCAGGCATTTGATAATTACTTGTTGAACAAATATATGTACAAATAGATATACCAGTAGATCTGACAATATTACTGCGATGTTACACCAACATGTAAGTCAACAATTATGGAGTAATAAACAGAAATAATAAAATACATTATACTATACAGGAGAGAGATGGAATCTGGCCAACAGACTAGGTAATTGCTCTTAAGTGAGTTCAAAGATCACTTTAAATAACTATGTGGGTGTGGGAGGTCTATATCTACATCTCAATAATCTTGAAACCACTGATGACGGGCTTGACAAAGGAGGTTTTATTATAACTTGGGACTTGATTGAAATGCAAGGTGTAAAATGTGTGAATAATACCCAGTTTGACTTTCCCTTATGCACAGGAAGAAACAGAAGGCTGCCGTCTCTGTCACTGGCTTGGGAAGGCTTAAATATTCTTCTGTTGAAACTTCATTTTCTCTCTAACCTCATCTGAGCATTGGAATGTGTTCTTGACTAAAGTGGGTACCAGGTGGCCATCTACAGAGCTTCTCCAGAATAGCCAGTGTATCCTTCTCTGGGTGGGGTATTTGGGGGTAGATAGCATATCCTTCTCTGGGTGGGGCATTTTGGGGTAGATAGCATATCCTTCTCTGGGTGGGGTATTTTGGGGTAGACAGCACCTCCATCAATAACATTGATTCCCCCAAGGGGAGACCTTAACTCTGGGAAGGTAAGAATTATCTTAAAGACCTACCATTCTGGTAATTCTAAGAGGGGAAAATTTGCCTGATCTGAGGGTCTTGCATTTTTAATTTTCTTGGTTAGTTTCAAGGTTAGCTACAGGTATGTAAAGCACCTAGTATATTTGTTGAACATAATATGAATAGGTGCTCAATAATTGGTTATAATTATGAAGATAATGTAGCCAACTATAAAGAAAGTGCATGGACATGGGTTGAAACCCAGTTTTGACACTTATTAGGTGGCAACATAGCTTCCCGATCATGAGCAAGTTAAACATTCTAATCTTAAGTTATTTCCAGCCATGAAAATAACAGTAGCCATTTTGAGTGAGGTTCTCTATTAGGTCTTGTATTCCTGTTATTTCTTAGCATTATAGCAGCTTTGAATGCTCAAGTTTATAGGTAAGGTAACTGAGGCTCAGAGACATTAGTGATTTGCCTTAGGATGTGGTCATTTAGCTAATGTCAAAGCTAGAGCTAAATCCAGGTCTGTCTGATTCCAACACCTGGTTATTTTCCACTTCATAACACTGCTTATGTGAAATAGAGATGACAAAAATGCTGAATTGTTGTGATGATTAGAGTCAGCACATGGCACACATTTGGCATTCAAAATAGTAGCTATCACTATTAATTGTGCCTTAGGTGGTACAGGACAATCTATATATTCATATTAACCAGAGTTGGAAGAGCTTTGACATGTACTATCCATTAGGACCGCTGGTTGGCATATAGTGGACACTCGATAAGTGCTTCTTAATGTGTTAAAGATGTTGCAATGTTCCATATTAAAGGTCAAGTAATGTCTGAATTTATAATTGGAGTCTGTCCTTTTGCACCCCCACCACATACAGCTCTTTCACCTGTGAAAGTTTTGTGAAACACAGTAGGACAAGGAATTATGAGAAGAGGTCTTGTTGAAATAGCTGACTTTTTTGGCCCCATCTCAAAATATATTGAGATAATTCAATTTCTTTATGGCTAAGCAGACTCTTATCAGACCAACCCTCTACAAACAGGCAATAACTTTAAACTCTAGGGAAAAAGTTTAAAATACCAGCTACCCAAAGGCACTGCAGAGTTAACAAAGGTGAGCAGATTCTCCAGGGATATTGATATTTGGAAGAAGGAAGAGTATGGGATAAGTTTTCCCCTTACTGAGGCCTTTGGCTGCAGTCAGCACCACATAGGGAAGTTAAAAACTTCTATAGAAAACCTGCAGTCTTTCTGGCCAGAAGAACCAGATGAGAGATTCGGGCAACGACAGCTGCTAAATATAAACTTCATGCAGATCTCTGGTGACCCTGAATCAAGCATGTATGGAGTACAATCCAAGAAGCTCAGCTAAAGATAGAAGAATTGAACTAAGATTTGAGTTGACACCCAAGAGACAGTTTGCAATCTGAGTCTAACAAAGCTAATTACCCACTATAACAACAACAACAACAATAACAACAACTCAACACTCTTCTGTGAAATATAACAGAATCCGGAGTAACCACAACACAACATTCACAATGTCCAGAATATAATCCAAAAATATTCAACACAGAAAGATCCAGGAAAATGTGAGCTATTTTCAACAGAAAACACTATCACTGAAGACTGATCCCTACTTGGTCTGAATGTTGGAATACATAGATAAGATTTCAAAGTAGTTATTATATGTACTCATTAACATCAGAGAAAATATGATTGAAATAAATTTAAAAAAATCTCAGTAGAGACACTATTAAAAAAACAAATAGAGCTGATAAGTAGAATATCTGAAGTGAAGATTCACTTAACGGATTTAAAAGCAGAATGGAGATGAAGCAGAAAGACTCAGTAAACTTGAAGATAGAGCAATAAAAAGTATGCAATCCTAAGAATAGAACAACAACAACAAAAAATCCCAAACAAATAACAAATGAATAGAATCTCAGATACCTGTGAGACAAAATAGAAATATCTAACATATGTTTAACAGAGTTCCAAAACAGGAGAGAGAATGGAGTAGGAAAAAATAATTTGAAGAAATAATCAGCAAAAGTATACTGAAAAATATGAAAATATAAAATATGAAAAATGAAATATATTGACCAAGTAGAGATTAGTCTTCACTGATTTCCCAAAGGTGATGAAAGACATAAATTTACACATTCAAGAATCTTAGCAAGCCTCAAGCAGGATAAATATGAAGAAAATCGTTCTTTGGCACATCATAGTCAAACTGCTGAAAACCTAAAAGATGAAAAAAATTCTCAAGAGAAAGGACACAGTATATACAGGAGGACAATGAGTCAATGGAGGACAGAATATAATAAAGGACCACCTTCGAAATTATAAAAGAAGAAAAAGACTTGCTCACCCAGAATTTATATCCAAGTGAAAATATTATTTAAGAATACAAGTAAAAAAGAGACATTTTTAGATAAAAGAAAACTAGCTGAGTTCATCAGACCCACACTACAAAAAATGCTGAAGAAAGTTCTTTAGGCTCAAAGGAAGTGATATCAGATGGAAAAGTGGATCTTCAGGAAGGATGAAGAGCATAAAAATTGTGCAATACAGCTGGGCATGTTGGCTCACACCTGTAATCCCAGCATTTTGGGAGGCCGAAGTGGGTGGATCTCTTGAGCCCAGGAGTTCGAGACCAGCCTGGGCAACATGGTGAAACTCCATCTCTACAAAAATACAAAAAAATTTAGCTGGGCATGATGGTGCACACCTGTAGTCCCAGCTATTCTGAGACTGACGTGGGAGGATTACTTGAGGCTGGGGAGGTCGAGGCTGCAGTGAGCCGTGATTGTGCCACTGCACTCCAGCCTGGGTGACACAGTGAGACACTGTCTGAAAAGAAAAAAAAAAAAAAGAAAGGTAAATATAAAATACTCCTTTTTTATTTATTTCCTTAAAATGCATGTGACACATTTAAAGCATAAAATATTGCATCAACTTATGGGGTTTATAACAGTAGATGTGACACAAGTGACAGCAACAGCAGAAAGGATGGCAGAGATGGGAAACAGACCTATAGAGTCATGGTCTTTTTATATTTCGCATGAAAAGGCAAAATAGTAATTCTAGTCGATTGTGAAAAGTTAAGAATGTATATGATAATCACTAGAAAAAACAAACAAAAATAATGCAATGAGTTATAGAAAAGCCAACAGATGCATAGAAGAGATTTATTTTTCCCTGTCCCTCTCTGTCTGAAAGTCATCTTGATTACTAGTTGTCAGTGGAAACTGAAGAATGCCTTCATCTATTCATTCAGATGTGTATCCATCCAATAGATATTTATTGCACAGTGTTGAGATTTTCAGACACTGTACTAGGCTTTGAGGATATAAATAAAATAGCACATAATCCTTGCCTTCGAGGAACTTTGTCCTTCTCCCGCATAAATTGCTGAAGACTCTTCTGACTTCTGCACTGGTGGAGTCCTCAATCTTGTCATTTTGGGGGCCATTTAGGGAAAGAGTTAGTGGGAGCCTCAAAAACACCCATCTTTCTAGCTTCAGGTAATAGGTGCTCTAAGCAGACTTTCTACATGGAGAGGATGATGTTCTCTGATTTCTTTTCTAGCTGTAGTGGGAAAGGTCTCAATGAGATGGGAGGTTTGGAAGGCTGAGGTTTATGCCCTTGACTCAGAGTGAGAAGACGAGGTTCCAGTCCTACCTACTGCTTGCTCAGCTGCGTGACTTAACACAATTCACTTACACTCTCTAAGCCTCAGTTTCATCAATTGCAAAACCGGCTAGTAATCTCTGCCATTGCTCTTAAAAGAGGTAAATCTAGATCTGTTTCCTGGGTTCCAAGGTCAGTTTGGCTCAGGGGTCCACATGCAATATTTTAAAATCACGTAGAAGTAGGTGTTCTGAAACCAATTCTCCAACTTGAGTCTTGGGCAGAATGACTGAAGACATTTACTCGGAAGTTTATGTTCTTGATTCAATTTTGTTTTCCTGTAGGATTTAATTTGATAGAGTGGAATATGCATAGGCTTTGGTTTAAATTCTAGCTCTGCACTCACTAGGTATGTGACCTTGGATAGTATACTTCAGTTTTCTCCTCTATCTCACGGGGATAATAATGCTTAGATTGTATGGCACAGAGGACCAGCTGTCCACCAAAGAGTCTTGCTTCTCTTCTATAGTTTCTGGAAGCTGCTCAGCTAGTGCCAAGGAATTGCATCTGGGAGTGTGTCTATGATTAATTCTCATCAATCCAACGTGAGCAGAAGCTGATGCAGTCTACTTACAGGGCAGCCCCCTCCCCACAAAGCCCTTTCCTCGACAAACCTCCATGTTCTTTCCCCTTCAGACCTGGCACACAGCAAGAGCACAACAAGCTTGGAAGCCACATGTTGGAGATGGTAGAGCCACAAGGTTCAAGGCTGCTGGGGCCCTTAGTTACTACCTGGAGCAGAGCTACCCCACTCCTACAGATGCCGTTTTAGAATAAGCATGAGTGACAAATGCATTTCTATTGTGCTAGAGCTGTCATACATTTTGGGGTTTTTTTTTTTTTTTACAGCGTTACCCTGTTCATTTAGAAAGCACAAATTACGTAAAGCATCTGGCGTGTTATCTGTCACATGGCAGGGTTAAATAAATAAAAGTGCCCTTCTGCCTGACGAGGATATTTTTATCAGATTGGATGAGGAGTTGACATCATTCTTGCTTATGTTGTATTTTTGTCATCTACACATGCGACTCTCATTTCCCAAATAAGCCAAGCAGAGGTAGTAATACCAACCGCCCTCCTAGAGTCATTGAGAAATAAGTGACTACTCAGCAGGAATGTGAAAGCTGTGGCTGAGAGTATTCCAGAAACATCAGATGATAACTGGATGGGGCAGGTGAGACTAAATGAAACTCAAAACAAAATCTTTCTTGAAAGGAGCAAATGTTGTTGGACCATTATCAGACAAGGAGTTTGAGGAGAAGCTGTTTTCCCTTAAGAAATCTTTCTGTTGAGTGCCCTTACTTAAAACGCATGTGACACATTCAGTTAGAAGTGTATATTCAGTCACTGACAAAGATGGGTCTTTGACCATCAATTACAGCTTCAGGGCAGGCTTGGAACTGAAAGGATGAAGGACTGTGTGACCATCTCCAAAAAACCAAACCCAGCAATCACGTAGGTCCAAGGGCTCAGGGCAGTAAGAAAGCACCTTCCCCGTAGCCCACCAGGCAAGGCCTTGGGATGGGTGGAGGGGACGTCTCTTTGCTCACCTCTGGTACCTTGTTGCCACCTAACACTGACTCTTCCTTGCGTTTGTGTCATCAGGCCAGCCTAGGCAGATACCCAGAGCGGGTTCTGTGGCCCCTGGGTAGGTTAGCAATGTTTTCTGCCCTGGGGGCTGGGCCTGCCAGCACAATGGTGTGCAGGGCAGGCCTCTGAGAACTTGGAATCTGATTAGGCAGCTGTCACATAGCCCCAAGGCAGTGTTCCTCAAGGGTGGGCCCAGCAGCAGGGGCTGAGGCAGGGTTTGAACTGAGGGCGGAAGTCAAGAAGCACAGAGAAGGGGAGATCTCTCCACAGCCAGAGGAAGGAGGAGCCAGCAGTGGAGGATGCAGGCGCTGCTGAGTGCCCGCCTGGCTTTTGGGGCCTCGTCCCCGCACAAGGAGCCTGCTCCGGGTTGGTCGGAGCATCCTGCCAGGCCCTTCCAAGGATGGGCAGTGCAGCCCAGCCAGCACATTCTGCTCAGCTGGTTTTCCTCCAGCTCTTCTCAGCGCGTTGTTACTTCTGCTGGGCTTAGCACATCTCCTCATCCCTCCCCCGGCTCAGTCCAGTGCAAACCAATTCTCCAGGCAGAGAGGAGTATTGGGTTCAGATCATCTCTTCACGGCTGCTTTCAGAGCACTGCCTCTCCTGCTTTCAGCCCTGCAAGTGGAGCGTGCGGTCCCCTATGGCATGGACTGGCCCGTCGCACACTCAGCAGCCTCCCCTTCCCAGGGCTTAGTTCAGTCCAACCAAGAGAACTGGAGAACCTGATCCACGCCTCCTTGTTCTAACTCACTTCTGCTTGACTACCTTGCTTTTGTTACTCAAAGTCTCTCTCTCTCTCTTCTCGTCTCCCCCTCTCCTTACAAATGCCTTTGCAGCGGCCCTGGGAGTGCACGGCAGCACCAATAACGTCTCCATGGTTTCTTGTTAGCTGCTCTCTAAGCAGGAAAGTGACTCGGCCTGACAATATAATTTACATTGCTGTATAAAACTATCTGTGGAAGCCAAGCTAATTTGTGCCAGATTAGGCTATTTGTCTCAGCCACTGTCTAGCAGCACAATCTATCAGAGGGCTGTTTTCAAATATCGCTTTTCAAGCGTGCCCTTGAGAGGCAGAAATTGATTGGGATCTTAGAGAGCAAAATTACAGCAATAACTTAAAAGAAACAATAATTACTGAATCATACCAGTGTCAGCACTCTGCAAAACACGAAATAGCCATCAAACCCCAATCCAATATATTCTGAAGCGAATTTATTGAATGGAAAAAGCAGTTGAGTGAGGGTTTTTCTCCCCCTCCTCCCCTTCCCCTGTACATATGGTTATCTCAAAACCGCAAGTGAATGAGTCGATAATTCTTGTCATTGACTGCTCCATTTTCACGGAGTTAGAGGAGATCCATTAGCCGCCCCCTGCCGCACCGTCTCCCTCTCTCCCTCGCTCCCTCTCTCTTTCTTCCCATTGCCTCTATTCATTTGCTAGTCTCTGCTCTTCAAGCAAACAAACATGTATAACTAATCATCTGTTAAAATGCAGAGGGCCCCTAATAAATCTCCGCAGTTGAAATACTTTAATGGGTAATTAATTGATCCTGTTCCAGAGGAGTAATAAGATAATAAATTAGACAATATTTCACTCAGTCGTGGCAGGCTCCTAGCTAATGGCGCTGTAGGGCTAAGCTGAAGGATAATAAATTAGCCAGAAATTAACTGCTAAGAGCTTTCTGCAGAGAAATCGGCTGACAAGTGAGTCACACGCGTGATTCAGGGCTTGACTGGTGCGGTGGCAATCTCGGTGAATATGAACTTGTGCTTCTGGAGGGGGCCTGGGGATCGGGCATGCTCAGTGGGCCCTGGTGGGATTATGTCCCCAGCCTGAGAGAGCTTGGTGGGCTACACCCCGAGTGCGTACAGCTGACCTGTGTCCTTTGCTTGCACGCTGACCCGGTTCCTTGGAGCTGAAAAGTCCAGAACATCATGCCCTCTCGAAAATAGTCTTTTCCCAAGTCATCAGACTTGCTGAGTTTTTATGGATTTCACCCGCAAAACCTTCAGCCACCAAGCTCCATCCAGTGCTTCCTCGGCAAATACATAAATAAGGACGGATTGAGCCTCATACTCTGTTACCAGCGAGGGCATCACAAAAATTAAGCAGAAAAAAGAGTAGGGAGGATGGAGTGACTTACATTTTTCAACATGTAAGAAGTATTTGTTTTGGGGTATAATGGAGAAAAACTCTTGGTTTTATTGAGGAACTTGGGGAGGGCGATGGGTCTTAATAGGCAAGAAGTTAGACCTGGACGGTCAGGTGGGCCTTTTCTTGAGGAAGTAGCAAGTCAGCTTCTCCATGGAGGAAGGCCTTGGCGTAAAAGTGGAAGGTTGGAGGAGAACTCAGTTGGTTATCTGAGGTGGTATGAGTTCTTTCTTGCTCTTTTTTACTAAATAGCTGTGTGACCTTGTGTAGTCTACCTCAATACTCCGAGCTTTGCTTTGCTTATCAGTAAAACGGTGATAAGATGAATAAATTAAATAAGTCGGCAAAACTTCCAGTTCCATGTCTCATCCATAGGAGAGGCAAATTTAATGCTACTTATTACCTGGGGATCAGTGGGAAAGGTTATCATTTATAAGCAAGGGAGATGGCAGACAAAGAAATGAAAGGTGACTGGCAGTGGGAGACAGCAGGCTCCTCCACTTAGTCTGGAATAAGAACCTGATCACTTGTACCCACACCCTGCAGCCTGTCCAAACTGAGGTGAGCTCACCTTCTGCCAGAACAGTCTCTCATTGCTAATGGTAAACGTGGGTGGATTAATCTTCTGAGTCATGGTGATTGTAGCAATGTGGGTTGAAGGCTTAAATTGAGCTTGATTGTTTAAATGAGATAATGTAGACACTAAAGGATGTGGAGCCCGGAAAGGAGAAAGTCAAGGGTGACTCCTGGCTTGGGCTGTGGGCTGCATGCAGTTCCTGCTGTCTCTGCATCACAGTGGGAGGGAACACTTGTCCTGCCAGAGGGGCCCTGGAAAATGCCTGTGCTGATCTTTGAAGCCTGGAGCTGGCTTCCATTGCTGCTTCTGCTGCTGCTGCTGGAGCCACAGCTGCCCGAGGAGCCTGCTGTCGTGGCTTCTTCTAGTTCCTCACAGGGTCCCTGAGTACAACAGATGCACACATGCCTTGCTCTTGCCCATGCATCTTGTCCTTTGCCTCTTACCCTGGAGTTTTCTGTTGCTGTTTAGGCATGAAGTGAACACTGCGGCTCCCACTTAGCACTTGGGCACGTGCATCCTTGAAGCACACTGGGGTTAACACCCTGGGCGGGGAACATACTTTGACCAATAGGAGACGGCCACCAGTGGGTAAATTGTTCTCCTTTTCTCCCCTGCGTGGACTCTTTGAAGATGGAGTGGCTTCCCTCGGCCTCTTTGAAGATATCCTTTGACACCAAGCAATCAGTTTCCATAAAGCCGTGCCCCACTCAGCCAGGGTCCCCTCTTCTCCTGACTCTCCCTTCTTCCCAGCTCCTTCCTTTTCTCCCACTCCTGCTTTCCTGAGACGGCATTCCCTAATAAAGCACTGGCACACGAAACAACCAAAAAAGAGACAACGCCCGTGAACCCATGGCCTGTCCTTGTGACCATCGGGAACGGTGGCACTGGCACCCCCTGCCTTGCGTCAATGCTCTTCATCTTTCCGGGAGGGCATCCACCTGGGCAGTTCTTGGAAGACAAGACCCTGCACTGTCTCTGGTGGACTTCAGGGTGGCTGGGAACCACAGTCAGCAGCCCCAGGACTGTTCTTATTCTGAGGGAGATGCTGGGCCTCCTGAGGGCCTGGCCTGAAGGACTGTAGCAGAACATGTTCACCTGGGAGCTGCACACTGCCTAACTGAATGCAACAGGAGTTTCCCAGATAGAAATGGCCAGGTGGGTGGAGCTCACACGGTAAGGGCCCATTAACTGACATTTATTTTAAAAAATAAACACGCCTGTAATCCCAGCAATTTGGGAGGCTGAGGTGGGTGGATCACTTGAGGTCAGGAATTCAAGACCAGCCTGGGCAACATGGTGAAACCCCACCTCTACAAAAAATACAAAAGTTAGCCAGGGGTGGTGACATGCATCTGTCTCAGCTACTCGGGAGGCTGAGGCAGAAGAATCGCTTGAACCTGGGAGGCAGAGGTTGCAGTGAGCCGAGATCAAGCCACTGCACTCCAGCCTGGGCGACAGAACAAGACTCTGTCTAAAAAAAACCTCCAAAATCCAAAAACAAAAACATGTCCTCCTTCATTCTTTGCTGTTATATGTGGAACGGCTTCCTGACTCCCATCAGCCCATCCTCTTCCAGGCTAGTTCTTTGTACCTTGAGGCTGCAGAACTGGAAGAGAGGTTGAAGCCACTAAACTTAACTTCAGCCTCAGATGAAACAGGCCAGTGGATGGACTGCTGAGCTTGGAGTACCATTTCCTGTATTTGGATCATCAGACACTTTTAAAAAAAATGAGTGGGTGCGATGGCTCACACCTGTAATCCCGGCACTTTGGGAGGCTGAGGTGGGAGGATAGCTTGAGGCCAGGAGTTTGAGACAAGCCTGGGCAACATAGCAAGATCCCATCTCTACAAACGTAAAACCAAAACAACAAAAAAAAATTCTCTCTCCAAGGTTTGAGCTGTGCCCTGTGGAGAAGCAGGTGGTAAGTGTACTTTCTTTTCTCTAGGTAATTGACAACCGTTATATGGCCCCTAAGCCTTCTCTTTTTTTCAGGCTAAACATGCCCAGTTCCTCTAACAATTACATATGTGACATGTCTCCTTCTTTTTGGGAAATAAATGCAAATAAAAATACTCCAAACCTATATAGGTGGCTTGATTCATATTCAGAAAGTGGACACCCAGGGATGGCTAAAATGGGTGGTTTTACCTGGAGCTATGACCCGAATCAGAACACCCACTCCCTCCAAAGTAACCACTCTTCTGATTTCTGTGCAAATCATTCCATTGCTTTTCCTCATAGATTTCTAATTTATATATTCATTTCCAAACCATATGGTTTGCCCATTTTAAATCTATACATGGGTGACATCATCCTATATGTACACTTTTGTGCCTTTTTTTTTTTTTTGCTCAATGTTATGTTAATGTGATTTATCCATGTTTTTGCTTACTGGTGTAGCTAGTTCATTTTTTACTGATCCATAAAGTTCTGTACATTTTATATGTATATGTAGATGTACTTTTATTGACCTGTGCTTCTTTATTGATTATTCCATGATATAAATGTACCATAATTTATGTAATGTGTTCTATCACTGATGAACTTTTGAGCTGTTTCCAGTTTGGGGCCCTTATGGACAGTACTGTGATGAATATTTATCTCAGTGTACATGGGCTTGCATTTCACTAGGATGCATACCTAGGAGCAGAATGCTGAGTAATAGGTCACATGCATCCTCACCTTTACCAAACTGGGGTCCAAAATGCTTGTGTTACATTACAATGCCATCAGCAGAGTAGGCATGTTTCCGTGGTACACCCAAAGGTGTGCTGTGCAGATTTCCCTTCCAGAAAGACTTGCTGCCCAACTCAGCTCCTGCAGAGCCTACCTCCACTGCAGAGCAGCCTTTCCCAGGGTCTTGCCCTGCCTGGGACAGCCTGACAATTTGTTCCTTTTCATTGAAGTAGTATTCCATTGCATACACAAATCACAGTTTATCCATTCTCTTGTTGATCGGCTTTTGGACTGTTTCCAGTTTTTGGTAATGAAGAACAAAGCTTCTAAGACATACATATTCGAATTGTCATTGTCACGGCTGTGTGGGGTGGAGGTGGGAAGGCTTGGCCACTGTGTACCACTGTGGGATGATTCTGATGGGCAGCACTGGCTCCGGAGTGTGGTCTATCTGGGCTCCTCTGCCTCTTCCTGCTCCTCCCCTCCTTTCATAGGAGCTGATCCCTAATAAACACTTCCTACACCAAACTCTGTCTCAGAGCTTGCTTCCTGGGAACTCAAACTGCAACGGTTACTGGACTCTATCCTTGCCAGTGTTTGATATCAACAGACTTTAAAAATGTATCGCTAATCTGGTGGGTATTTAAGGGTAGCTCATTGTGGTTTTTTCCTTAATTAAAAATTTAAAAATTAAATCCTTAATTAAATATTTTAAGCCTTTACAATTATTGAGGTATAGACGAAAAACAGTAAAATAATCCCCCTTTTGAAGTGCACAGTTGGATGAGTTTTCACAACTGTATGCTGTCATACAGTCACCACCATAATCAGATGCATTTATATCGCCCAAAAAGTTCCTTCATGCCTCTTTGCAGTCAGTCCCCTGCTCCTGTCACTGATCTGCTTTCTGTCACTATAGCTTTGCCTTTTCTTCCGGTGGAACCAACTAGAACACACTCTTTTGTGTCTTGTTTCTTTCACTTAGTGGACTGCTTTTGAGATGCATCCATATTGCTGCATGGATTGGCAGTTTGTTCCTTTTCATTGCAGAGTTGTATTTCATTGCATACACAAATCAGTTTATCCATTCTCTTGTTGTTGGGCTTTTGGAATGATTCCAGTTTTGGGTAATGATGAACAAAGCTTCTAAAGCATACAGTGAGTCTTTTTGTTGATATATTTTTCATTACTCTTTAATAAATGTGTAGGAGTGGCATTGCTGGGTCATAGGGTGTAATTTTAACTTAATAAGAAATCACCAGTGGTTTTCCAAAGTGTTTTTTTTTTATTTTATCATTTTAAATTTTACATATCAGCAGTCTGTGAGGGTTCTGGTTGCTTCACATTCTTTCCAATGCTTGGTATTGTCAGTCTTTTAAATTTTTAGCTATTCTTGTGTGTGTGTGCCTTTGTGCAGTGGTAGCTCATATTTTAATTTACATTTAAATAATGCAAAATGGTGGCTAATGATGTCGAGCATCTTTTCATTTGCTTATTGGCCATTTGTATGTCTTCTTTGGTAAAGTATCTGTTTAAATCTTTTACCCATTTTTAAATTGAATTGTTTACTTAGAATTGATAAAAATTCTTTATATATTCTGGATACAAATTCTTTATCAGATATGTATTTTGCAAATAGTTTCTTCCAGTCCATGGCTTGTAGTTTTATTTTCTTAAGAGTGTCTTTTGAAGAGAAGTTTTTCCCTTACATGATGGCTCATGTCTATAATCCCAGCATTTTGGGATACTGAGGCAGGAGAATTTCTTGAGGCCAGGAGTTTGAGACCAACCTGGGCAACATGGTGAAGCCCCATCTCTACCAAAAAAAAAAAAAAAAAAAGAAAAGAAAAAAAAAGTTTTAAATTTTGATAAAGACCAATTTATCATTTTTTTATGCTTTGAGTTTTTTGTGCCTTATCTAAAAGTTATTCACTTACCCCAAATTATGAAGACTTTTTCTTATGTTTTCTTCTAGAAATTTTATAGTTTTATATTTCTTATTGTGGTTTGAATTTGTATTTTCCTGATTTCTGATGAAAAGGAGCACTTTTCATGTTTATTTGTCATATAGATTTCCTATTTTATGATGTGTCTAAGCCTTTTGCCCGTTTTCTGTAAAGTTTTCTTTCCCTTACTGATTTTTAGGAATTGTTATATATTCTGGAGAGAGTCTTTTGTCAGTTTTATTCATGATTTATATTTTTTCCCACTCTGCGACTTGCCTTTTTAATATCTTTATGATGTCATTTAGTGAATAGAAGTTCTTAATTTTAAGGAATTTTAATTTATGTTTTAGTTCTTTCATGATTAGTACTTTCTGTCCCCTGTTTAAGAAATTCTTTCCCACCCTGAGGTCACATATATATTCTCCGATATCAGAGCTTCTCAACTTTCTCAGTTCATGATACCCTTGTGTGTCAGTTATTTTTTCATGGAAGGCCTAGGCCAAAAGAAATACCCAAAATTTCCATTTATTAGGTAGTTAGTTCCAAGCAACTTAATAAGCATTTATCTTCTAACAACTTGGTAGTCATTTGAAAAAATAATACAAATTGATTGAAAGAAAAACAATGAATTTTTTCATCCTTAAATGATTGCATTTACTTACTAAGGGGATGTACAACTTCTCAAGTTTTAGAATATGACTGGATATTACCATTCTGATTTCCTATTTCATATTGATTTTTATGGGATGTTTGTTTCTTATTATAGCAACTGCTGAAAGCCTAATTTTGCAAAGACTTAATGCCATTGAGGGGACCGTTGCTCGATTTAATATTGAAACTGTCTAGAGCTAATCATTTATTCAGTGTCTGACAGGGGTCAAGGATCCCTGTGTTTTCTTCAAAAATTTAAAATATCCCATGGCACCGCTGTGAGTTCAACACGATGTCCTGGGGGAACCTCAGTGAGTAGTTTGGGACTGATGGTTTTATATCCTGTGTGAAACTCTCTATTGCTTTGCTTTTTATACTTAGGTCTTTAATCCATCCTGAATTGGTTTTTGTGTATGGTGTGAGTTAGGGATCCAATTTCTTTTTTTCCACCAAATGTATATGTAGTTCTTCAGATCATTTATTGACAAATATATTGCTTTCTCATTAATCTGCAGTGACACCTTTATCATATATTAAATGTGCATATATGTGGAAGTTTTCTTTGATCCAAACCATCATTTTTGAAATACATTTTCATTTGATATAGAATTTTGGGATGATAGTTTTTCTTTTCCTTTTGGAGCTTTAAATATATCTTTCCACTGTCTTCTGGCTTTCACTGTTTTTTTTTTTTTTTTTTTTTTTTTTTACATGACGCTCAGCCGTAATTTCTATTGTTGGTTCTCTGTACGTAATATACCATTTTCCTCTGACTGCTTTCAATATTATCTATTTATCATTAGTTTTCAACAGTTTTATTATAACTTGTCAACATGTGGTTTTCATTGTAACTAACCTTCCAAGGGTTTGCTGAACTCCTTAGATCCTTATGTTTTTCACATAAATTTGGAAAAATTTTACCATATGTCTTTGAATATTTATGTTTCCCCATTCTTTCTCTCCTTGCCTTCTGGAACTCTAATTATCCATATGTTAGATATCTTAACATTGTCCTGCAGGTGATTGAGGTTCTGTTCCTTCCTTAGAAGACTTTTCCTTCTTTTTGTCCAAATTGGATAGTTTCTAATGAGTTACCAGCAAGCTTGCTGGCCTCATCTTTCATTGTCTCCAATGTGCTTTTAAGTCTATCTAATCATCTTTTCATTTCAGATATTGCAATTTTCAATTCTAAAATTCTCATTTGGACCTTTTCTATAGTTTTCATTTCTCTGTTGAGATTCCTATCTATTTGTTCATTATGACATTAATTTCTTAAAGTCCTTGAACGTATTTTTAATGGTTTCTTTAAGTTCTTGTCTGCTAATGCTAACATCTGGGTCATCTGGTGGTTGGTTTCTATAGACAACATTAAATTTTTTTTTCTTGACTCTAGGTTACATTTTTTAAATTATCCCCCATATATAATAATATTTTACATATACCAGACATTGCTGATAAGACATAGAGATTCTGGATTTTGTTATCTTTTTCTGAAGAATGTTAATTTTTATTTCAGCAAGTAGTTAACTTGGCTGGGCTCAGCTTTAAACCACCTTCCTGGAATAGGCAATAGTTTAAATCCTTGCTTGTTCTTTCAGCCTAGCCTTATGGTTGTTGTTTCCCATTGTTCTCCGGATCTCCCTGACATATGTGCAGTTCAGGAGTTGGTCAGGGTTTTGGGTGAAATTATACATCAATTCGGGGGCCCTCTTCATTACTTACTCTTCTCCAGGATTTCACCTCTTACTACGCAGCTGCTCTGGTTATTTTTGACTGCCCATTTTTTTGGCTCCTTAAGCTAGTAAGCCATAACCTTTCTGTTTGAGTCCTAGCTGACTCACGCCATGTGCGCCATAGAGTATCCTTGGGCAAATACATATCCTGGACAGTTTCTCTCTTTCATATTTGACTCTTCACCAGTTTCTGACTGCTTTTTGTTGATCTTCAGTACTTCCAAATAGTTGTTTAAAAAATATACATATTATACATATTATCTGTGAGAGTGTTAGTTCAATACAGATTACTCTGTCTTATCATAGAGTGGTACTTAGTATATCTGTCTATCTATCTTGAAATGTTTTTACAAATTCAAATAATTCACTTGTAGATTCTTCTAGATTTTTAATGTGTACAATTATATTATTGGTGTATAATGACAGTATTATTTCTTCTTTTTCATTCAATATCCCTTTTATTTCTGTGTTTTGTCTTACTGCATGGACTGGCATCTCTAGTAAAGGGTTGAGAAGAAATGGAGGTAGATTTGTTTCATGTGTCAGAAGGAAAGCTTTCAAAGTTTATTGAATATTATATTTTCTATAATTTTTAAATAGATAAAATTTATCATGCTAGGTAAATTACTTCTATTTCTTAGCACTAGAAGTATTTTTTAAAAATATATGAATGGATATTAAATTATATCAAGCTTTTTTCTTCATGTATTGAAATGTTCAAATGTTGTTTTCTCTAATATCTTAGTATGTAAGATTACAACAATTTATTTACTAACGTAATCAACTTTACATTCTTGCAATAAATCCAATTTGGTAAGATTTATTATCCTTTTTTATATATTGCTGCATTCATTTTGCTAGTATTTTGTTTACGATTTTTGCATCTATGTTTATGAGTGGGATTAGAATATCTATCCTTGTTGAGTTTGATATAAAGGTAATGCTAACCTCATGTTGTCTGTTAGGTAGAGGTTGTGTATGATTGAAATTATTTTCTCCCTCTTGAATAATTGGTAGAACCTCTTGGAGAAGCCATTTGTCTTTGATAGGCTGCGATGGTGAAAGAGTTTTTTTTCTTGAAACGGAGTCTTGCTCTGTCACCCAGGCTGGAGTGCAGTGGTGCAATCTTGGCTCACTGCAACCTCCGCCTCCCAGGTTTGAGCAATTCTCCTGCCTCAGCCTCCAGAGTAGCTGGGACTCCAGGTGCACACCACCACGCCAGGCTAATTTTTGTATTTTTAGTAAAGACGGGGTTTCACCATATTGGTCAGGCTGATCTTGAACTCCTGACCTCTTGATCTGCCCACCTCAGGCTTCCGAAGTCCTGGGATTACAGATGTGAGGTGAGGCACTGTTTTTTTTTTTTTTTTTTTGAAAGGCTCTTGCATTGTCACCCGGGCTGGAGTGCAGTGGCACAACCACAGCTCACTGTAGCCTCGACTTCCAGGGCTCAGATGATCCTCCCATTTTAGTCTCCCAGGTAGCTGGGACCACAGGCACACCACCACGCCTGCCTAATTTTTTGTATTTATTATAGAGACAGGGTTTCACCATATTTTCAGGGTGGTCTGAAACTCCTGGGCTCAAGCAATCTGTCCTCCTCAGCCTCGCAAAGTGCTGGGATTGCAGGTGTGATCCACCGTGCCTAGACTGGAGAAAGATTTTTGAGTCCTCTTTCGTGAAAAATTTAATGATCAAAACATACATTTTCTACCTTTCTTGTTTCAGTTTTTGTAAGACATATTTGTACTGGTTATTAGGCTCTTGCCTTTTATTTTCAAGTACATCCTTGTAGCTTCTGCTCTGTGCTGCCAGTGCTGGGAGTCTGCAAACAATCTTTCTCCTTTATTGTCTGGCCTCCTGGTGGGTTCTGCAGTTGGGGACTCTAGAAGGAGATGGAAGACAGGAGGGAAGAAGGTACTTCTGCTTTCTTATTTGCTTCTGTACTTATCCATAATGCTCATTGAGAATATTTCACCCTGGATGCAGCAATTAGTTCTATCCTTCAGCTTCTTTCAGCATTCCTAAACCAGCTCATTATGACCCATCAGAGGTACCACCAGCAGCTAGGCAATGACCCCTCTTCTGAGGCATAAGTCTCAGCTCTCTGGGCTTCCTCTTATGAACTCTTAAGGAACTAGCAGCAATCAAGTATGCCCTGTCCTCCGTAGTATAAGCCCTGCATCTTGAGATTTATACTTTAAGCTTTTAGTTCTGGTAACCTTAAACTCTTCTCTTTTTCCTTCAGCTTTTGCTGTAGTAGCTGTTTTTCTATAGTTATTATCTCTATGATAGTTCACTGTTTTTTTTCTTCATTAGCCCTTCAATACTTGTATAACCAATGGTCTGTATTTTTTTCTACTGATATACCTACCATGGTCTATTTTCCTGATTGGACATTGACTGGTACAATACTTGAGAATGGAAGTAGTCACAGGAAAAAGACCCTCAAAACTGTATGGACTTAGTTTAGTTTTCTTTGGACCCTTGAACACAATGCTGAACTCCTTGCCAATGGCAAATGAGCTACTGCTAATTCATAGCATGCAGTGGTAACATGACAAATTGTCACCTATGATTGCTTGTGGTAACTACTTATTGTACCAATGCTTTGGGAACCAAATAGCTACGGTAGTTGATGAATATGGCAATAATAGTAATGTCTACAAGAATCCTGGTATGCAATGGCTGCTTCTAAATACACTGGAGAACTTGAAACAGATGACAATGAGATCAAGTCTTTAAACTTTCATCTCAATGTTCAGACGACTAAGGTGCTTCTACAGAGACCCTAGAAGAATCTCTTTCAATGTACGGGAACAATCTTGATAAAGATTAAATCTGGAAGGAGGGGGCAGAGCAAGATGGTAGAACAGAAGCCTCAACCAATTGTCTGTCCCAGAAGGACACCAATTTAACAGCTATCTACACAAAAAAAGCAACTTCATAAAAACCAAAAATCAGGTAAGCATTCACAGTACATGGTTTTAACTTCATTCACTGAAAGAGGCACTAAAGAGGTCAGAAAAACAGGCTTGAATCACAGATGCCACCCCTCCCCCATCCCCAGGCAGCAGTGGTGTGGTGTAGAGAGCATTTCTATGTGCCGGGGAGCGGGAGAGTGCAGCAATTATGAGGCATTGAACCCAGTGCTGCACTACTGTAGCAGAAAGCAAAACTGGTTCAAACTAGAACTCTTCCAGATCTTGTCTAAGACCATCATGGCAGTATCTCTATGAGGCTGAAAGAATCACAGTATTACTGGGCTTAGGGTGTCCCCTAAAGCAGACACAGCTCAGATGACAACACCCAAGTCCTTCCAAGTATCTAAACTTTCCCAAGAAGGATGGGTACAAACAAACCCAGGCTGCAAAGACTACAATAAATATCTAAATCTTCAATGCCCAGACAAAGATGGACAGCTACAGGTATCAAGACCATCCAGGAAAACGTGAGCTCACAAAATGAACTAAATAAGGCACCAGGGATCAATCCTAGAAAAAAAGAGATAACAGACTTTTCAGACAGAAAAAAATTAAAACAGCTGCTTTGAGGAAACTCAAAGAAATTTGAGATAACACAGAGAAGGAATTTAGAATTCTATCAGATACATTTAACAAAGAGATTAAAATAATTGAAATGAATCAAGCATAAATTCTCAAGCCGAAAAATGCAATTAGAACACCAAAGAATGCATCAGAGTTTTTTAAATAGCAGAATTGATCAAGCATAAGGAAGAATTAGTGAGCTTGAAGACAAGTTATTTGAAAATACACAGTCAGAGGAGACAAAAGAACAAATCATAAAAAACAATGAAGCATGCCTACAGGATATAGAAAATAGTCTCAAAAGGACAAATCTAAGAGTTATTGGCCTTAAAGAAGAGGTAGAGAAAGATATGGGGGTAGAAAATTTATTCAAAGAGATAATAACAGAGAACTTCCCAAACCTAGAGGAAGTTATCAATATCCAGGTACAAGAAGGTTATAGAACACCAAGCAGATTTAACCCAAAGGAGACCACCTCAAAGCATGTAATAATTAAACTCCTAAAGGTCAAGGATAAATAAAATGTCCTAAAATCAGCAAGAGAAGAGAAACGAATAACATATAATGATGATCCAATATGTCTGGCAGCAGAGTTTTCAGTGGAAACCATACAGGCCAAGAGAAAGTGGTATGACATATTTAAAGTGCTGAAGGCAAAAATATTTCACCCTAGAACAGTATATTCAATGGAAATATCCTTCAAATATGAAGGAGAAATACTTTCCCAGACAAACAAAAGCTGAGGGATTTCATCAACACCAGAACTGTGCTACAAGAAATGCTAAGGGGAGTACTTCAATTGGAAAGAAAAGGACATTAATGAACAGTAAGAAATCATCTGAAGGTATAAAACTCACTGGTAATAGTAAGTACATAGAAAAACACAATATTATAACATTGTAACTGTGATGTGTAAACTGTTCTCATCTTAAATAGAAAGGCTAAATGATGAACCAATTAAAGATATTAACTACAATGACTTTTCAAGACATAGACAGTACAATAAGACATAAATAGAAGCAATAACAAGTTAAAAAAGTGGGGGGTGAGACAAAGTTAAGGCATAGCATCTTTATTAGTTTGTTTGTTTGTTTATGCAAACAGTGTTGTTATCAGCCTAAAATAATGGGCTATAAGATAGTATTTACAAGCCTCAAGTTACCCTCAAACAAAAAAACATACAACAGATAAAAATAAAAAACACAAGAAACTAAATCATATCAGCAGAGAAAATTACCTTCACTAAAAGGAAGCCAGGAATGACAGAAATAAGGAAGAGAAGACCACAAAATAGCCAGAAAACAAATAACAAGATGGCAGGACTGAGTCCTTACTTATCAATAATAACATTGAATGTAAATAGTCTAAATACTCCAATCAAAAGATATAGAGTGGCTGAATGGACAAAAACAAAAAACAAAAAACAAAAACCCAAAAAACAAAACAAAAAAACCCACCACCACCAATAAAAAACCCAAGACCCATTGATCTGTTGCCTGCAAGAAACACACTTCACCTATAAAGACACACAGACTGAAAATAAAGGGATGGAAAAAAATATTCCATGCCAATGGCAATGAAAAAGAGCATGAGTTGCTATACTTACTTCTATCAGACAAAATAGCTTTCAAGATGGAAACTATAAGAAGAGACAAAGAAGGTAACTATATAATGATAAAGGGGTCAATTCAGTAAGAGGATGTAATAATTTAAAATATATATGCACCCAACACTGGAGCACCTAGACATATAAAGTAAATATTATTAGAGCTAAAGAGAGAGACAGACTCTAATACAATAATAGCTGGAGACTTTCACACTCCACTTTCAGCATTGGACAGATCTTCTAGACAGAAAATCTACAAAGAAATATGAGATTTAATCTGCATTATATACAAAGTAGACCTAATAGATATTATACAGAACATTTCATTCAACAGCTGCAGAATAAACATTCTTTTTCTCAGCACATAGAGATCATGCTCAAGGATAGACCATATGTTAGGTCACAAAACAAGTCTTAAAACATTTTAAAAATTTGCAATAATATCCAGCATCTTCTCTGACCACGATGGAATAAAACTAGAAATCAATAATAAGAATAATTTTGGAAACTATACAAACACATGGAAATTAAACAATATACTCCTGAATGACCAGTGGGTCAAAGAAGAAATTAAGAAGGAAATTGAAAAATTTCTTGGAACAAATAATAATAGAAAATGCAACATACCAAAACCTATGTGATACAGTAAAAGCAGTACTAAGAGAAAAGCTTATAGCTATAAGTGCCTACATCAAAAAAAATAAAAAACCTCAAATAAATAACCTAATAATGCACCTTAAAGACTAAAAGCAAGAGCAAGCCAAACTCAAAATTAGTGGAAGAAAAGAAATAATAGAGACTAGAGAATAAATAAATTGAAAAGAAGAAAACAATGCAAAAGATTAATGAAACAAAAAGTTGGTTTTTCGAAAAGTTAAACAAGATTGACAAACCTTTAGGCAGACTAAGAAAAAAGAGAAAAGATCCAGATAAATAAAATCAGAGATGAAAAAGGAGACATTACACCTGATACTGCAGAAATTCAAAGGCTCATTAGTGGCTGCCATGAACAACTGTATGCCAATAAATTGGAAAATCTAGAAGAAATGGACAAATTCCTGGACACATACAACTTACCAAGATTGACCATAAAGAAATCCAAAACGTGCACAGACCAATAACAAGTAAAAAGATGAAAGCCATGATAAAAGTCTCCCTGGAGAGAAAAGCCCAGGACTTGATGGTAGATACACTGCTGCATTCTACCAAACATTTAAAGAACTAATACCAATCCTACCCAAATTATTCTGAAAAATAGAGGAAGTGGGAATATTCCAAACTTATTCTATGAGGCCAGCATTACCTTGAAACCAAAAAGAGACAAAGACACATTTAAAAAAAGAAAACTATAGGTCAATATCCTTGATGAATATTGGTGCAAAAATTCTCGACAAAATACTATTAATAGCAAACCAAATTCAATGATACATTTAAAAGATCATTCATCATGACCAAGTGGGATTTATCCCTGGGATGCAAGGATGGTTTAACATACACAAATTAATCAATGTGATACATCATATCAATAGAATGAAGGACAAAATCCATATGATCACTTAAATTGATGCTGAAAAAGCATGATAAAATTCAGCATCCTAATATAAGATGATGTTCATTGACTGGAAGAATCAATATAATTATAATATCCATCTACCCAAAGTAATCTACAGATTCAATGCAATTCCTATCAAAATACTAAAGACATTCTTCACAGAAATAGAAAAAACAATCCCAAAATTGACATGGAACCACAAAAGACCCAGAATAGCCAAAGCCATTCTAAGCAAAAAGAACAAAACTGGAGGAATCACATTACCTGACTTCAAATTATACTACAGAGCTATAATAACCAAAACAGCATAGTACTGTTAGACACATAGACCAATGATATAGAATAGAGAATGCAGAAACAAATTCACACACCTATAGTAAACTCATTTTCAGCAAAGGTGCTAAGAACATACACTGGGGAAAAGACAGTCTCTTTAACAAATGGTTCTGGGAAAATTGGATATCCATGTGTAGAAGAATGAAAGCAGACCCCTACCTCTCGCCATTTAAAAAAATCAAACTAAAATGGATTAAAGACTTGAATCTAAGACCTCAAACTATGAAACTACTACAAAAAAAACTTTAAGGAAATTCTCCAGGACACTGGTCTGGGCAAAAATTTCTCGAGTAATACCCCATAAGCACTGGCAATCAAAGCAAATATGAACAAATGGGATCATATCAAGTTAAAAAGCTTCTTCACAGCAAAGAAAACAATCAACAAAATTAGTTGTTGGAGAAAATATTTGCAAACTACCCATCCAACAAGAGATTAATAACAAGAATACATAAGGAGCTCAAGCAACTCTATAGGAAAAATCTAATAATCCAATTAAAAAAATGGACAAAAGATTTGCATAGACATTTCTCAAAAGAAGACATACAAATGGCAGACAGGCATATGAACAGGTGCTCAACATCATTGATCATCAGAGAAATGCAAACCAAACTACAATGAGATTGAGATGTCTCACTCCAGTTAAAATGGCTTATATTCAAAAGACAGGCAATAGCAAATACTAGTAAGAATGTGGAGAAAAGGGAACCCTTGTACACTGTTGGTGGGAATATAAATTAGTACAACCACTATGGAGAACAGTTTGGAGGTTCCTCAGAAAACTAAAAATAAGCTACCATTTGATCCAGCAATCCCACTGCTGGGTAGTACCCAAGAGAAAGGAAATCAGTATATTGAAGAGATATCTGCACCCTCATGTTTTTTGCAGCATTGTTCACAATAACCAAGATTTGGAAGCAACCTAAGTGTCTATCAACAGAGAAATGGATAAAGAAAATATGGTACTTATACACAATGGAGGACTATTTGGCCATAAAAAAGAATAAGATCCTGTCATTTGCAACAACATGGATGGAACTGGAGGTCATTATGCTAAGTGAAATAAGTCAGGCATACAAAGAAAAATATCGCATGTTCTCACTTATTTGTGGGATCTAAAAATCAGAAACAATTGAACTCATGGAAATAGCAGAAGGATTGTTACCAAATGCTGGGAAGGGTAGTGGGGGTGGGGATGGGGAAGAGGTGGGGTTGCTTAATGGGTACCAAAAAAGTTACAAAGAATGAATAAGATCTAGTATATGATAGCACAACAGGGTGACTATAATCAATAATAATTTAATTGTACATTTAAAAAATAACTAAAAGAGTATAATTAGATTGTTTGTAACATAAGGGATAAATGCTTGAGGGGATGGATACCCCATTTCCATAATGTGATTATTA